>NC_000007.14:159022908-159335973 GCF_000001405.40 Homo sapiens
GGCGGGGGACCTCGACAGACTCTGTCACGGCCTGCACCCTCATCCTGTTAAAAGGTAAAGGAGAGTGGTGGAGGATGGGTGGCTTTTGGCCTATGGAGAACTTTGTGCAGATGAACTAATAGTCAAATGCTTCATGGTGTCCATTTCCAGGGCATACGGTGGTCCCTGGGCAGCTAGGGTCAGGATCCCATGGTGTCCATCTTTAGGGCACAAAGTGCCTGGGGGCCCTGACAGAGGCCCACCTGCAGGCACATTCACATTATGGCCTGAGTGAAGAGCACTTTCTGGGCTGTGCTGAGGACAGAAGGCGTCCGTGCTGCTGCAAGGCTGGCATCAGATATGATCTTGCTGGGGAGGCCACTGGGCCAAGGTCCAGTATAGTTGGACCCAGTGTTGGCCCAACGGGGTCTGGAGGAGTGGTCTTCATTGCTGTCCCTACTAATCCACGCTAGCTCCAAAGAGAGAGCCCAGCTGGGGCAACACACCATGCAGACGCTGCTCCCGGCCCACCTCACCACACCCGCCCCCGGCTGTGCCCACAGTCCCACCCGATGCAGACACTGCTCCCGGCCCACCTCACCACACCCGCCCCTGGCTGCGCCACAGTCCCACCCGATGCAGACACTGCTGCTGACCCACCTCACAATGCCCGCCGCTGGCTGCGCCCACAGTCCCACCCGATGCAGACACTGCTCCCGGCCCACCTCACCACGCCCGCCCCTGGCTGCGCCCACAGTCCCACCCGATGCAGACACTGCTCCCGGCCCACCTCACCACGCCCGCCCCTGGCTGCGCCCACAGTCCCACCCGATGCAGACACTGCTGCTGACCCACCTCACCACGCCCACCCCTGGCTGCACCCACAGTCCCACCCGATGCAGACGCTGCTCCTGGCCCACCTCACCACGCCTGCCCCTGGCTGCGCCCACAGTCCCACCCGATGCAGACACTGCTCCTGGCCCACCTCACCACGCCAGCCCCTGGCTGCACCCACAGTCCCACCTGGAGGATATCACCAGCTACAGGTTCTCACATGCTGCACTGGGGACTGGCCTCTCTGTTTCTCTCCACACAGAGCACGTGGCAGGTTTGGTTTATGGGACCACACTGCTGACCCAGCACCCTCTCTCTGCGGTGCTGCTCCGCGGGCCCCAGACCACCGTGCTGTGCTGCTGTGTGGCTGCAGCCACCCCACCCTGACCCTCACTCCCATGCTGCCCTGTCCTCCACTCTGCTCTGCTGCCCCTGACCTGGGCCTGGTCGTGTGACCTTAACCTTGTCATCGACCCTTCAGGGTCATTCTCGAGGACAGACCCCTCCCCTATGAGGCGTCTCACAGCACTGCATATCCTTTAAGTGCCCCAAATAGAATTCTGGCAGGGATGTGGGGTTTGACTCACATAAGACCTGTTTAACTTGATCCAGGCCAGAGTGCCCAATGGGCACCCAGGAGCTCGGCCAGGCCCGAGGTTGAGCTGTGCTGTCCCTGAAGGTGGCTGTCCTCGCCGCCGCCAGGCACCCCGAGCTGCACCACTGTGAGGAGGTCATGGCTGCCCAGTGCCCTAAAGCACTGCTGCGTCCTCCGACGCGAGATGGCTGTGTGCCACCGACTGTCCAAATGCCCTGCCAATGCCATCGTGAAGCATCCGTGTGAAGGAAAAAGTCCACCTTACCGTGCGCTGTGGCATCGATCAGGCGTGTGGACAGTCGCAGGCACGCAGCGGTCTCCCAACATCAGGGCACACCGCGATCAGGTGTGTGGACAGTCGCAGGCACGCAGCGGTCCTGCAGCAGCAGGGCGCACCGCGATCAGGTGTGTGGACAGTTGCAGGCACGCAGCGGTCTCCCAGCATCAGGGCACACCGCGATCAGGTGTGTGGACAGTCGCAGGCACGAAGCGGTCCTGCAGCAGCAGGGCGCACCGCGATCAGGTGTGTGGACAGTTGCAGGCACGCAGCGGTCTCCCAGCGTCAGGGCGCACCGCGATCAGGTGTGTGGACAGTCGGTGGGCACGCAGCGGTCTCCCAGCGTCAGGGCACACTATGATCAGGTGCTATGCAACTTCCGCCCCCTGGGACCCCTTTATTGTCCAGAAATCATCTCTTCAGGAACTGTCTCTGCTCTGTGACCCTCTGCAGACCACACCCATTGGCATCTCCTCTTCCCAACTGCTAAGATGCCACCAAGTTAATCCATTGCCTGGATCATGTCATTCTCCAGCTTCAAAGCCTTCAGAGCTCTCATTTTTCTTCCGACAGGGCGCTGGGTGCCCTTCCAGGGTGACCTCACGGGTGCCCACTGCAGTTCCTGCTTCTCCCCACGGGAACTGAGCGTGCCGCTGGGAACACAGCACTCACTGTGCACAGTTCTGCACATGGACTTATGTGGACACCACCTGCTTGCATTCATCCCCTCCTCCTCATCTCTCCCTTGCTGAGAGGCAGCGTGCCTGCCGAACGCTTCGTGCTGTTTCTGCAATGCTCACTTGCGGTCACATAGTTAGACATCCGGATGATGGATAGATGAGGAGACACAGTGCAGACTGGGCGTGGCTGACCACCACACGTGCCCCTGGAGCCATGGGCCGCCGGCTTCATTTCCAGGGTGGTGTTACAATCAAAAGAATGAACACATCAAGAGTGATTTCAAGTCCAACCCCTTCCCTGTGTTTTCTGCACAGCTTGGAGGCCGTGCCCAGGTCCTGGATGTTCCTGGTGACCTTTCCTCTTTGCCCTTTGCTCTCCCACTTGGAGCTCCATGCTACTCCCTCCTGTTGTACTGAACCTGGCCCTCGTTGCCCCTTACGAGGGAAGTCCTTGTCCTCTCATGGCTTCCTTCTTGTCCCCTTCCCTCAGACTCTTCGTAATAATTATACAATACTAATTCCAAATGGAAACTGGAGGCATGGAGCCTATGCCGGCGTCTCCAGCTTCTCCAGAGGTAGGAATGGACACTCAGGTCTCCACTGCATGCTGGTGGATTTGGGAGAGTGTGATCCATCCAAGCCATGCGAAAATCTGCACGACTGAGTCATGGGACAGTGGAGCTTTGTGATATCGCGTGCTTTTAAATCCGAAAGGACAGTCATGATTTAAGGATTTGAAAGTCACACATTTAACATCTGGATTCACAGTCATAGGTCTTAAACCATGATAGCTTGTGCTTCTGAGGTGCACTGAATTCATGCGTGGCTTTCCTAGACTTTATCCCATGGAACCTTCACGTGTCAGGCTATGTAGAGCCCTGAATCTCAAAGGGAGAGCTTGGTCCCAGCAGGTCTCATTATTTTGTATTATATTTTAATAGTTTATTTTCCCTCTTGCTTCTTCAGTTCCAGGTACTGAATAGAAGCTTTACAAAAGATCCCGGTACCGGTAATAGCCCTGGGGCGCCCACTTCACGGGGCCTGCAGGAAGTCCTGGGAAGGGACTGTTTCCACAAGTGGAACAAGTGGGCCCCCCACTGCCCTCGCTGCCTGCCCCTCTCTCCTCATTAAACCTTCAGAGAACACAAAGGAGCCGAGAGCCCCTTTTCTCTCCATCTTCCAAAGAAGACTTTTCAGTATAAAAGGTGCCCTAAATCCTTTGTGATGCCGCCCACAAGCAGCGTGCGCTGACACAAAGCAACGCCGCCGGCCACTGCTGCCTGCAGACAAGAGGCCGACTCTTGTCCTCGTCTCGGGTCCCAAGAACGGGAGTAAGTTTGTGGACTGGCACGCAGACTTGTGTGCGGGGCAGCCCCTGGAGACACAGGCAGCTGCGATGTGAGTGTGTCAGGCAGAGGTTCAGCTTTACGTCAGTGTTAAAGAAAAAAACCTGTGAAGAAACTATTCAAGACATGCAAAAGGAAGTGTTTCCCACGCACCCAGGGCAGGATGCTCGGTGAGGGGTGGTGGAGCCGTAGAGCAAACATCCTTCGAGAGCCAAATGTGCGTGACCTTTGACCTTTCCCCTTCAGGAGTGTACAGTGAGGGAATACTCGGGTAAGCACAGAAACACCTGCAAAAACAACTCACACATTCGCCAGCAGGGAGTCGGTCAAACCAACCAGGCCCAGGCTGTGGAATGTTAGGCGGCGGTTAAAAGTCACGAGATACGCACCTTCAGATGGGAAAGATGGACACCACCTGTCTCAGCGGGAGAAAGACAGCTGCAGAAGCTTCACACAATTTAGCCCGATTCCCACGAATAAACAGAAGAAAGGGCAGACAAGTTTGTACCGACGGAGGAAGGCACTGGGACCCCGCTTCAGTCGGGCACGAGTTTCCCCCAGAGAGGGGAGGAGGCAGGCAGAGGACTTCACTTTCTATGTAATCTTTGCCTACAGAGTTTGACGTTTTGTAACTGTCCTGTATAATTTGTCATCTGAAAGCCTGAAAAAAATAGCCAATTAAAAAGCTGCCATTGGTGATGAGAAAGAACGAAGCTATTGCCACGGGTGGAGGAGGGGCTTCTGCAGATCGGCCCCCGGCCCTGCACCTTCTGCCTCCCATCAGGGCTGAGTCTCCTCAGGCGGCTGAATATTTCCCACCTCAGGCAAATGGACACTAAGCTCCTGAGTCAGACAAAACAGTGACTCCCTGGAGGGCTGTGTGCCCAGCCCCTTCTCCCCCTTCCCACCTGCTTTGCTCTTAGGAAAGTCACCAAAGGCTGGTTGGTGTGGCTCATTCTAGGTTTGACTCCTTAGGAATGTGGCTTTTACCAGCGTGCTGTATCCCTCCTGACAACACAGCCATCTGGTGGAGCGTGGAGTTCATTGGAAATGCATTTTATTTGCTTGTAGCATACATGTGGCTAAGGCTCAGCACACACGGAGATTCGCATATGTGTGCACACGCCCCACGCACACACCCACACACGCATGTGCATCACATGAACGCGCGTGCACACACACACTCCTGCACTCAGTCCTGCTCTATTAACAGGTTCTTGGGCTCTGCAGAGCTGACAGAGGCCGTGTTGGGTGCGGCAGGACAAGGCTGGGCGTGCAGGCGCCTCCTCCACAGGGCACTGCTCATGCGTCACAGCTGCCAGACGGAGGCTCCCCAATGGCGACGCTCTGACAGGGGTCCGTGACTCTCCTCAGGGAGAGGTGGCTGTTTCCAATGTCCTCCCTGGTGCCCTGTGGCTGGCAGGACCCTGCCCACCCTCTCCCTCCCCGTCCAAGCTCTGTTTTCATCTGAATGCAGCAGCCACGACTAACACGCCAAGTGTGTCCTCCATGCTCCAGAGCCTCAGATCTGGTCAGAGCAAGTTCTTACTCAGCATGCAGATGTGAAGTCAGGCTTTATTGAAGTATTTACACAGCTCATTCCCGCCACGTGGAGGAGTCTGCGACATTCCACACACAATGACAGTTAAAGACACCTGCTGACCACTGGGTCCTGCTTCCCCTGCTCACCAGGCATCTGTCAGGAAACAGCCGGCCCCTCTACCAGGAGAAACCAGTCAGCTCCGCTGAACAGTGGCACATGTGCGGTTGAGGGGAGATTGTCCCCTGAGCACACCTGATGACTGATGACTGCCCACACCCAACCACCGACCATCAACAACCAGTGCCTGGTAACCACCTGACACGTCCACTCACGCCCACTTCCTCAGCGTCCCCTCTGGGTCACAGCTCAGTGTCGGCACCTGGCCACTGACCCAACACCTTCAGTTACCACAAATCTTTGTTTCCTCAAAAACCTGAGAGTAGGTGGGGGATGCTCCCTTTTGTCCTTTGAAAGCTGGGCAAGGCTGGGGGTGGGTCTGTCCAAACCCTACAGGGGAGGAACAGCCGAGGGGCCGCACTGAACCTGGGGTCTGCAGCGTCCACCTGCCTCCCTCTCGCTCCACATGCTCAGCCGTCCTTTCCTGGGCACCTGGCCTGGGCCGTTTACTCCCCAGTATCCGTCTGTGATGGATCCTCTGCGGCCCCCAGAAATGGTGGGTTGTTCTGTAGATCCGACCGCCTCACCTGTCTCCCCAAACCAACCTCGGGTTCATTCTCCCAGAAGTCCAGGGATGAGCTTGTTGCAGCAGAGGGGTGTGGCCGGCGTGGCCCAGGGTGTGCAGGACAGGGTGCGGACCTTTGGGGATTGAGGGGTCTCTGGACACTGCTGCTTTGCTGTCCTAACAGCCCCTCTGTCCGGCCTCATTTTACCGGGGATATGGGTTTTGCAAACCAAGGTGACACTGACAGGATGTGTGAGCTTCCCTGTGGCTGCCTCCCGGCACAGCTGTCCCGACCTTTGACATCGCGCCCCAGCTGGGGTCTGTGATGCCACCAATGCACAGGAACAAGACATTCATTTTTAAGGGAAAAGTGGAGTCAAATGTGCTCAGAACAACTGAGTCCCACAGTCGGGGCACCTGGGCCAGGGCTGGGCAGCTTGCTGAGGTCCATCGAGCGCTGTGGGGGCCAGGGCTTGGCACACACATGGAGACTGTGCCCTGATATCCCCACCCTTCTGCAGCTGGCTCAGCAACGTCCCCAGACACCCTCCCCACATCTGCAAACCACCCTTCGCCTGAAGGAGCAGCCGCTAGGGCTGCTGAGCGCCAGCTCTGGGGAGGAGGGCTTGAAACAGTTTTATATGTTGTTAAAATAATTCTTATCCTAAGATTATTTTTGTTAAAAAGAGAATAGGTTTCCGGTTCCCACTCAGCTGTATCCCGCACCCCACGTAACCCCATCACCAGGGGCCCGCAGGCCTGGCCGCAGCTGGCCTGGGGCTGAGCGTCAGGCTCTGCGGCTCCCACAGGGCGGCAGGTGACCTCCTGAGGCAGAGCCAGAGCTGCTGAGGGTCCCACGGAACACCTGTGTGGAGAGGTCCCCTCCTTCATGACCTTGCTCTCCTGATCTGGTTGTCTCCTCAGCCCGCCTTCCGTGGGGAGGCAAAACAGCCCTGTGGAGTTGGGTGGGGCAGGGCTCAGCCGGGCCGGGTGGGCGCCCCAAGAGAGAGGACGGGCTGCCCTCCTGTTGATTTCTCCTGGTCCTAACGTCAGGGGGGCCCTGACTGGCTTCCCTCTGTCCTGCAGATGAGGGGGCTACCCTTATGGGACCTGGGAGGCCGCCCTGATGTGGGACGGATGTCACCCGGTGGTCGCCCAGGCTCGTGCTGGGCCACACAACTGCGTTTCCACATTTCCTCCTTGGCTCCCCTATTCTCTTGGGCCGGGCGCAGTGGCTCACGCCTTAATCCCAGCACTTTGGGAGGCCGAGGCGGGCCCATCACGAGGTCAGGAGATCGAGACCATCCTGGCTAACATGGTGAAACCCTGTCTCTACTAAAAATACAAAAAATTAGCCAGGCGTGTTGGCGGGCGCCTGTAGTCCCAGCTATGGGAGGCTGAGGCAGGAGAATGGCGTGAACCCGGGAGGCGGAGCTTGCAGGGAGCAGAGATCAGGCCACTGCAGTCCAGCCTGGGCGACAGAGCGAGACTCCGTCTCAAAAAAAAAAAAAAAAAAAAAAGTGGATCCACTATACGGCTGAAACACATTTTGCACAAGATTATCTAAATGCTGGAGTTTAAATCGAGTCAATGACAACACGACTCCAATTCCAGGTATGGGGTTTAGTGGACAACCAGCTTGACGGAGTCAGGACCGCGCTGACCTGCCCGACACGGTGCTCGGGCATCTGGAAGGAGGAAGCCGGCGTCTCAGCCCCGCAGAAGCCCCGAACCGTGGGCCTCCCGCCGCGTCCGACAGGCAGGGGTGGGGCTAGATGACCGAGGTCTCCGTTTGCAGGAAGGACTGGGCGCGGGAGCCGCGGTGGAACTGCAGGGCGCCCTCCGAGCCGTTGCGGGAGAAGGAGGAACCGCAGACCCTGTAATCCCGGCTCGCGGACGGGGTCGGGCACCGGCTTCGCCATTTTCGCTTCAGCTCGCACTGCACCTGGGAGGTGAGGGCAGCGGGAACGCCCGTGAGCCTGGGCAGGTGCGGGCGGCTGCTATGGGAAGCGCGGCCCGCGAGCCTCCAGCTCTCCCTCCCGCCTGCTCCCGTATCTGTGTTGCCAGCAGATGGACAGAAACAGAAACGGCCTTGGGGGCAGAGGCTGGAGGGAGCGGGAACTGGACGGCCACAGGAGGGCGGGGGACGCTGCCAGACTCTAAGACTGTGCGTGGGTGGTTCGGGGATCGCCACTGCCGCGGTAAGCGCAGTCCCACAGTCTCAGATAGTTAATATTTCTCTGAAAAGATTTTCCTTAGCAGCCGGGGTTGTGACGGTGCTGGGCCTCCGTCTCCTTCCCTGTTCCCAGCGGGCAGGGAATGTTAGCCCTGGGAGGGGGTGGGGATGAGTGAGGGGTGCCCGGACGGCAGAGGAGGGAGGAGGACAAGTGGCACTACTCGGGCTCAGCTTTGCAGAAGCCGTGCTGGTGAAAGCTGCATGTCAAGCAAAGAAAGCGCCAGCAACCGCAGCGTGGGGCGGGAGGGTCAGGGGTCAGGGGACGGGGCCAGGCCGTTGGAGCAGCCCGGAGACAGCCTCCCTGGCTGGGAATGAACGCAGGGCAGAGCTCGGCTCCGGGCTTCCTCCCCAGGGACTCACAGGACGCTGTGCAGCCCCACCCCCCAACCCAGGCCCGGCTTTCTGGGACTCACAAGCTATGGTCAGGAGCGAGACGCCGACCATGGGGAAAAACAGATTCTGTCTAGACCCGGCCGGGAGCTTTCCCGAGAGGGCTCCGAGACGGACGGCAGTCGATGCTACTTAGGGTGGACGGAAGGACGGCGGGGTTTGGAAGCTGGGCCCAGAAGAGTGGGTTTGCCTGTGTCGTTGTGGGTTCTCTGATGGGGACACAGAACTGTGGGGTCCCGGGCAGTAACTCGAGCCCGCGGAAGACAGGCATGTGTGGGGGCTGCGGCACCAGGCTGGGCAGCATCTCAGGAAGCAAGTGAGTACCTGTGCTTGGTTCCAAGGCGGCCATGAACTTACCTCACTGTTCAGGAAACAGTAGAGGACGGCCACCACCAGGCCCTGCAATGAGAAGAGATGGTCAGGCAGGACCCGCGCTCGGGGGAGGGCGGCCGCCTCCGCACACCTACCTGGAACGACCCGAGGCACAGCTCAAACAGTATCTGGTATTTGGAGGAGATGCTGATGGGAAACACGGCAAACACCATGTAGTGGACGCCGAACAGCGGGATAAGCAGGAGCGTGGACTTGGCCAGCCTCCTGCACAGAAGGAGATGAGCCAGCTCAGCTGCTGGACCCTCGGACCCTCTGCAAGCCTGGCTGGGTCCTTCTCAGGAGGGGGCAGCTGGGTGTGGGAGGGGCTCCACACCTCCTCTCCACTGCTGGAGTCCCCGCCCAACAAGAAAAACCACTGTTTCTTTACGTTTATGTCTGAGGCCCCTGTGCATATCTAGCACTCAGGGCCTGGGAACGTGCATTCCGGAAGTGTCCGTTTCTCCCAAATTCCCTCACAAGGACACACGCTGTGTCCTGGGGTTCATGGCTGGCAGGGGCAAGATTCCCTGTGAGTGACCCCAAACCTACACAGGCCCCGCCTGGGAGCCCGGCCCATCCTGAGGCAGGCATGGGACAAGAAGGCTGGCCTCCACCGCTGCCACACGCAGGTTTAAATGATGAGAACCGATCCTGCTCCCGGACCTGCAGCTCGTAACAGCTGGGCTCCGTGGGAGCCAGGTCCCTCAGTCAGCGGCAGAGGACCTGCCTGATTCCCTCTATTAACGCATCTGAAGTTTGCTGGAAAAGAGGCCTATCTGCGGCTGAGCTCTTGGCCCCTATCCAGGGAGGTTTTGCTACTTCTGTGACCAGAGTTACACAGAAAGGACCTCGTGTGGCCTCAAGGGTGTCTCGGCCTTTTCTGTTGTCCTGGAAAGGGAACAGATTTTGTTTCCAAATAAAAGCATCCATCTCCAAGTTCAATTTAACAAACACTCCCAAAGAACCAATGCAAAGGTCAGCATAGAAACTAAACAAGATTCACAGGAAATCCAAGTTCAACCTGAAAGGCAACCAAGAACGATCTTATTCGGGGGTCTCTGCCACACAGGCACCACCGGACTCCCCTGAGCAGGGACAAGGTCATGCTGCCATGCGGGGTCTGACATGGAATCCCATCCCTCGTGTGGGCAAGCAGAGACGGGATACTCCCTGGATTTAGACACTACACAGCAGAATTAGATTCTCTGGTTTACCAGACTCTTTTGCAATACTCTGGTGCCAGGCAGCAAATATCCGGCAAATATAGACTGCATTGATCCTCCTGACCTTAGTGACATTATTACTTCCATGTTACAGATGGGGAAGCTGAGGCATGGAGTGGCAAAGTGACTTCCCTCAGGGCACTGGCCGGTATCTGCACCCAGCTTTGGGGCTGTTGGCCATGCTCCTGTCTAACCGCCCCTCCCCAAATCCATCCCTGTTTTCTAAGGTGGGAGAAAAGGGAAATGCAGGCCAGGCACCCTCCTAGGCTGGGCGGCAGGGTTCCTGCCATGGTACAGCTCTGTGCACAGCCGCCCTTCCACCCCCGGTCAGTCTGAGCCCGAGGCACCTTCTGGGCTGGGCCAACCACTTCCACACCAAGCCAGTGTTTAGTTTATACTTGAATTTTGGTTTTTACCTTTTTAAAAAAAAATAAATTCTTGATATAAATTTATGGAGTCTTTGCATTACTTTATAGATTCCCCGGATCATCATGAATTAGCTGGATGACTGGGGGTGACTGGCTGAACGTCTGCCCTGTCTTCATCTACTGAAGGGAGATCACAATGCCATCTTCATGTAATCACGTGGGCAGGAAACGCTTTCTGAATTTTTATTAAGTACAAGGCCTGGTATTAGGGCTGGCAGTAGACACACGGCCATGGACACATGGCCATGTCTGAGGGGGAGACAGAATTAAATGTAAAATAAAAAATACTGTGTGGTCAAGGAGAAAAAGACAGGCTGTATAACATGTAAGTGGGCGGATGCTTAAACAAGCAAGTTCACTGGAGAGGACTTTCTTCTGGCCTTGAAATAAAAGAAATGGTGCCTGACTTCCACAGTTGCCAAGGCCAGAAGTGCCCCTGCTGAGTCCTCCCAGGTCATCAGGTGCAGAATCACACCCTATCTAGATGGCGGGTGTTTTAAACCACCAAATTTTGGAGTGATTTGTTACTTCGCCAGGGAAATGCTGTCCAGGGCCTCTCTGAGCCTTGGGCAGGAGCAGAGCCCTGGGGCCCAGCCTCGAGGTGTGACAGTGGCGGAGGCGGAGTCGCCGCACCTCCAGGGCCTTCCTGGCAGCGTGGGGGTCTCCTGTCTCCACACGGCATCCCCATCAGGGACGGCCAGGCCGGGACACACACTCACTTGTACTGAGACTGGTCGTTGCCGCCGACATCTGGGGATGTTAACTTCTGCAGCAAAATTCGTATAATACTAATGAAAAGGACAAAATTGACCTGCACAAGAGATAATAAGTTTGTGAAACAGACACGTGGATCCCTAATTTGCCCTGAAGTCCACCTGATTTCGACCCTCCCCTCCGCTCCCTCAGTCCCTCCCTCCTTCCCTGGGAACTGCCTCTGGGGGTCCACATGCCTGAAGAGGTCCTTTTCCGGGAAGGCTGAGTGATGCGTGGAATGGGGTCAGTTCTATTTAATAAAGGATGGCAGGCTTGCTGTCTGCCCAAGTGTGTGATTCCACAGATAATCCACATGTCAACAGGGACTACTTACGATGATGGAAATTAAAATCGGTATTCGTATGACCCACCAGGGCACACTGTGGTCGTTTGTATCCCAGCAACTGTCAGAGAGAGATGGGAAATCAGGTTACCACCAACCACTTTCGCAAGACAGGTACAGAAGAATGAGCGCCTGCCCCTCCCAACTTGCCCACTCCCCTCACCGTGGAAGCACAATTTCTCTGCACTGACAGATCGTAAAGGAATCTGTCCCAGGGAGTGATTGTGTTTTGTTTCATGCTTTCAAAACAATAGTCGGCTTGTGGGGAGGAGGAATGGAGGTGCGGCCCCAGAAGCCAGGACAAGGGCAGGAGGGCTGCTGACGCCCTCCACTCTGAGCATGAACGTGTGTCAGCCCCATTCAGCTGAAATCAGGAGAAAAGAACCTTCCTCCTGAAAATTAGCTTCCCCTCACCTCCCGAATGGTTTGCATGTATATGGCAAAGGGTTTAAAACGTCCTTAGAGCCACCAGCTCTCCAGCTCATAGCATTTTGTTTTGATTTTCAGCGCATGGGGTGTCTCCAGCAGGAAGCTGTGACCCCTGGCTTGTAAAACGCCTCAGTGATTCTCCCCAGGGTCCACACCCTGCGCTGGAAGTCTGCAGCCCTCCCATAAAGCAGAATCTCCATTGCAGGCTTGGGTCCATGCTTTCCCTCGGGGGCCGAGGGCAGGAGCCTTCAGGCTGGTGCAGTCTCAGACTGGCTGAAGGGGACCAAGGGGAACCAGTCCTCAAAGCTGCTGAGTCCTCCCAGGTCATCAGGTGCAGAATCACACCGTAACTAGACGGTGGGTGTTTTAAACCACCAAATTTTGGAGTGATTTGTTACTTAGCAGTGGGTAACTGATGCACACTGAGGCCCTTTAAAAGGCAAGATATTTGTGCTGGAACCACGCGTGCTCATGTCTGGGCCGTGGTCTCGCTCAGGGAGAGCATAGTGGAAAAGCGCTCTGGGCCGCATGAGCCAAGACCAGTGCTTAGGAAGTGCCGGGGGGCCCTGCAGCCACCATCACCTGACCTTCCACTTTGCTCCGGGTAAACAACATGCAGGGCACTTGGCTTTCTTCTGTGGACATCGCTGTGCCCACCGCAGGGGCTGCCCCAGTCTCTGCCTGGCTTATCCCAATCTCAACTATGCTGCAAAACCTGGCTCACTTCCTGTCTCCTGCACGGGGCTTCCTCCAACACTCCAACCTCACAGGATTTCTCCCCATGAATCGCCCAGATGCTTCCTGCGTGGCTGTCGGTTGGCCGCAAACGCTCCCTGTCCTTCCAACCAGGTAACCTTCTGGCTTCCAAAGGACTTCATGTTGCCAGATGTTGCCGGGCCCGTTTTCGAGGTTGCAGTCTGGTCATGGACTCACCCGGTGTCTTCTAAGTAGAGCCTGGCCGCAGTCCATGCACCGATGCAGACGGTGGGGAGGCCTGCAGAGAGACGCCTGGTTACACAGGTGGAGCGGAGCGGTGTGCACGCACACAGGTGGGTGCCTTCACCAGCAAAACCCTCAAGGACACGCTTTCTCACGGGAATATTAAGTGCAATCTCTTGTTTAAAGTCTTTGTAAATATTTACAAGTTTATGCTCATGCCTTAGTAAGCAGTGAAGATAATTAAACACACGCTTGAGAGCTGAGAATCTGAGACTTGCCATTCCTCATGAGAAGGGTTATTACTGGAGGCCATGGAGTTGAACGTGCGGAGAAGGAGATGTGTTCACTGATTTTTGCGACCACCCACGGAGCTATCGGCTACGTTTGCCTCATCCTGTCCATGAGGATGTCCCAAATTTGCACCCCTTTCCAACCCTGGGCAAGGCAAGGCTTCCGCTACCTGGTGTGCCTCTCCTCTCTGATCCCCACCCTCAGTGAAAGGTGAAGTGGGTAGAGGCGGAGGAGGAAACCGTTTTGTTACTTGTTAACAGCCCAGTTTGAATGGGGGTACAAGGGGCCAGGAATGGGAGTATTTTAAACTAGGTTCCTGGTTACCAGAAATATTAATGTGTTGTTTGTAGGAGCCTCCAGTCATCCTGGAAGAGCTCTTCATGATATGACCCTGACATGCATTCTACGGGGGCGGCAAAGTGTTTTCTGAGCTGAAAATGTTTGCGTTGTTTGGTCCGATGGGATGGGATGGAGGGTTTGTGGGTGGGAAGGGGCACACTTACCCCATCCGATCAGGAGGTAGGCCAGGAAGCACCTTCTAGGGGGGAGCATGGCCACCAGGAGGGTGTGGAGGTAGAGCCCCTCCACCAGCAGCCAGAAGAAGTTGGCCATGATGCAGTACTGCAGGAAGACCAGGCTCAGCTTGCAGCCCACCTGGAAACCGCAAACAGAGGAGAGGAAAGCATGACCTCATCCGGTAACAGCAGCTACCAGCAGGCAGTGCCGCTCCAGGACACAGGGCGCTTGGTATCTGTGCAAGGAAGGAGACACCGGTGCCATTGGGAAGGAAAGTGATTAACACAGAGGCCAGGGCGCTGGCCAGGAATGCCTGCTGGTGGCACTGGGACCTTTGTATCCGCGGCTCCAGAGGAGGATCACTGCAAACGCAACTGTGAACAGCACTGCCTGAGGTGAGCGCACTCACTGCTGGAGGGTCCTAGACAGGCCGCACAGCTCCCTGGCCCTCCCGTTCTCAGCTCCTCCCCTCGGCTACTCCACTTCCCCTTCTCTGACCTGCTTCAACACGGGAACCCCCGCAGTGGTCCTGCCGGCCAGCAAAGAACCAGAAGAGCCGGCAGGAGGTCATGTGTGGGGCGAGGTATGGGTGGCAGGGGCCCTGCAGGGGCCCAGGGCTCTGGCCTCTGTCCCTTTGTGTGAACAGAACACGAGTGCAGGTAGAGGGCGCGGCACATGCCAGCTGCCCTCACTAGCAGCTCAGGTGAGCAGCGCCTGGGAAGAGAAAGCAGTGGACCCACACCAGGCCCCAGACTTTTTTTTTAAATTTTTGACAACTATGTAAGTTCCTCAATTGTAAAAAACTGGTTTTAATATTGGGTAACTTAACTAAACATGAAAAAATAAAGGGGAAAACAAGAGAAATCTAGCAAATAAAATATTTTCTGAGGACATTTTAAAAGGATTTTCACTGGGAAAGAATTGCATTATTATATAAAATCCATCTATTTTAATCTCTCAGACCTTCATCTAACTAAATGTACCAGGCATTTCAGCTTCATGAGCAACCATGAAACTGCTACTTTTAATCACTAAGCTTATATAAAGTGTGCTGAAAAAGAATAGTATTTTCATTTCCATTCTTATTTCTGTATTTATGTTCATATCTATAGACATATGTAGGTGGGTGTACATACGTATGGCAGATATATATCTGATACATATATCAGATGGATACACCTATACATATTTGTGGGTGGATATACTTACATATGTATGGGTGGATATACTACCTACATATAACAGATGGCTATCCCTATAAATATATACGGGTGAATATACTTTTTTATATATGGGTGGGTATACTTATATATATGGGTGGATACACTTATATATGGGTGGATATACTTTCATATGGTGGCCTTTCAATTTGGCCTCCGGGGTCCTGAGAGCCGCTGAGCCCTGCAGGCTGTCCCTGGCCTCCCCTGAGCCCTGCAGGCTGCCCCGACCTCCCCTGAGCCCTGCAGGCGGCCCCGACCTCCCCAGTGCTCTGGATCTGCCTTGCCTTCCTCTGCTTTTCCTTTTTCCCAAGCATAGCAGGGTGGGTGCTTCATTTTCTGAGACACTGCACAGGTGAGAGTTACCCTTATTGTCCATCTTTGCCACCAGAGTAAGGCGAGTGCCTGCACGCGGATCTCGTGTGTCAACGCCTGGTGAATGGACACTCAGATCCCAGCAAGTTCTGCCCTGGGCATCAGGACAGAGCCTCTTATGTGGAAAGACACACATGATAACACAGCCATGGATGCAGGAGAGTCACAGTAAGTCAATTTGTGACTTACTGCCACTCATTTGAAAAGTAAAGTGAAATAAATCAAGTTTTAAAATCTCTGGGAGGTGAGATTCTGGGAGTTAGTCACCCATCGGGATGCAACGTGCCTTCTTTTGTCTCTCGGTAAAAGACCGCATCTTAAACACAAGGAGTAAACTGCAGATGAACCAAGACACAAATGAACAATCTCAGAATAGAAACCTCTTAACCAAGACGGGAAATCTGAAATGAAAACAAGAAGTGCTAAAAGGATGGAAAGCAATTTTGGTTATATAAACTTTAAAAGCTTTTAGATGGTAAAAATACCATAAAAATACAATTGACAAATCATGAATCTGGAAACATATTTACAATAGAAATGACAAATGTTTAATTTTTATGACGCCAATATTACAGATGAATGCGGTGTTTTAGAGGGCCGGAACAGCTTGTGGAAAGATGCCAGTTCTCAGCAGGTGCGCTGCCCTGGAGTGTGCATGAGAGCCACAGAGGCAGTGCCAACGCCCACCAGACAGGCAAAATGGTAAAACCAGTCAGGTCTTTGGGCTCTGGTGTGATCCCACGTGCAGCTGTCAGCTGTCTCAGCCTTTTGGAAGGCAATCTAGCAAAACAGATTTACTACAATTTAAAAATACACATGCAGCCGGGTGCAGTGGCTCACACCTGTAATCCCAGCACTTTGGGAGGCCAAGGCGGGGGGATCACTTGAGGTCAGGGGTTCGAGACCAGCCTGGCCAACATAGTGAAACCCCATCTCTACTAAAAATACACACACACACACACACACACAAAATTAGCTGGGTGTGGTGACACCTGCCTGTGATCCCAGCTACTCAGAAGGCTGAGACATGAGAATCGCCTGAACCTGGGAGGTGGAGGTTGCAGTGAGCCGAGATCCTGCCACTGCACTCCAGCCTGGAAAACAGAGTGAGTCTGTGTCAAAAAACAAAACAAAACAAAACAAAAAATAAAAATATGCATGCCCTTTGCAATGGGCTGGAGGCTTCTTTATGCTGCCAGAATTCACATGTTGAAGCCCCACCCGCTGTGGGAGGGTGTTAGTGGGTGGCGCTTTGCGATGGGATTAGTGCCCCTGTAAAGGGACCCCAGCAACATCCCTCGCCCCTTCCACCACGTGAGGACACAGAGAAGTCAGACCCGAATCTGGTGGTGCCTCGGTCTCAGGCCTCCAGAACTGAGAAGTAAATGTCTGCGACAGGAGCACACGTGGATGGAGACACCCTCTGACCTGGCAACCTCACTGGCGAGTTCCACCTGACAGAAATAAGAACACCAGTCCATAAAGACGCATGTCCGGTGATGCCTGCAGCGGCAAAAGAGAAAAATAAAGTGCAGAGCAGGCCCCATACCAGAGGATGGGCTACGCGGAGAACACCATGCCACATGAGGGACCGTGTGCCGCCTGAAAGCAGGCGCCGACCTGGTGGGGCCCTGGCACATTCTGCTGAAGGAGCAAAGAGGACGCAGGAAGAGTGTGCTGAAGACGATTCCATTTTCTTCTTAAATGGGAACAAAAACATCTCTGCATTTTTTCCCATGTGCCCATTCACCAAACAAGCACACTGAGGAAGGGAGGTCTGGGGAATGACAAGGCCTCTACTGACTTCATTTTCTACAGTGTGACCTTCAAACCTCATTACACAGGCTCCAGAGCACCACAGGAGGGGCCCAACTCCAGGGCCAGTTGCCACCCACAGGGTTGATGTGAGGAACCCCGGCCAGGAGACCCACCAAGGCCCGGTGCCCAGTCAACAGCTGGTCCCTCCTCAGCCCCGTGGCCTTGTCGGGGAGCCTCTGTGTGAGCACGTGAGTACGCACACATGTGCACGTGAGGCAGGCAGGACTCAGCTTAGTAAGCTTGGGGGTGTGCTTCTGGGAGTCCCACAGACCCCGCAGGGGAACCTGCTGTGGCTGATGGTGAGAATAAAGGGCAGGTTTGCTCCGTGTCCCGGGACAGCCCAGGGCCCCAGAGGAAACTGTGTCTCTGTCTAGGCCGCATGGAAGGGGCCAAGAAGAGAACTGTTCATCTTCTTGGCTGATCCTAATATCATGAGAAAAAGACCCTGCACCTATTTTGGGGGTGCTGCCCCAGGTGTTCTGCCTGGGAGAATAACCTTGGTTTGGTGAAGTCAGCTGGGAACAAAAAATATACAAAAAAATTCAACTGGAAGGAAAGCTATTTTTCCTGTTTCTTATACTGAGGTCTGACTATTTCTGGCTGACTTGTTTATTCAAAGCCTGAGCGTTCTTTAGAGGACAGCGAGAGGGAAGACCCAGCTTGGCTCCTCTCTGGCCTCAGGCATCTCCCCTCCCTCCTGTCCTCTGTCCCTTCCCTCCTCTGTCTGTCACATGCTTTTCCCTTTGCCTCTGCTTTCCCCTTGCTGGTACTAGAGTCACGGGGCATCTGGCACAAGGGGCAAAGCCGACTCCCTCTGTCCTCACAGAGCTTGACTTGGGGCACTGGCTCTGTGCTGCTGGGCATCGTGGGGCCCCACATGCACCTGGGCTTTGGATCCCGAGACTCCGGGCCAGTTGCTGGGTTCCCCTCTGCCCAGTTTCCTCGTCTGTGAAATGGGGCAACTGCTCTTCTGAAGGCGAATGAGTGTTCACCCAGTGTCCACAGAAACAGCCCGGCATTTACAGGATGCTCTGTGCAGTGTGTGGGAGGCCAGGCCCTCCCGGTGGGGCAGCCACGCTGGCTCAGATCCACTCTGCCTCGGAGGTTCTGGGCACTCCTTTCAGGTTGAAGCAATAGGGGAGAGTAGAGAGCTGCTGCTCCAGGCCAGCACCCAGTCCCGAGGGCCACCACTTTCCATGTTGCAGGTCCTCCAGGGTCCGCTGGGGTCCACTGAGGGTCTGTCGAGGGTCCTGAGGGTCTGTCGAGGGTCCTAACGGTCTGTCAAGGGTCTGTTGCGGGTCACTGCTTTCCATGTCGCGGGTCCCAAGGGTCTGTCATGGGCCACTGCTTTCTACATCACAGGTCCATTGAGGGTCCGTCAGGGTCCTGAGGGTCTGTCATGGGTCCTGAGGGTCTGTCATGGGTCACTGCTTTCTACATCACAGGTCCGTTGAGGGTCCGTCAGGGTCCTGAGGGTCCGTCATGGGTCCTGAGGGTCTGTAACGGGTCCTGAGGGTCTTTCATGGGTCACTGCTTTTGACGTCATGGGTCCGTTGAGGGTCTGCCATGGGTCCGAGTGGTCCTCTGAGGGTCTGTCAAGTGTCTGTCAAGGGTGACTGCTTTCTTCATGAAGAGCTAAGGGCAGGGGATCTGCAGAGTGAAGCCTGAAACCATCTCGGTGAGAGAGAATCCGACACCATCCTCACACTTCTTATGGGCGTTGACCACTGTTACACATGTGGGGAGACCCTATTACTAGGACAGGAACTCCAGGGGCCCAACTCCACCTGGGGAACGGGGCTTGCCAGGTGAAAAATCTTGTTTTTAATTTTGTTATCACAGCAAATCTGATTCACAGGCATCACGCGCCAGCTTATCCCCAGAGGCACATTTCCTGCATGAAGACGATGATGGGCTATGAAAAAGCTGACGTCTGTGTGGTTATAAACGGCTTTACTATCTTAAAACTAAGTTAATTCAAATCTGTTTAGACTGAGCAACTGTGCCAGCAGAGGGACCTATCTGCGTGGAATGCGGGAGGAGAGTCTGGAGCTCCTGGCTCCTTAAGAAGAACCTTGGTAGCAAGGGTCTCTGGTTGAGAGTGAGGTACCAGGGGCACGAATCCTTCACAAAGATGCCGAGCATGTGGAGTGCTCTGGGCCAGCAGGGATGTGCTTGGTAGAACGGCCTGCATGTAGGAGGTGCTCAACAGCACCTGCTATGTTAAACTGACTTGATTAGGTACTATATAACCACCAATAACTACTACAAATACAGCTGAGGGAGAAGGGCGTGGGTGGAGTCAAACACCCTGTACTGCATTTGTAGGAACTAATAATTAAGATTATCCTGAAATCAAAGAGTTGGACGCAGATATTCATAGATATGCAACTGAGTTCACAATCAGGCTTTACAAGGAATTTACCCATGGCACAAGATCAAGTTCTTCCAGCAATCTGGAAGGAAGCCTTTACTGCTCAGAATCTAGGAGATTCAGACAGAAAGCAACAGAGTTGTGTGTGTTCATCTGTGCCAAGATTTCTCAACCCAGATGTGTGTGAGGAAGGGTGTGCCTTTCCTCAGTCTAGCTCCATGGGGGTCAGGGCTCAGGGCCCTTTCACTTCCCAGCCCTGATGATGCCTGGGAACCCCACCCTCCCTGCCTCAGTGCCACCCCCATGTCTCAGCTGCCAACTGGGCCTGTTCTGGCCCCAGCCTCTCTGCCAGGCTCTCTGTTTCTCAGCCATGACCCTGTGCCCTGACAGGAACCCTGCACCAGCACAGAGACGTCCTCATCGTGAGAAGAGGGAACAGAGATAAAGGGACAAGACAGTGGGACCCTGTGGTGGGGACAGCCTTACCCAGGAGGATGGCTGGTCAGGGCAGTGCAACGTGCCAGAGCTGGAGTAGAGAACGTCGTCCTTGACCAGCACTGAGATGGCTCTCAGGATGAAGGACAGGAACAGGTTCAGGTGGATGTAATTCCTGGTGCAGTGCAGCTTCCTGAGGTGGGGGAGTGGGAGAGAGAGGAATTGGAGGGGGAAGGGGAGGGAGGGAGAGAGAACCAGACAGAGATGAGAAACTCATACTATGATCAGAGAAGCACAGAAAAATAAAAGAGTTGAGGGCATGAAGCAGATTTCACCATGAATGGCAACTGCAATTTGCTGTGGCAGAGAAAAATGAAAAAGCTCTGTTAAGAATTTTTTTGAGATAATAAAGTAGATGAGATGAAGAAACGTTTTTAGCAAATACATACTGAATTTGATAAGAAGTTTCCTATCAACAATTAAAAAACTGTTAAAATCCCAACAAAGGAGGTCAGTGAAAATGGTGGTGTAGGGACCATTCAAGAAACAACAACAACAACAACAAAGATACTCAAAGGCTTATGCCAACCAAGTGAACGCTTAGCCGGGGGAAGGCCCTGAATAGGCAGAGGGCATGCTGTCTTTAGCTCACCCTTTTCCACCCCACCCCAACATGGTGGTCATTTTGAAGACAGAAGCTCATGTTCCTATTGTGGGTACTTGGTCCTGGAGAAATTTCATAAACCCAAGGAGTTGTGTTTGTTTTGACCTTTCTGTGGGTTCTGGGCAAAAGACTAAGATTCCGCGGGCTGAGAAGTGGTTTTGCAGACATGCTGGAAGCTGAATGAATAAGCTCCCGCCACCTCAGGAGACACTTGGCAGGGGAAGCAAACATCAGGTCCTCTGATAGCCTGAGAGGAAAAGCTGTGGAGTGAGAATCTTGGAGAATAAGGGCTTCAAGAAGCTCTCACATGAAGTGGGGAACCCAGAAATCCAGGTGCACGTTCAGGGCAGAAAGAATCAGAGAATCCCACAAGCTGTTATCTCAGGCTGCTCTTTGGGCTTAGCACAAGCAGGCAGCGAGAGCTAAGGCAGAGCTGCAGACAGTCTGGTTAAGCATTGAAGGAGTGCTCCCAACACAGAGCCAGCCTACAAAGGCCTTTAGAGGGCACTTTTTCTTTTTTTTTCAGTTTTTTATCTCTTTGACTCCAGGTGTTTGTGGAAATCTCTATCAAACAACTAGCTGATGACTGAGCTAAAAGTATAGAGTCTTCAGCGACCAATAAAGACCAAGAGTCTTTATAAAAATAGTTTAGAAAATCCCTAAATAAACAGCTACAACCGGCAGCAAGAAATAACAAATCCTAGAAGTGGGAGACTGTGATTCCAGAGTTATCACATCAGAATATTCAAAATGCCCAGTTTCAACAAAAAATATAAAGCAAAAAATAATAATAAGAAAATATGGCCCATTTACAGGAAAAATAAAATGAATCAACAAAAATTATCCTTGAGGCATCACATGAAATAGATTTACCTTAAGTTTCTGACTTAAAGTCATAGGCAACAACTTTAAATAAAGTGTCTTAAATATGCTTAAAGAGTGCAAAAAAAAAAAAACCTAAAACAAAAAACCATAGACAAATAAAGGAAACCAGGAGAACAATGTCTCAACACATAGACAATATTGATAAAAGAGATAGAAATTAGAAAAAGTAACCATGTAGAAATTTTGGAGCTGAAATGCACAATTGAACTAAAAGATTCACTGGGGTAGGCCAAAGCAGGTTTTTTTTTTTGGAGATGAATTCTCATTCTGTCACCCAGGCTGGAGTGCAATGGCGCAATCTTGGCTCATTGCAACTTCTGCCTCCCTGATTCAAGTGATTCTCCTACCTCAGCCTTCTGAATAGCTGGGATTACAGGCACCTGCCACCATGACCAGCTAATTTTTGTACTTTTAGTAGAGATGGGGTGGGGTTTCGCAACGTTGGCTAGGCTGATCTCAAACCTCTGACCGTATGTGATCCGCCTGCCTTGGCCTCCCAAAGTGCTGGGATTACAGGTGTGAGCCACCGCACCTGGCCTAGGTTTGAGCAGGCAAAAGAAATCATCTGTGAACTTGCAGAGAGGTCAAATGAAATTATCCAGTCTGAGGAGCAGAAAGAAAACAAAGAATGAAGGAAAATGAAGAGAGCCCAAGAGCCTAAGAGACTTGTGGAATTCCATCAAGTGCACCAGCACACGCATGGGGGAGTGCCAAAATGATGATCCTGAAGTCATGTGGAATTATGATGGATCCTGAACAGCCAAAACAATCTTAAACAGAACAAAGCTGAAGAACTCATCATCTCAATTTCAAACTTACTACAGACTACCAAATAGTGTGGCACTGCATATAGATCAACTGTATAGAACTGAGAGTCCAGAAATAAACCTACACATCTAAGGCCATTTGATTTTTGACAAGGGTGCCAAGGACATTCAATAGGGAAAGAATAGTCTTTTTAACGAATGGTGCTGTGACAACTAGATGTCCATATGTAAAATAATACAGCTGGACCCCTACCTCACAGCATATTAAAAATTACTCAGAATGAATCAATGACCTAGACATAAGAGCTAAAACCATAAAACTCTTCTGAAAAAACATAGGAGCAAATATTCAAGACCTTTGGATTTCCTGTGTACTTGTGGTGTCAGCCACAAGTCTAATAGGCTCTGTTGGATTTCTTATGTTCTTATGTATGATACCAAAAGCACAGCAAAAAAACAACAGATAAAGTTGACTTCATCAACATTAAAAACTTTTACATATTAAAGGACATTACTAAGAGAGTTCAAAGAAAATCTACAGAATGGGAGAAAATGTCTGCAAATTATATATCTGATAAGGATTAGTATCTAAAATATATAAAGAACTCTTACAACTCAATGACAAAAACCCAATTAGAAAATGGGCAAAAACTCAACTATCTATTTCTCCAAAGATATACAAATGGTCAATAAGCACATAAAACCATAATGTGACTTCATTGCATACCACTAGATGGCAATAGTAATAATAATAATAAATTAAGAAAACAAAATAAAAAGTATTGGATGGGTGTGAAGAAACTGGAACCCTCATATATTGCTAGTGGAAATGTAAAATGGTACAGTCATTGTGGAAAGCAGTTTGGTGGTTTCTCAACACAGAATTACAATATGCCCCAGAATTCCACTTGTAGGTATACGCTCCAAAGAGTTGGAAACAAGTTTTCAAACAAAACGTGTACATGAATGTTCATGGCAGCTCTATTCACAACAGGCAAATGGTGAAACAGTTCAAATGTCCATGAGCAGATGAACGGATAAACTAAATGTGGCATATCCATACAACTAAATACTATTCAACCATAAAGAGGCATGAAGTACTGACGTGGATCGAACTTGAAAACATTATGCTAAGTAAAGACACCAGTCACAAAAGGCCACATATTGTATGACGCATCCAGTGGAGGCAATTCCATGGAGAAGGCAGATTCTAGCTTCCAGGAGCCGGAGGGTATGGGGAGTGACTGCCTCATGTATAGAAGGCTTCCTTTTGGGACAATAGGAAGTTCGGGAACTAGCTAATGGTGATAGTTACACAACACTGTGAAGGTGCTTAGTGCCAAGGAATTGTGTACCTTAAGATGGCTCAAATGGTAAATTTTGTGTTATGGGTATTTTACCACAAATTTTGGAAATCCACCCTCCCCCTCAAATTTTTAAACAATTATGGCCAGCTGAAACAATTTCGATTCTTGCATAAAAAAGAAAAATAATTTTTGTCCAAAAGGATGTTAAAAGAAATTTTTATTTCATTTGTTAGAGAAATATAAAGAACAGACTAAGAAAAATATTTTACAAAAAGTGAAAATTTTCATTTAAGCCAAACTATTGCCCACAGAGTAAAAGCCCTTTCTAACATTATTAAAGATCCTGGGCCGGGCGCGGTGGCTCATGCCTGTAATCCCAGTACTTTGGGAGGCCGAGGCACGTGGATCACCTGAGGTCAGGAGTTCAAGACCAGCCTGACTAACAAGGTGAAACCCTGTCTCTACTAAAAATACAAAAATTAGCCGGGCTTGGTGGTGGGTGCCTGTAATCCCAGCTACTCAGGAGGCTGAGGCAGGAGAATCGCTTGAACCCAGGAGGCAGAGGTTGAGATTGAATCCAGGAGCCGAGATTGTGCCATTACGCTCCAGGCTGGGCAACACAAGCGAAACTTTGTCTCAAACAAACAAACAAAAAAACTATAAAGGATCCTTTAATTTAAAACTTGAAAAGTTGCAAGTACTTTTCTTTGGTTTTTGATGAGTTGTGTGGTTAAGAGAAACTCACTGGACAATTAATATTTTGAATTCTTTAATTACAGAAGAATTCCAAATTTATAAACAAATGTCAATTGTTTATAAAAATTAGAAATTATGGTGTAAATATTTTTTCATAGTTTCCATTTGTCAAAGAATTCGGTTATATATGAAAAAACTAGTTTCTATTATGACAGACACTGCTCCAGCTACTGCAAGGTCAAAACCCTGAATTTATTGCAATTCATTTGGAATTTAAAACAAGGGACAGATATTTCCATTATTGCTTCTTTCCACTGTATAATACTATTGAAAGTATTTGTGTTCCATTTTATGAAGTAGACTCTAGAAAAACCATCAAGAATGTTGTTGTTAAAATCTTTCAGTATTTATGTGCAAATGCTTTGAATCGCTGAGCGTTTACACAACACCTGAAAGAAACAAGACAATGAACTTAATGATCTAGTGTTCTTTGCAAATGCTTGGGTGAGTCATGGAAGAATTTTACAATATTCACTGTATTGGTAACTCCAAGTCAAGATTTTTCTCAAACAGTAAGGGCTTTCCAAATATTCAATTATCAAAAGCAAAATGACAATATAATTTATGTTTTCTCAGTGCTATCCTGTTGGTTTTGGAACCTTGAAGAAAGGAGAGCTTATTTGTGACATAGCTAGGTATGAAAAATTATGTGGAAATAAAAACTTCCCATAATATAAATCATAACTAATGATTTAGCATTTTTCTAACATGAATAAATATGCAGAATATTTTAATTACAATCAAGAGAACCATTTAAACTGGCAGAAAAATACCATATAAATTTGAGAAACACTTTTTCTAATCAATGGATTTAGAGTTGTTTGCCAATTTATGCATTGCCCCTTGGAATTTGACATTAGTTATACTGAGCTGATACAAGGGTAAGCTTATTTAACTTGAGAAGACATAATTTGCAAACAAAGGTGCTTTTGCTTCAAAGTTAGATCAACTCTTTCTAAAAATGGTAACCTAGTTTTGTTAATGTGGATATGAATAGTAAAGGGAAATGACTCCTGGTACCAGAGTGACTTGCTGGAGAGCTTTTATGTATGTTTGGACAGCTAGGTATGTTTGAACAACTTTTTCAACTGTAAATTTTAAAAACTCTAAAGGCAGATCAAGTATTTCCAATACAAATCAGTGACCAAATTGAACTATACTGTGTGAACTACAAACTGGATTTTGAAGACTTACTCTGAACACAAGAATGTAAATAGCTCATTAATATTTTTATACTGATTACATATTGAAGTAGTATTTTGGATCTGACAACTTTAATGTATTATTAATTTCACTGGTTTCTTTTTATTTTTAAAAGAAAATGTTAAAATGAGGCTACTAGAATGCTTACAATTATGCTAGTGGCTTGCCTTATGTTTCTGTTGGACACTGCTGATCTCAACAGCTATTGGATTGTGCTTTTTCAGCTCCTCTTTGGGCTGGCACCTGTCAAACTCCTCCACAGCCAGCGTGCACTCAGCTCAGCCCTTACTGATGTTCTGCACAGCTCCAGGGGCTTTCTCTAGTTCTTCCACAAACCTCTGCTGGGTCCACTTGTTCAAGGCATGGAGGACCCTTCTCTCCCACTCAAAAGATTCCTCATTCTTAGCCTTCAGTTTCTTGAACCTTATTTTTATTTTTTCTATCAACATGCCACCCCCATTACTGCACCCTCTGTGGACTCTGAGCGTCCCTGTTCCTCTGCCAAGCACGCACTCCCATAAAACTTTCTCTCTTGGAATTCTCTTCTTCCAGCAAGACCCTCATCAAATGTCAACATGAACCTTTCTTGGGGCTTAACTTTATGTGACATCTTGCTTTTCTAAAAAGTATTCAGAACATTTTGTTTACAACTCTCTTAGAACACTTAAATTCTGCTTCAGAGAAGACTTAATTGGAACACACCCTAAAGAGGACCTCCACTTGTGGCCGTGAAGGAGGATACCTCAGGAAAGGATCAGGGTGATCCTAAAAAGCAGCCCAAGGGCTTTGGGGAGCAGCCGCAGCTGTGGGGACCAAAGGGCTGGACTCTGGGGAGAAGGCAAGGGCACTGTGGGGAGCGCCTGGGCCCTCCAGGGCCTCCGTGGGTATCTGCTGCTTTAGCTCTCCGGGCACAGAGGGTGTTCAGAAAGGACAAGCCCAGAGCCAGGGCCATAGCGAGGGCAGCCTCACCCGCCACAGCAGAAACGGGAGATAAGGGCTGTTGGGTGACCCTCGGGGAGCAACGACTCTGCAGGAAAGGAAATAGAGGCTGCATCCAAATCCTTTTGGTCTCTGAGATGGCTGTGTGTTGGGTGAGAGGCTGAGAAATAAACCAGAAAGCAGTGGCCAAGGGCGAGTACTTGGGGGAAATGCCTGCAGCTTCATGGGTGCCGGGTGGCAAGCACCAGGATTCAGGGCCTGAGGGTGGCAGGGTTCCCTTCATGGGGGAGTCCCGAATAGCTGTGGCCCAGAGTAACAACAAACCAGAGAGCACCTGGCTGCTTGAAACCTGAAATGCAGCCCGAAACCCACATGGCCCTGACGGCCCAGGCTGGTCTACCCTTGTTACCATGAAAAATTCAAATCCTCTGCAGCAAGATAATCATCTGAAGCCTCTGCAATTTAAGTATTTGTAATTTCAGTAACAATTACTAGGTATGCCAGAAACAGGACTAAGTAATCAAAAGCCAAGTTAAAAAGAAAAAACACTGGCCAGGCACGGTGGCTCACGCGTGTAATCCTAGCACTTTGGGAGGCCAAGGTGGGTGGATCACTTGAGATCAGGAGCTTGAGACCAGCCTGGCCCACATGGTGAAACCCCGTCTCCACTAAAAATACAAAAATTAGCTGGGCATGGTGGTGCACGCTTGTAATCCCAGCTACTTGAGAGACTGAGGCAGGAGGATCGCTTGAACCCGGGAGGCAGAGGTTGCAGTAAGCGGAGATCATGCCACTGCACTCCAGCCTGGGTGACAGAGACATACTCCATCTCAAAAAAACACAAAAAAACAAAAAAAAAAACAAAAAAAAACAAAAAAACCCAGACAATAGCGATTCAGATGCTAGTGTTTTAAGACATGGACTATAAAATTAATATATTTAAGAAAACAGATAAAGAAATGGAGAATTTTATTAGATAATAAAATTAAGACAATCAAATAGAAAATTTAAAACTTAAAAAACCTTGAAATTAAGAGTTAAATAGAGGGGACTAACATTAATTTAACACAGCAGATGCGAGTACCATGAATTGGATCAGTAGTATGTCTAGATTAAAGTAGAAACCAAAAATATGAAAAATATAGGAAAAAATAGTAATATAATACATGGGAAATGTAGTTTTAGGAGAAGAGAATTAGGAAGGAGCAGTATTTGAAGAGATGCTAGCCACAAGGTTTTTTGAAACTGACAAAAGACAGTAACAGATTAAAGAAACTCTACAAACCCCAAGAAGGAGAAATGTGAAGAAAACCACCTTAAGTCCTATGAGAGTGTAACTGCTAAAAACTGAAAAAAGTCTTCAAAGCTTTCAGAGGAAAAAAGACACACTGCCTCAAAGGAACAATGGTGCACTGGCAGCTGACTTTTCAGAAGAGGTCACGACGTACATCTTTAATGTGGTGAGAGAAAATAACTGCCAACAGAATTCAATCCTCTCCAAAATAGCCTCAAAAATGAAGGCAAAATTAAAATGATTTCAAGCAACCAAAACTCATAAGAATTCACTGCTGGTGGGACTGTGCTGAGAGAAACACTACAGGGAAATCTTCCTGCAGTAGGAAAATGATTCCAGATGGAATCACAAAATGCAGGAGAATGAAGAGCACCAGAAAGAAATGTTGAGGGAATGCTAAGTAAATGCGACCTTTAACACAACAACAATAGTATTTATATATGGAATTAAAATACATGACAAAAACACAAAACACATGAGAGGTAAAATGGAGCTAAAATGTTGCAAAACTCTTGAATTGACTGGAAAGTGGTAAAAGTAGTTACTGGAGGTTAACTCATGAGAAAAGGATGCCTATTGTGAATCTGGGGTGACAACTAGAAGAATAGTAACAATCCAAAAGAGGAGAAAACCAGAAGAATAAAAATATTTGATCAATTCAAAAGAAACAAGAATATGTGCAAAACCAACAAAGAACAGTTGAGACAATTAGAAAGCAAAGAAATGAAAGGTAGATTAGAACTCACAGTTGTCATAAGTAGACTGTGCGTATGAAAATGCTGCATTTAAAAATAAAGATTGTAGACAAAAAGCAAATTCCAATTAAATGGAGCTTATAAAATATCTACATTTAATATAAAACACAGGGAAGTAGAAAATAAAAAGCACAGAAAACCGTATACCTTGAAAATGCAAAATAAAGCTAATAAAATTATCTTAAATATCAGACAAAGCAGATTTTTAAGGTAGGAGACATTACTACACATTGGCAGTTTAAACTGATATACTCCTAATGACATAGCCTTAAAATATAGATGGTAAACAGTGAAAGAATTAAAAGGACAAATAGACAAGCCCACAATTATAGTTGGAGATTTTAATACATGTCTTTCAGTACTGGTAGAAAAATGTAAGTCTTTCAGTTCTGGTAGAAAAAGCAGTTAAAACAATCAGTAAAGATTTGGAATAATTAAATAACATTGAAAAACGATGTGAATGACCTATGTAGCACATAACCAAGAACTGCATAATTTACATTATTTTCAAACGAAAATGAAACTTTTACCAAAACAGATGGCATGCCAGATCATAAAGCAAGTCTCAACAAGCTTCAGAGGACTGAAAGTTGGTTCTTGGAAAACACTGATAAAATTGGTAACACTTTATTCAGTAAGACTCATCAAGATAAAAAGAAAGAAAACACAAATTGACAATACCAGGACTGAAGGAGCAGAGATCTGTATAGATCTTACATACATTAAAAATGTAACAGAACATTGAAAATATTGATGAAATGGACAGATTCCTTGAAAAGTACAACTTAGCAGAACTAACATACAAAGAAACCGAGAGTCTGAATAGTCCTATATCTGGTTTAGAAATTTTGGACAGCCAAATAAAACCTGCTCACAAAAAAAACTCTCTGCCCTGTTGGCTCTTCTGGTGACTTCTTCCAAACATTTAAAGAAGATATAACATCTTATCTAACCTAAACTACTCCAAAAAATAGAAAAGAGAAAACACTTTCCTCTTCACTTTATGGGCCAACACCAAACCTTACCAGATTGACTCATGGGAAAGGAAAACAATAGATCAATTTCATGAATGTAGATGAAAAATCCTCAACAAAATATTATCAAGCTGAGTTCAGCTATATATTAAAAACATAATATATCAAAACCATGTAGGGTTAATTTAGGAATGAAAGGTGGATTTAACATTAGAAAATCTATCCATGTAATATTTCAAATTAAATGAACAAATGTTAAAAACCATATGTATGTACATAAAAATCATGATAAAATTCAAAAGCCATTCATGACTAAAAAGTCTCAGAAAACTGGGAATTGAGAGAAACTTAATTTGGTAAAAGGTATCTTCAAAATATCTACAGCAAACATCATGCTTATAGTGAAGTATGGAAAGCTTTCACTCTGAGTTCAGAAATAAGAAAATGTTGTTTGCTATCACCACTTCTATTCAACATTGTACTTCACAAACAGCATGAATTACACATAGAAAAATCCAAGTGAATTTATGGAATAAAGAATCCATAAATGGATTTAGTGAGGTTGCTGAAGCAAGAGGTTTGTCTTTTTTTTTTCTTTTTCCTTCTAAGACAGGGTGTCTCACTCTGTCGCCCAGGCTGGTCTCAAACTCCTGGGCTCAAGCAATCCTCCTGCCTTGACCCAAAGTGCTGGGATTATAGGCATGAGCTACTGTACCTGGCCTTTGAAGCAATATTAATATACTAAAATAAATTTTTTCAAGAAACAATTAGAAATGGAATTTAACAAAATATTTATAATACCATAAACAAATATCTAGGAATGACTATTAAATTATGTGTAAGACTTCCACTCGGAAAATCATAAAACACTGAGAAATTAAAGAAAACCAAAACAAATGGAAGGATCTACTATGATCACAGGTTGGATGATTCATAATTAGAACGATGTCCTGTCTATCCAAGCTGATCTATAGATACAATGCAATACCAAATGAAATTGCAATAGAATTTTTGTTTTTTTTGTTTTTTTGAGAGAAATGGTCTTGCTCTGTTGCCCAGGCTGGAGTGCAGTGGTGTGATCACAGCTCACTGCAGCCTCAACCTGGGCTCAAGTGATTCTTCCACCCCAGCCCCTTAAGTAGCTGGAACTGCAGGCATGTGCCACCACGGCCAGCTAATTTTAAATTTTGTTGTAGAGACTGTAGAGATGGGGTCTCCCTATGTTGCCCTGGCTTGTCTTGAACTCCTGAGCACAAGCAATCATTCTGTCTTGGCCTCCCAAAGTGCTGGGATCACAGGCGTGAGCCAATGCAACCAGCCTGATTTTTTAAAACGGCAATTGACATTAAAAGTTTAAGAGTTGATTTTTAAAATTCACATGTAAGTACAAATGGCCAAGCTCTTCCTAATTAAAAAATAAAAAAGGGTTGATGGACTTGGACTCCTAGGAATAAAGACTTATTAAAGGCAGGGTAATTATAATAAACAGAAACAGTGCAGTGGCAGAAGGCCAAAGGAGCAGAACCGGGACTCGAGGCCCCCACACATGCCACTGCCTGCTCTGTGAAGAGAAGCATTGCAGGCCATAGAAGCTCCTTCCTGTACCCGCTCCCGGACAACGGGATACACACACTGAAAGCCCTAAAGAAACTTTACCCTGCTTCACACCACAGCAGAAATAACTCACAGGTGGATTATGGACAGAAACATGAAAAGTTAAAATAATAACATCTCTAGATGATAAAAAAAAGAATATGGCAAAGATTTCTTAAGAGGACTCAAGAAACAATGACATAAAGAAACAAATGGCAAATAAGCTTCATTAAAGTTAAGAGCTTCTGTTTATCCAAAGACCACGAAGAGAGCTTAAACTCAGTCACAGAGCTGGAGACAAAATCCGTAATACTCGTATGTAATGAAAGGCTCGAAGACTCCTAAACATTGACTTAAATAGAGGGAGAGACCAAACAGAAAAATGAGCAAACTCATTTTGAAATGGCACTTCAAAAAAAGCAAGATTTTAAAATGTATGAACTCATTTTCCACCAGGGAAATCAGGGAAATGTAAATTAAAACACCGTTCTATGTTATTACAGACGCACAAGAATGGCTGAAGGCTTAAAAATGGACAATACCGAATGGAGGCAAGGTGTGGTGTGAATGGAAGCCTCCTGCCCTGCTAGTGGGTGTGTACACTGGTAACCACTTTGGAAATTACTTGGCAGCATTCATTTTTTAATAAATTTATTTTTAATGGACACACGGTAACTGTACATATTTATGGGGTATACTTTGATGCTTTGATACATATCTATGTGGTATGATGATCCCATCAGGGTATTAGCATATCTACTGGCAGTATTTAGGAAGACTAACTCTATGTATAGCCTATGACCAGTAAATATAAGATAAACACAAATGTAAATATAAATGTGTGTACATATACACACATACCTAAAGTAACATGTGCATCTGTGCATGAGATGATGACTAAGAATATAACAGCAGCATTATTTGCTATGCCTCAAACTGAGTAACCCATATGTCCATGAACAGTTGATTGGATAAATACATCATATTTTTTTGAGTGGAATACTATACAGCAAGAAAATAAAACATGGTAACTCCATGCAACATGGATGAACCTCCTTGCAAAATGCTGAGTGAAAGAACCCAGAGACCAGGAGTTCCTTTTGCATGATTCCGAGGTAACGTTTTCAAAAAGAGAAAAGTTGTCTCTGGTGCCAGAACTCTGAATAACACTGCTTTTCAGGAGAGAGGTGGGGTAGACACCGGGTGGCTGCAGGGTCCCTGGTGAGAGTTGTATCCCACATCTCGATCTGGTGCTGTGTTCGCCTGGTAAACATGCATTCTGAACATATACTGCATTAGCAAACGTTTAGCATATGTAACACTGCCACAGAGCCTTGGTAAGCAAAGAATTGTAAATATGCTCTGAATTTTCTCGGTGTCTTGGGAGCAATTCCAAAGCTGTGTGGCCACTGCGCCAGGCTCACACACCAGTGCCGCTCCCTCTGGCTTCTCCTCAACACCCCTTCCTCAGAAGGCAAATGTCCCCCACCGGTGCCGTTTTGCTTCCCACTGATTCTCTCCTTGGCTGCATTCATCTCTCCAAATCACCTTTTTCCCTCTCTTATTTTTTCTCCTTCCCTCTCTCTTCCACCCCCTGTGTTTCTGTGGAGTGGGGTTGGCACTTACAGCCATTGCTCAGAGATGAGCATGCTTTTGGTCCAGTTAGCAAGCCATCCAAATACATGTTTGCTGGGTTTCTCAGTGATATTCTTCATTACTCACTGCTCGTTTTAAATTTTCACTTCCACGTATGGATCTGCCAATGGGCAATGGAGGTAGTAGAAAGTGTGGCTTCCGGAAAGGGGGACCAGAGTCTGCTCATTAGCAATGGTGGGAAAGGATTTTGGAGGCCACGTCCATCTGACAGTGACAGAGGTGCAGGCTGCAGTGATGAGAGCCTGGGTTGAAATCAGGGCTCTGCGTGCACCAGCTCAGCAACCCTGCAATGTCCAGCGACCTTCCTGGGGCTGCACTCTCCACCTGGAGAAACTGGGTCAGTGGCAGTACTTACCTGATGATGTTAACATCTGTAAAGTACTTGACACGGTGCATATTAGCAGTTACAGCTGTCCCTTGGTATCCACAGGGGATTGGGTCCAATCCCCCTCCCCCAATCTTGCCCCCCTTACCCCATGCCAAAGTCCATGAATGTGCAAGTCCCACATTTGCCCCTTCAGGACCCGTGGATATATGAAGCTGGTCCTCTGTATCTGCAGGCTTCTCATCCTGAGAATAGGCCATACTTCTGATCTGTGGTATCCATCAATACAGAGGGCTGACTGTATTGAAAAACATTCTCAGAGAAGTGGACCATGCAGTTCAAACCCGTGTTGTCTGAGGAGCAACCGTGCTGTGGACCCTGCTGGACTGGCATGGACTGGAACCGTCTCTGTCAGTCCCTGGGTCACAGGGGCAGCTGTCACCATAGGATGACTCCCCTACAAAGCTGGTCCTGTATTTGTTGTGAGCGTCAACACTGCACACTTTGGGATGTGTTCTAAGAAGTAAGTAGCTCCATTTCCCGTGTATAAAATAAGAACATGGCTACTGAAGGCTTTCTTGGCTTATTGGGCTATTTTGGAGAAGAAATGTTCAATGCCCGCAAAGCATTCTGCTTCCTGGGTATAATTACTGAGACAATGGAGCACGTTATTTTTATAATTCGGACTTTAGAATTGACAGACTCTCACAGCTCTCAGGAAGTGGCACTGGACCCTGCTTCTGACAGAAGGACGTGGGATGAGCCCCAAGCCTAGAGCTGCACACCAGCTCTGGACACTATGTGGTCACCAGCAGAATGACATCCAACACAGACATGCACTTTTTTCAGCTCAGAAGTGCCACAGGCAGGTGACGAATGATGCCTACAGATGGAGGGGTGTGTTCTGTGCCCTAAAGGATCAGTGTTCATAGGCGGGATAATTCCTGATGCTCTTGGGTTGCCTAATTAAATATGTCATGCTGTACATATGTGAAGGAAACAGATGTGTGTAAAAAATAGGGATTGTTCAATATAGGAAAATAAGATAAAATTTTCAGATTCAATTTCCCTGGGTCAGCTTACTTCCTTAAAGTTTTCCTCTTTCTCTTTAGCAACTTAAAAATTTAAACATATACAGTAAAATAGTAAACATATATAGTAAATTATACTCTATAAAATATAAGTATAATAGAACAAATATTAATATTGTACCAGATTTTAAAAATAACTAGAATATGATAGGCCTTCCTCACTTTTCAAAGTGCAGCCCTGTATCAAAGGTAGACTTATTCTTTCTGAGAATTACCAACCATAGTTGAGATGCCTGAACAATAAAAAGCATAGCTCAATTACATTTGCTGGCTTTCTTAGCTGGATTCTCAACCACTCCTAACTTGTTTATTTTACACTTCCAAGTATGGATCTCCTAATGGACTGTTGTTAGGGTCTAGAAATATTCCATTTATCATTGATTTTTATCTGACATACTGGCAAACATTTCGATTACATTTTAGCAAAGAGAAATAAAATATGTAGTGATTGATACATAGAATAAGCTGAATAGCCTCCATTTTATTTAGTGCTAATGATACGTAAGACAGATTTAATCCTAATTCACCAGAGCTCTTCCTATAGAGAAACTGCCGTTCTGGGACCAAAACCTCTACCCCCAACCCAAATGAACAATGATTTGATTGGTCAAATCATCTGCACTATGTCATCATTAGTTACCAAGAGACCCACTAAAGATGCAGGTGTGCAGGGGCCATCTCACCTCACTGCCAGGGAAGAGTGGGCAGCATTTAATAAGCCCTCATCACAACCTCACGTGCCATGCTAAGCCCTTCACATCTACCGACACATCAAGTTCTCACAACAGCCCTCTGAAGGGGGCTTCTTAGTCTCCACACATTACAGAAGCACAGACAAGTTAAGTACTTTGTCCAAGGTCACACAGCTGCTAAGAGACTGACCCAGGATTTGAACCCAGACAGCCTGACTCCACCTTCATGCTCTTAAACACGTCGTAGCATCTCTCTAATAGAGCACCTACAGCCAAAACACAGGAGCTTCTGGATGGCAAGGGTGAGATCCTATTTTTTCTGTATTTTCCACGCATTTGCATAATGGCTAAGTATTTAATAAATGATAGCTGAGCTGAGTTCCTATCCAAGGTCAGCATTATCTCTTTACATAATAAATGCAGAGTATTTAAATAAAAATGTAAATGTTAACATCATATTTAATGGCAGCATTCTCCATGGGAGTCTTATTGGCTTAGCACACAGAGGGCTCCAGGCTGGGTGGCGCCTAGAAGGCCTAAATGGAAACTTTGCTTGTCTTGTATTCTTTGCAGAATTACTAATTTCTGCTCCTTACCTGAAGAGGCACAGAATTATGCTTCCTGTTGCAAGAGACATCAGAGAGACACTGTAGCCCAGTGTATAAATGGCCTTCACCAGAATATAAAACGTGATCTACAAAGAAAGAAAACAGATCTGTAAGCTGAGGGTGACCAGCAACACCAGACAACAGGAATGGTTCCAGGATCCAGCCCTGTGCTCTGGCCATGAAGGACTCTTGCCTGCCTGGAAGGCACGAGATAGTCTCGCTTTATAATTCCACCTCCATTTTGAACCAAAAAATGACACCCACAATTTGGAACCTCCACTTTTTTCTTATAATTCATCATGAATGACTTTGGATGGTTCCTGTAAAGCACCTCTGTCTGGAGGGAACACGACCCGCCACCATCAGGGAAAGCAAAGGAAGGAAGCGCTGAGCTAAGTTCAGAAAGAGAGCTCAGTCTGTCTCCGAGGCAGCACATCCAGCTTTCTGACACTCCTGGATGAGCTCAGGTGGACACACAGGTCTGAGTGTGTTAAACACTATTACCTACAGGCACAGGGTGAGGTGTTCCAGACAGAGGTACTTGCCTAAGCCAGAGCCAGCTGCTGAGCTGCAGTATCTTGGGAATTTTATTTCCTTAACATTTCTTGGTTTAGCAAGGTCCATGGCTTGATACTTTTAATCTCCACGAAATCATCAGGTACAGGAGGGATTCATGATCATCATGGTGGCAGAATCACAGGGAGTTCTATGACAACAGGGAATCCTACACAAAAAGAACTGGGTCCTCTAGAAGGAAAACCAGTGCCTGTTGCGATAAAAACCAGCAACACCTGCAGGGCATCATCATCACTCGCCACTCCCAAAGGCCGCTTCCTGGTCTGCATTTTCTTGATAAAGCTAATTCCTATAAAATAAAGAGGGAAACAATCCACGTGTGCTTATGTGATGAATTTTATTTTTGTCAAGAGGCCCTAAGTCCGTATAAGTACAACCAAACCTCACTGTTATTTTGCAATACAAAATTTAAGGCAAAACTCAGAAAGTTATGCTCTTGTTTATTAGTTTGGCTCTTAAGTATAACTTTACTGTTTAATCATTTAGAACATATTAACCCATTTACTTTGCATTGCAGGAATCTCTTCTTGGGAACCTCGGCCCTGCTTACTTAGGACAGCTCAGAGAAGAGCACAGAGTAGTCCTGGCCAGATCCCTTCTCCTTGCTATTCCTCATCCTTCCCGACTCCACTCACGAGAATATGTCATTAACCACCACCCTCACCTCACCTAACCACCACTCTCAACTTATCTAACCCGTACTCACTTCAACTACCACCCTCACCTCACCTAACCATCACATCACTTCACCCAACTACCACCCTCACCTCACCTAACCACAAGTCTCATCTAACCCATACTCCACCTAACCATGACCCTCACCTCATCTAACCTCCATTCTCAACTCATCTAACCATCCCCTTCACCTAACCACCATCTCACTTCACCTAACAGTCACCTTCACTTCACCTAACCACTCTCCTCACCTTATCTAACCACCACTATCAACTCATCCAACCCATCCTCACTTCACTTACCCACCACCCTCACCTCACGGAACCCATCTTCACCTCACCTAACCACTAACCTCACCTCACCTAATCACCACCTTCACCTCACCTAACCATCACCCTCACCTCACCTAATCACCACCTTCACTCACCTAACCACTAACTTCACCTCACCTAATCACCACTCTCAACTTACCTAATCTGTACTCACTTCACCTAACCACCCCCACTCACCTCGCCTAACCATCACTTCACCCAACCACCACCCTCACCTCAAGCCTCATCTAACCCATACTTCACCTAACCATGACCCTCACCTCATCCAACCACCATTCTCAATTCATCTAACCATCTCCTTCACCTAACCACCATCTCACTTCACCTATCAACTTCACTTCACCTAACCACTCTTCTCACCTAACCACCACTCTCAATTCATCTAACCCATACTCACTTCGCTTACCCACCATATTCACCTCACTTATCCATAACTCTTACCTCACCTAACTGCCACCCTCACATCATCTAACAACCACCTTCATCTCCACCTAACCACTTTACTCACTTTATCTAGCCACCACCCTCACCTCATCCAACACATACTCCCTTCACTTACCCACCACCTGACTCACCTCATGGAACCCATCTTCACCTCACCTAACCACTAACCTCACTTCACCTAACCACCACTCTGAACTCATCTAACCTATATTCACTTCAACTAACCACAGCCTGCACCTTACCTAACCCACCCTCACCTCACCTAACAGCCACCCTCACATCACGTAACCACCACCTTCACTTTGTGGTGGAAAGCAGTTTGCTGATTTCTCAAAGAACTTAGAACTACCATTCAACCTGGCAATACCATTACTGGCTATAAACCCAAAGGCACAGAAATCATTCTAGCAAAAAGACATGCCCATCAACAGCCCTATTCACAAAGCAAAGACATGGAATCAATACGTCTCCATCAAAGGTGGACTAGATGAAGAACATGTGGTACATACAGAGCATGGAATATTACGCAGCCACAAAGACTGAAATCACGTCCTTTGAAGCACCATGGAGGCAGCTGGAGGCCATCATCCTAAGCCAATTAGCACAGCAACAGAAAACCAAATACCACGTGTTCTCGTAAGTGGGAGCAAAACACGGTACTCAGGGAGGAGAAATGGAGGGAGAAACGGAGGGGCAAGGGTTGAAAAACTGTTGGGTACTATGCTCTGTAGCTGGGTGGCGGGATCAGTCAGACCCCAAACTTATCATCATGAAATATATCCAGGTAACAAGCCTGCCCATGTGCCCCCTGAGTCTAAAATAAAAGTTGAAAAAAAAAAAAAAGGCTGGGCTTGGTGGCTCACACCTGCAAAATCCCAGCACTTTGGGAAGCCGAGGTGGGAGGACTGCTTGCTCCCAGGAATTTGAGACCAGCCTGGGCAACAGAGTGACACCCCCGTCTCCATAAAAAAAATGGAAAAATAATTAGCCGGGTGTGGCTGTGTGTGCCTGTGGTCCACAGCTACTGGGGAGACTGAGGTAGGAGGATCACCTGTGCCAGGAAGGTGGAGGCTGCCTAAGCTGTGATCACACCACTGCTCTCCAGCCTGGGTGACAGAGCGAGGACCTGTCGCAAAAAAAAAAGTTAAAAAAAAGAAAAAAAGTGAAAAATAATCCATACTTCCACCCTTACTCATTCAGCAAGTATTTACTGGGCGCCCACCAGGGTTGAGAAAGCGGGAGAAGCCGACAGACAGGAAAGACGGCTTTCTGGATCTCACGCTCAGCGGGAGGGCGAGCCGCGGCGGAGTACCGGGATCAAGCTCGGTGCGCGGCTGTGCGGGGAAGCCAGGCCGGCTCGGACGCACTGCTAGCGGGAGAAGCCTGCCGCTCTGGGATCCCGGTGGGAGGGGAGCGGCGGCCGCGTCTGGAGTCCATGGCGGGAGGGCGGAAAGCCTGAAGCCTCTAGAGGAGCCCCGTCCTGAGAAGCCTGGTCTTGCGGAGCCCCATCCCGAGGGCCCTGCAGAGGGCGAGGTGTGGGGTCTTCAGGCGGCGGTGTGGCCATGGGGCGCCGGCGGGTGTGAAGCAGACGAGAACTGGCCGGATCCCAACAGGGACTTGATGGGGGGCCCGCGGGCCTTCCCGACGGAGACGGGAGAAAAACAGGGCAAGGACACCCCGAAGGGTTCAGCCTGAGCCCCGGCAAGTCACAGCCACAGCAGCCCGCAGGTGAGAGAGCAGCGCCAGCCTCGGGCTCGGGTCTGGGGGTCCTGGCGAGGTGTTCGTAATTCGTGGGTTTTTGGTCTCACTGACTTGAAGAACTAAGACACGGACCCTCACAGTGAGTGTTACAGTTCTTAAAGGTAATGTGTCCCCAGTTTGTTCCTTCTGATGTTCGGACATGTTTAGAGTTTGTTCCTTCTGCTGGATTCGCGGTCTCGCTGGCTTCAAGAGTGAAGCTGCAGACCTTCACGGTGAGTGTTACAGCTCTTAAGGCGGCCCCTCTCTGGAGTTGTTCATTCCTCCCGCCCAGAGTTACTTATTCCTCCCGGTGGGTTTGTGGTCTCGCTGGTCTTAGGAGTGAAGCCGCAGACATTCCTAGTGAGTATTACAGCTCATAAGCGCAGTGCTGACCCAAAGAACAAGCAGCAGCAAGATTTACTGCAGCAAGATTTATTACAAAGGGCAAAAGAACACGACTGCCACAGCACATAAGGAGACCCAGTGAATTGTCTCTACAGGCTCCGGCCGCCTGCTTTTATTCCCTTATCTGGCCCCACCCTCATCCTACTGATTGGTCCATTTTACAGAGAGCTGATTGGTCTGTTTTACTGAGAGCTGATTGGTCCGTTTTGACAGGGTACTGATTGGTGCGTTTACAATCCCTGAGCCAGACACAAAAGTTCTCCAAGTCAACACTAGATTAGCTAGACACAGAACACTGATTGGTGCATTTACAAATCTTGAGCTAGACACAGGGTGTTGACTGGTGTATTTACAATCTCTTAGCTAGACATAAAGGTTCCCCACGTCCCCACTGGACTCAGGAGCCCAGCTGGCTTCACCTAGTGTATCCTGCACCGGGCCGCAGGCGGAGCTGCCCCCAGTTTTGCGCTGCGTGCCCGCAGCCCTTGGGTGGTCCATGGGACCAGGTGCCGCGGAGCAGGGGGCGGCACTTGTAAGGGAGGCTAGACGGTGCAGGAGTCCACGGCGGGGTGGGGGGAGACTCGGGCATGGTGGGCTGCAGGTCCCGAGCCCTGCCCTGCGGGGAGGCAGCTGAGGCCCCGCGAGAATTCGAGCACACTGCCAGCAGGCCGGCACTGCTGGGGGAACCCGGTGCACCCTCCACAGCTGCTGGCCCGGGTGCTAAGCCCCTCACTGCCCGGGGCCGGCAGCGCCGGCCGGCCGCTCCAAGTGCGGGGCCTACCGAGCCCACGAACTTGCGCTGGCCCGCAAGGGCCGCGCACAGCCCCGGTTCCCGCCCGCGCCTCTCCCTCCACACCTCCCTGCAAGCTGAGGGAGCCGGCTCTGGCTTTGGCCATCCCAGAAACGGGCTCCCACAGTGCAGCGGCGGGCTGAAGCGCTCCTCAAGCGCGGCCAGAGTGGGCACCGAGGCAGAGGAGGCGCCAAGAGCGAGCGAGGGCTGCCAGCATGCTGTCACCTCTCAGTGGGGTCCAGGGGTCTTGGGGGGATCTGGGGTTCCTGGCGGGTCGGAGGGCCTGGCGGGATCTGGGGGACCTGGCGGGGTCTGGGAGTCCAGGTGGGGTCTGGGGGTCCTGGTGGGGTCCGGGGGTCCTGGTGGGGTCCGGGGGTCCTGGTGGGGTCTGGGGGGCCTGGTGGGTTCCGGGGGTCCTGGTGGGGTCTGGGGGTCCTGGGGGGATCTGGGGTTCCTGGAGGGATGTGGGGTCCTGGTTGGATCTGGGGGGCCTGGCGGGGTCCGGGGGTCGTGGAGCACCCGGTGCTCACACCGGGCTGGGGTTCAAGAGGAAGGTCTAGGCCAGAGGCGTCCCCTGAGACTTCCTCAGGCTCAGGCAGCACTGAGGCCTGGGGCGTTCACCAAGAAATTCAATGACAAAAACGCCTCTCATGTGATTCTGGATGGGGAAGCCGCGCCCGGCGTGGGTGGGCGCGGAGGGAGCAGAAAGGAGGCGATGCGGCTGCTGGGGTGGGAGAGGGGCGGCCCCACGCGCCGGGCCAGGAGGGCTCCTTCTTCCCGCATTTCACGGGAGCCCCGGTCCCCTGCCCCGGAGCCACTGGGGCCTGGCTGAGGCGACCCTGCACCTGGGCCCCGTGGGCTCGAGCGGGTCCACAGAGGACCCCCGGCTGCCCCTCTGTGCAGAACCCTCCGGGACGGGACCGTGGCGGGGAGAGATGCAGGAAGGGATGGAGACGGAGTGGAATTGGCGGCTCCTGAGGCAGCAGTGTCCGGGTTCGTTGTGAGTGAGGATGATGGCGGGGTGAAAATGGACGAGACCAGAACTGTGGTCTCAAGTCGGGGCGGCCAGCTGGGTGCTGGGCTGAAGGTGGCAGCAGCCACCCGCTGTCGGGTGGGGCTTCGAGGTTGTCAGCAGCAGGAGTACAGGGCCTGGGTTTGGGTCCTGGGTGCAGTGGCACAGAGGCCGGCCAGGCTGCTCTCTCGAGGCCGAGCAGTCGGTGCTGACTGAGTCCTGCCAGGTCAGCGTCCAGTCCTGAGGCGCATCCAGGGCCGTCTGCTGGCCCGGCCTTCGCCCCAGCTCTGGCACCACATGACCCGGGGCCGCCTGTGCACAGCTGTGTGCTGGGGCACCGACCCTCCCTCCTTCAGTCCCTGCAGAGGCCTCGCCTAGAGGCCCGGGGTTCCATGCCTGGCAAGACAGGCTTTGATGAAGTGTGGAGGAAGCTCCTGTCTCAGCTTTGCAGGGGCCTGATGTTCCCCACGTAGACTCTGCATCGCCACCTCTACCGAGAACCTGCCCACCTTCCAGAAGCAGGCGGTGGGAACTCCGTGGGACTTGGAGCCATGGCGGGCCCACTGCACCGCTCTCTGAAAGCTGGGAGGGCGGAAATCACAACACGGTGTTGGAACCCCACACGATTCCTCCTGGACTAAGGCTTTCTTGGCTCTCCTAAAGGCTTGATCCCTGGGGAGTGGAAGATCTGAGAGCTGAGAGAGAAGTGTCTGGATGTGTCTGTGTTTCTGAGTTGTTCTAGGATCTCAACCCCTGGATTTAGAAAGCCTTGGACAGCGTCATGCTGCTGTTCCCTCTGCCCGCCCATCTCCCTCCCTCCCCTCCCCTGCAGTGGCTGCTACAGGAGGAGCCCGCAGGAGACGGGGGCAGGAGGGCGGCCACCCCAGGCTCTGGCCCTCCGTGGCTGCTCAAATACGTCAAGCCCTGGTGTCTCGGGTCCCTTCCCTGCCCCTCTGGCCAGGGTTCCGGCTTCCCGTGGCTGGAGAGTGGAGGCTGCACAGTTCTCACAGGGCTCCGTGACTGCCCAGACCTCTGTAAGGATTCTCTGCGTTTAAGCTCTTTTCAGTTTTATCCTTGGCGTGTGCCAGCAGTGTCCTGTTTGAACCCTGAATCGACACACTGTTCCTTGCATGTACAATAACATTTTTTATGAACTCAAATCCCCATAAAAAGACCATCAGATTGACCAGGAAAATTTTTCAACACTAAGGTTTTAGAACTTGAGATCGCACAGGAAACGAGAAGACATCAGGGACACAGTTATTGAAAGTGCTTTGCTCCTCCGGTCTCAGAAACCCTCCGCCCAGAAAGTACCCTGGTTTTCTGTGGCCCGTGGCCCACGTGTAGTTACGTTCTCGACCACAGTGTCCACTACAGAGTGCTCAGGGCTGACCCACACATTGCGTTTAGGGAATGAAAGAAGCCACACAGAGCACAGAGCTGTGAGGTTTGACCTCCCCTGAGACAGAAAACGCAGGTGAAGCAAATTCATTTAACCCAACATGTGTTAGAGATTAAAAGAGGGCTGCTGGGGTAGGTTTTCCTTTAGGGGCCTGCTCCCGCACTGTCCATGGGATTCCACGATGCCTGCTCCGCAGCGTCCGCGGGATTCCAGGATGCCTGTTCCTGCAGCGTCCGTGGGATTCCAGGATGCCTGATCCCACGTTGTCCATGGGATTCCAGGATGCCTGCTCCCACACTGTCCGTGGGATTCCAGGATGCCTGCTCCCGCACCGTCCATGGGATTGCAGGATGCCTGCTTCCACACCGTCGGTGGGATTCCAGGATGCCTGTTCCTTCACTGTCCGTGGGATTCCAGGATGCCTGCTCCCGCGGCGTCCGTGGATTCCAGGATGCCTGCTTCCACAACGTCTGTGGGATTCCAGGATGCCTGTTCCCACACCATCCGTGGGATTCTAGGATGCCTGCTCCTGCAGCGTCCAAGGGATTCCAGGATGCCTGATCCTGCAGCGTCCATGGGATTCCAGGATGCCTGTTCCCGCACCATCTGTGGGATTCCAGGATGCCTGCTCCTGCAGCATTCTGTGGGATTCAGGGCACCATCCCGTGGATTCCAGGATAATTGCTCCTGAACCCTTCCATGGCATTCTGGGAGGCCACTTGGCCTAGTTGGACAGCCTCTGCTCTGGGATGGCTTGGTGGACCAAGCAGATTTGTCTGAATTGCTTCCACTCCCTGCATCTTTGTGGTGCAAGAACTAGAGCTCAGTGATGATATTTCAAGGCAAGTTTCCCTATGCTCATTACTACTTACAAAGCCTCAGTGGTGGGCTAACACATTTTAGAAAGACAATACTGATAAATACTTAGCAAGAAAACTAAATTTGTTAGTATAACTCCTCAAATAGTTCAGGTAATCAAGGTTGACATCAATTTTGATCTGGGAAACTAATGTATTAATACAGTTTTAGAAGGGGGATTTTTTTGCCTTGTTAAACCTCAGTAGGAAAACCAAGATCCACACTGAGTGGAACTCTCCTGTGAGTGGGCACTGGCGCTCTCCAGCACGTGCCTGCCATGTGCGGATACTGAGATCGAAGTTAATTAAACTTACGTAAAATTGACACGCCAGTGACTCAGTTGCACCAGCCATATTTTGGTGCTCACGGTCACATGTGGCCAGTGGCTGCCACACTCGACAAAGCTCAGATAAAGAACGTTCCCATCAGCGTAGACAGTTCTGTTGGCACAGAGACCATACGACCACCATTCACCCACACGAGCACCTTCCCTCTGTTAATCAACATTTGCATGTGTGTATTTTCCAGTCTCACATAAAGGGCAGCCAAACGGATGCTCTGACCCATTTGAAAGTCATCACCTCTGCTGTGCAGCTATAGGATTTATTCCCAACACAGAGCTCTGGATTCCAGGTGTGTGGGGGCAGGTCCATGGGCAATGCCCAGAACTTATAAAGCATGATCTATTTGAACAGCACTAACCTTTCCACCAACGGCCCAGAACCCAGCGTGCATGAGGAGCTGGCGCCGGCCTGACACCTGGAAGCTACACTCATCCCATGAGCTCAATGCTTTCAGATTTCCTCGCAACAAGAAAATGCTCTGCTCAATGTGGGTATATTAAATCTGAAGAATGTACAATAGCTCTGATCATTACAGGATTCTAAAAACACCATGATTTCCTACTAGAAAGAAAGAATAATCCAGCAGGAAGTGTTCATGATCAGAAAGGGCCTAAACTAACAGCTGCAATTCCAGGGAGTGGCTCGGTCACAGCAGAAGTTAATTCCAGCACTGATGTTGGAAAGAAGGATTTGAAAGACCTTCAAGTTCTTTCCCCGGAACCAAGATCCTGTCGAGGCCAAGGAGAAGGGTGAAAGATAATCTCATAGGTTCAAGGCTATCACTTGGGCTTGCCTAAAGGAAGCAGGTACTTTGCTGCTGTCACTTGCAATGGTTTGTGGCTGGGCAGAGCCACTGTCAGGGCAGGAAGGGCAGGTGCTGCGGGGGCCGCTAGCCCCTCTCTGCAGAGGTCCTTCTTGAGCAATCCAGGCTGCGGCTCCTGCATGCTAACCGCTGGGGAGCTGCCCATACCCAACTCCAGAAGTGAACAGCAACCGGCTCAGAAATTTAAAAACACTGAGGCCAGTGGTGTGTTTACTGAAAATATCAAGCACGTCCTAGAACCTGGCCTTAGATACGAGTATTACTAACCCTGCCCCAACAGTGTGTAGACAGTGTGCCAAGACCCAAAGCAGCAGGTCCTCACTTCCGTGAGGGGAGAGTCAGCCCAGCCCCAGGGTTCTTGCCTTTGGGACTCAAGGCCTTTTAAAAAAACAGCCCCTCTCTTTTCACATGTTTTTCCTTTAAGGGGAATAGAACTAATTAAAATCTGTCAGAGAAATCAAGCACACTCAGCATTAATGGCAAAGCCATCTGACCCCAAACCCAGTGCTCTTTCCCCTAGAACACCATCAGCAGCCGTGACCCATTTCTAATTAGCCAACAGCGAGGGCTCAATGCAGGAAGAGGGTTCCCACACGGCCAGCCTTCTGTGTTCCACAGCGTGTGTGTTTAGAAGTGGGTTGTCTGTTCTCTTGTTCAATTCTGAAGTCAGCGCAGACAGCCCTGGCACCCACGACAAAGCCTGCCGGGGCCAGGACAGGCCTGAGTGTGAGGGAGAAAGCAGATCCCGCTGTTGGCTGCTGTGACGTTTGTTGTAGGAGTGGCGCTTCTGGACGGCGGGTGCAACAGCACGGCCTCAGAAAGAAGGCAGGGTCTGAGGAGGGTTCTGAAGGCGTCTCCACAGCTGTGACTGAGGCCACTGTCTCCTTTCCAATTTCCTTTCTGAGACATTCCCATGGGGAGCAGAGTGGAATGGCTGCTCTTCACCAATTATCTTGTGATCAGAGTTCAGACTAAACAGTCAGAAAACAGTGTTTCAAACCTACCAAAAGCATAGAAAACAATATAAGGAAGACACGCAGCTACTAACAAACAGCAGAAAGAGAACTGCACAGGAATAAAATCTCAGTGGGTGCTGGCAGGCCCCTGTCTCTGGGCTGTGCAGTACTACGGCCTTAGGCTTCACTGAGCCGCGTGAACCGTTCTGGTTCTGGTACCTCACTGGGCAGCCTTAATCTGCAGGTACTCCTCACAGGGCTTCCATCTCCCCACAGGCTCCTGGCTGTGCGGTGTCCACTCCACCTGTCTCCAGTTTCACTACCGCCTCAGCAACTGTGCTCAGGGCTCATGGGGGCCTTTCTCCCTGCTCACTTTTTCTTCCTGTCAGTTCTTCCTCCTGTGTCCAGTTTCCCCTGAACTACCTTCTCCAGGCGCTCCGAGTGAGGGTTGCTGGCTGGGGACCCTGCCAGTCCCTGCTTTCTGGAACCCACGTGCAGTCTGGCTGGGTATGCACTCCTGGGAACGAACGGCTGTAGGCCCCAGACAACAATGCACCTGCTGCACTCCTCCTCACGTGTGCGGAATCCATCTCTTGTCTCCAGAACTTTCCAGACCCACCACAATTGTCTGGCCAGTTATTTCCTTTTATTCACTGTATTTAGGGTCTTCAGGCTTTTTGAATCTGAGGATTGGAGCCTCACAAAAACTCTGGAAAACCTCTACTAAGCCTGTGACTGGCCTTGGTCAATCCTGGTCTCCAACCCTGTTTTCTGTCCCTCTCTCTGCCTGCACCTGGGCTGGTTTCTTTGTACGGATCCTTCCTGGTCCAGAACCCTCTTTGCATCATGTCTAATATGCTGTTTAATGCATCTGCTCCATTTTTCCCCCCAAATAAGGGAAACTAATGTAACCCATACTTTTTAGAGTACCTTGTTTCTGGTTCACACTTTCACCCCCAGTTCCCCCTTTTAAAAAACATTTTAAATGCATTTATTTCCTTTTGGTGCCTGATGATTTCCTGAGCTGAAGATTGGGTGTAATTTTACTGTCTGTCGTTGGCTGATTCTTGTTCATGGTGCTTTTTCCTTCTGTAGTTTGTCAACCCGGAATGTGAGCTGATGTTTGGAGTTTACCCATGGGAATTTTGTGAGGCCTGGTGGACATTTCCCTCCAGACAGAACCTGTTTGCTTTGTCCGGTACCTCCAGGGCTGCCCACTCAGCAACAGCCAACGCCAAAGTCTCAGCTCAGGGCTTCTGTACCGAGGGTAAAAAGGAACTTGCCCTTTAGGAGGGCATATTCATCGTGAGATTCCTGGGAAGGACTTTAAAAATCTTCTTTGTGGAAAGCAAAGGCATATAAGGCAATTTTTCCTGCTGTCCCGGGGTCAGATTCCAAGCAGCCGCCCCTGCATCCAGGGCTGCACGGAGGACTCCGCACACGACCCAGGGCCCGGTGCTGCCACTGCGGTCACTCTGGTTCTCAGCTCTTTTTTTTTTTAGATTTTCTTACTTTCTTGAAATCCCAGCTACACATTTTAAAGGATTATTGTTATGTTTGATTTAGCATTTTGGGATGATTTGTGGTGGGAGTTGTTTATGCCCAGTTTCTCATGTAAGATTTGTGTTTCTTGCTGAATGTGTTTGGTATCCTTGGTTAGTTTAATTCATTCTATCCAGGACATTCATGGACGCTTAATAGGATGCAGACAGCACGTCAGGCGTTGTGGGAAGCACGGCCGCTACTGACAGAAGGGCCCCACAAGTCACTCGGCCTGTACTTCACCACAGGAAGTTTGTTTTGGGAACTGTCCCAGAAGACAATAAATGAGCTAGAAAGTGAGATGAATATGAATTAAAATTTGTGTTTGTCTTCACTAGAAGAATAGAAAGGGCTACATTGCAAATTATATTAGTTTGCTTAAAGCTGGTTTTGATTTTACACATCCCGTGCTTTCAAGCATTTAAGAAGGCTTATTTGGTTTCTTGCAAAAATGCCTCCATTAAGGTCTTGGGGAAGCAAAGCAGACTGTGCGGTGAGTGCTGAAGCACACGCAGGTGGGAAGGTCCCATCAGAACCTCAGCAGCGTGGCCCAGCAGCACACGAAACGGCACGCCCACAGACTGGCTGACTGTGGCTTCACCACGCAGGTCATTACCGGCAAGAAATCCTTCCTGTAGTCAGTTTTTAAAAACATGAGGCAACTCACAAGAAAACCGCCAGGCTACTGTGTTGCAGGAGGTGGGTCGAGCAACTTCCAGGGTTTTTCTGGGTTGCACAGACATTCATTCAACCTCCTGTAATAAGCACCAATGTTTAGAACATGGTCATGAGGAACTGTGCACACTTTTCCATCTTCACTGTGAGGTGAAGTTTATCTTCATTAGAGGTGGCCAAGCCAGCTCAGCAGTTTCAAGAACTGCACAGAGGGTCTCTTCCTAGGAGGCCTCTCCCTCTGGACTCCAGAACCTTCCCCGGCTCAGCCTCCCATCTTGGCTTCCTTCCTCCTGGGTCCCCAGGCAGACCCTTGGCCTTGGACCACTCAGAGAGTGCCTGTCCCCATTTGGGGCCTTCAGAGAGAATCTTGGCTCTGAGCATCTCCCTGGCACTGGCTTTTCCATGGGCATCGCGTTCTGTTCTTCATGGTTCCTCAGTTGTGCCTGGAGCTCGGACCCACAACCCCACCAGCCTCATCCCAAGGCCCAGGCCCCCTCCTTGTCCAGAACAGGAGTTCAATTCAGCGGTAATGAGTGAACCCGTCCATATCAGAAAGACTGTTCACAGGAGAACAGGTGCAAAGAGTTTTCTCTTTAACTTTAGATCCAGAGGAGACTTCTGGTAAACTAGAATTCATAATATACAAAGGAGCCATGAAAAGTGCAGTCACACCGCACACAGCATGGCCGGGAACCCTGCAGCACCTGCTGGATGAAGGCACGATGGTACCGGCAGGTAAGAAAACACACATTGCTAGACTAGCAACAAAATCCAGAGTCCCATGTCTCTAGGCTGGGAACCCTGCAGCACCTGCTGGATGAAGGCACGATGGTACTGGCAGGTAAGAAAACACACATCGCTAGACTAGCAACAAAATCCAGAGTCCCATGTCTCTAGGCTGGGAACCCTGCAGCACCTGCTGGATGAAGGCACGATGGTACCGGCAGGTAAGAAAACACACATCGCTAGACTAGCAACAAAAATCCAGAATCCCATGTCTCTAGGCCGGGAACCCTGCAGCACCTGCTGGATGAAGGCACGATGGTACCGGCAGGTAAGAAAACATACATCACTAGACTGGCAACAAAAATAAAGAGTCCCACGTCTCTAGGCCGGGAACCCTGCGGCACCTGCTGGATGAAGGCACGATGGTACCGGCAGGTAAGAAAACACACATCGCTAGACTAGCAACAAAATCCAGAGTCCCATGTCTCTAAAGCTTACAGAATGACACTTATGACTATAAAATTTTAAAGAGCAAGAAAATTAACAGTCAACTTATTTTCCAAATAAACTCAAAAAATAAAATTAAAACTAGAAAAACAGTAAACATCTGAAAAAGAGAAAATGGTAACATTTCAAAACATTGTCAAAATTATGGTCAGTGGCATAATTAGAGCCTTAAATACCTTTCTTAATAAGAAAATAAAGCATTCAACTAAAAAAGCCTGAAAAATGATAAAACAAGTCAAGGAAAGCAAGAAGAAGGAAATTATAATAACAAGAGCACAAAAACGAAAGACACAGAAAGTTACCTCCTTCCTGGACGACAGGCCCATGAGGCCCTGGGCCTTGGTTTTGTAATTATTGATGTATATCCAAAATGCCCAGAACAGTGGTTGGCACACAGGAATACTCAGGAAATATTTATTAAGGAGAGTAAGTTTTAAAAAATGGTCAGATTTACAATAACCCACTTTTTTGGTATAGCCTAATAGAGTAGATTATTTATGAAATATCAAAACAAGAAAAATAATGAGGAACATTATTTTACACATTTTAATTAAAGTGTGATGCACAGCTCTGTGCTAACAAAGTCAAAACTTCAACGAAATGGTAACATTCTGGGGCTGTAAACATTTCCAGAACAGATTTAAGGAAAACCTAAAAACACCAATAACCAGAAGAGCTATTTTTTTAAAGTCTGTGAAATATAAGTTGTAAAAATGTTAGTGAACCCAGGAGTTTTCACAGGTGAGTTCTTTTCATCTTCTAAGGTACACATTATTCCTAGGATATAAAAATTGTTCCAGAACATAGTAACAAATAAAGAAAAAGCACAACATCTTATTTTTAAAGCTAGCATAAGTCTGATGTCAAAAGCAGACAATATACTGAAATAAATAGTAATAACTACAGAATAATTTCACTTACAAATACAAAAGGAAAAATCTCAAAATATCAAGGATAAAAGAAGATCAGTTTAGGAGTATACTAAATACACACACCTCAATCAAGTAGATTTTCCCCAGGATGCAAAGATGACACATGCTTGCAATTAGTACAATATATTGCATCCATATGTCAATGAAAAAAATGCTTATCCCAGTTGATATTCACTTGTCCTTGTTTATTTATTTATTGATTGGAGACAAGAGTCTTGCTCTGTCACCCAGGTTGGAGTGAAGTGGCCCCATCTCGGCTCACTGCAGCCTCTGCCTCCCGGGTTCAAGTGATTCTCATGCCTTAGCCTCCCGAGTAGCTGGGATTACAGGTGTGTGCCACCCCACCTGGCTAATTTTTGTAGAGACAGGGTTACATCATGTTACCCAGGCTGGTCTTGAACTTCTGAGCTCAGGCAATCTGCCTGCCTTGGCCTCCCAAAATGCTATGATTACAGGCGTGAGCCACCGTGCTCAGCCTATCCTTTTTTTTTTAATTGAATAGAATTATAATTTCTTAGGTCTCATTAGAACAATTCCTTTCAGGCACAGGCAGTGCCACATGGAGTGGGGGAGCCCCAGGGCAGAACTCTACACCTCTTCTGGGCTGTGGAGCTGTCTGTCCATCTAAGGGAGACGTGGAACCTTTTTTTCTACAGGAAGAAAATGCACACAGGCATGAGTGCACAGACAGACAACTGTGCACACAATTCTGGGGGCTGATGGAATCAGAGCCCTGACTAGAAATTTCTCATTAACATTAGCAATGTCCACTCCTGCTTCTACCACAAAATGTTTTTCACATTTTAATCAATAAAATAAAACATGCAAAATGAAATTTTTTACACATTAGAAAAGAAAAAAACAAAACTGTTGCTTGTGGATCATGTAAGTCCATACTCAGAAAAATCAAGAGAAGTCAACAGAAATAATCAGTAAAACTATCAAGTAAATTTAATCAGGCCTCATTCAAAAGAGCTGCACAAAGTGTAAAATATCTAGGAATAAACTGAGCGGAAAATGTTCTGGGCCTAAAGTGAGGAAACTGAAGCACTTCCCCAAGCAACAGAAGAGAAATCCAAATAAAAGGGAGACAGACCCATTTCTGTGTGAAAGACTCAGCTTGCTCAGGACGCCATTTCCTATGTTGAAACTTAACTTTTTGGTGATGGTATCAAGAGGTGGGGCCTCTGGAAGGTGATCAGTTTGTGAGGGTGGAGCCCTCATGAACAGGGTTAGAGCCCCTTGTCCCTCCACTGTGTGGGAGCATCGTGAGAGGAAATGTGGCCTTACCAGACAAGGAATCGGCTGCACCTTGATCTGGGACTTTGTAGCCTCCAAAGCTTGAAAAATAAATTTCCATTTTTCATAAGTCACCCAGCCTATGATATTTGGTTACTGCAACGTGAATAGACTAAGATAATATACTATTAAAAATTGTTCTTATGACTAGAAATCTATAACAACTTGTTTTTCTGGCTGGGAGCAGTGGCTCATGCCTGTAATCCCAACACTTTGGGAGGCTGAGGTGGGAGGATTGCTTGAGGCTAGGAGTTTGAGACCAGCCTGGTCAACACAGTGAGACTCTGTCACAATGAACAAACAAACAAACAAAAACCCAGATAAAAAAAGAACTCGTTTTTCTGAAGCCAATAGAAAGAGACCAAAGAACATGTAGGAAAAACTGGGTACCCATTATGCTCGAGGTGCCATGAGACAGGTAACTTGGAACAGGAGTGTCTCTATGTCTATGAAAAGTGAACTCAATGAATACCTTATTTAGCTGATATTTAAATAGCTTGGCTTGGCTTTTGGTGTAAAGACAGGCTAAGAAACCTCTTGTTCTGTTAGCCTTAGACTACATGACTACATGTGGCCTTTGCAGATGCTTTTGAAAAGTTTAGGATCCTCCCATTACCACTGTTAAATAAGAATAAAAATGGAGGCTAGAACTGACCTTTGCCTGTGAGTCAATGGCCTACCCTCAGCTCAGCTCAAAATCTACAGATGTCCATTTACCCACTTAAACTGTAAACCAATTTTGAGCTTTATTTCTTTGTTGAAACACCTCAGCACATTGTAGCCAATTAGTGACCCAGGTAATTTACTCAACCTAACCAATGAGAATTAAGCTTATGAACTTCCTCTTTCATAGCATATAAACCTTGCTGTAACCATGAGACAAGCTTCTTACCAGTTTTGGCTTTGAAGTCTCCCTATTTGCAAACAGTTTGTTTCTCACTCAATAAAATCTTCATATCATATTTTTAGTGTCAGGAGTGGGAACCAAAGAAGACCCCTGATGAGGGTTGAGGCCAGTGAGGAGCCCAGGGCTGGCACCCACGGACCCACTGCATCAGGGAGTAGCCCAGGGCTGGCACCCACGGACCTGCCACATCAGGGAGTAGCCCAGGGCCAGCACCCAAGGACCTGCCACATCAGGGAGTAGCCCAGGGCTGGCACCACAGACCTACTGCATCAATGAGTAGCCCAGGGCCAGCACCCACGGACCCACTGCATCAGTGAGTAGCCCAGGGCCGGCACCCACGGACCCGCTGCATCAGTGAGTAGCCCAGGGCCGGCACCCACGGACCCGCTGCATCAGTGAGTAGCCCAGGGCCGGCACCCATGGACCCGCTGCATCAGCGAGTAGCCCAGGGCCGGCACCCAAGGACCTACTGCATTTACTGCTTTCTCACGGGCCGTGGAAGTCCAGGGTAAGTCTCTAGGATCCAATCTCCACACCCTTTGTGTTGAGCTTGCCCATTTTCTTGAGTAATCTTTGTTGAACCTTCTTGGTGGGTCACCCTGTTCTGTACAGAAGTGGAAGAAACAGCTGAACTGTTTTGGAACAGCTGTTCATGTCTGGGTAATTTAAGGCAAAGATGGGTTCCACCTGGTCCAAAATCCTCCGTGGGCCAGGATCTTGTGCGTTTTTGGAAAAATGGGTAAACTTAAAAAAGGATAATTTGGAACTGCCATGGCCACTTTGGGGAACCTTTAACATTTACATATTAGAAAAGAAAAAAACAAAAATGTTGCTTGTAGATCGTGTAAGTCCATAAGTAAGATAGATCAGCTTAGGGGTGCCCTTGAAGACAGAGGATCTTCATCTTTTCAGAGACAGTGAAATGCCTTCTTTGTTATGCAGAAGCTTCTAAAAGACAAACTGATTCTCCAAAAGTATCCTTACAGTGCACAAATGAAAAATCTTTAGTAAAAAAGTCTTTAGCCATTTGAGCAAATTATTTTGTCTGCCAGAAACACAATTTGGATCCAGCTGTTCTTTTATAAACTAGCAAGTTTTGTATTATTGTACCAGACACATGACTGAAATTTCTAAATGGAAGCTGTAAGATCTCTGTCTATCTCTATCTTTATGACATGTGTATTTTTTTTTAACCTCTGGATGGCATTTCCAAAATTAATGTATAAAATAGCTCTATTTAATTGGCTCAAAGAAAAATAAGCACTTGTATAAGTAATTCTAAAACTTTCAGAAAAACAGGAATTTACTCAAATGTTTTTTAAGTTCATGTGACACGGATAATCTTTGGTGAGTAAGAATATCGTTGGTTTAGTTTTTTTAAAAAAAGAAAAGGATATACCTTCAGAGTTGTCAATATTAGTTATAATACAGACATACAACTTTTATTACTAGTTAAGTTATCTCCATTTTACAAAATTGTGCAAGTCCATGGCTTGGTTGCTTAGCCTGGAGTGGCTTTTAAAAGTCTAATCTGAGACTCCTTATTACCAGACAGTTTCAATGAGTAGAGATTGACTTTATGGAGCTAATAACCCCTTTGGTTATCACCAAAACTTTGACTGGAATGTCATATTTGAGAATGTGCATTGAACCACTATCCTTGATGCAGTTACATAAATGATCAGTCCAAGTTTAATGAGATTAGACTGATTTTGCAAACAGATTAGTCTTAGTATGATTATCTTTGGTAGGAATTGGGGTGACTGAAGAGACAAAAGTTGTGTTCTGGTAGAAAACTACAGTGTACCTGTTATCAGATTCTAGCCCTGTTCAATGTCTTTGAGGTACTACAGTGTGCCTGTTATCAGATTCTAGCCCTGTTCAATGTCTTTGAGGTATTATAGTGTACCTGTTATCAGATTCTAGCCCTGTTCAATGTCTTTGAGGTACTACAGTGTGCCTGTTATCAGATTTTAGCCCTGTTCAATGTCTTTGAGGTATTATAGTATGCCTGTTATCAGATTCTAGCCCTGTTCAATGTCTTTGAGGTATTATAGTGTAACTGTTATCAGATTCTAGCCCTGTTCAATGTCTTTGAGGTACTACAGTGTGCCTGTTATCAGATTCTAGCCCTGTTCAATGTCTTTGAGGTACTACAGTGTACCTGTTATCAGATTCTAGCCCTGTTCAATGTCTTTGAGGTACTACAGTGTGCCTGTTATCAGATTCTAGCCCTGTTCAATGTCTTTGAGGTATTATAGTATGCCTGTTATCAGATTCTAGCCCTGTTCAATGTCTTTGAGGTACTACAGTGTGCCTGTTATCAGATTCTAGCCCTGTTCAATGTCTTTGAGGTACTAAGGTGTACCTGTTATCAGATTCTAGCCCTGTTCAATGTCTTTGAGGTTTGCTGTGTACCTCTAACCTGGACTGCAACTTGAGTTTTTCCTTTTTCCTCCAATGTCTGGCTGTGACTTTCGAAATGAACATTTCCAATTTTCCCTCACTCTTCTGACCTGGAATCACAAGAAATAAAACTGCCCTTTCCCTCACTCCCTGCAAGTTGAAACTGGAAAATTTGATATAAACTTCAGAGAAATCGCTGCCACAGTTCATGCATGGACAACATTCATGCCTGTTCCTGTGTGGGCCACTTAGAGAGCTCATTGGAACACCTGGTGATATTGCCTGGGACATTCAAACTGCAAATCAGGAAAATTGTTCACATTGAAACTTCCCCCCCTCATTTTACCATCTAAAGATAATTCCAGCTCAAATCTATTAAATCTCAACTGGCTTCCCTCTGAACTGAGAGACTGAGTTTATAATCTGTTCCAACTAGTAACCTTTTTTTTTGTTTCCATAGAAATATCTAACAAATACCTGATTGCTCACACCACGTAGAAGCCTAATTTAGGAGGAAGCTTTCCTGTAGCACTGCTTCCTGAAATGAGACATCCCCATGTTTATCTTGTCTTAGGTAATCATGACACGGTTCAACACTGTAAGGCACTAATGCAATATTCAAAAGCTGATTTCCACCAGATCTAAGAAGTTTTCTATGATCTGCTTCCTAAAGAAGGCAATGTGCCCCATACATTAGAACTTGGAGACTTAGTTTATTGGAAAAGATGCCAACGAAAGTCTGCATTTGAGTCTTGTTGGAAGGGGTCTTTTTTACTGCAAAATATTTACAGTTATAGCAAAGATCTATCCACTGTTGAGCCAGATTTACATTAGGCAACCACACAGCCTTGGGCTATTCATGGCTGAGGAGGAGCACGTTGTTGCATCGCGTTGTGCCTACATAAGTAACTCGGGAAAAATGTAAACCCAATTACACGTTATCCAGGAAAATGCAGGTGGGCTTGGAAACATACAACCTGAATCAGACTGTGACTCATTTTATCTTTTGAGCTGGTTAAATCTGGGCAGGTGGCATTTTTGGACGCTAGGTGTTATCCTCCTGAGAGTAACATCCACCACCTCTCTCGGGTGTTGTATCCGCTCCAGTGCCCACTGACTCAGCAAATGGTCTCTGTGAGAACCAAGCAACAACCTGGAGGGCCCACTGAGATCCCACTTTGAAGCCTTCAGTGTCCATGGAGGAAGGATGGGTGGTGACAGGAATGCTGAATGGCCGCACTCTCAGCTCCACTCAGAGAAAGACCACAAGGGAAGAACTGTCAAATAAACACAGAAATGCAGGTAGGGACTGACCTTCGCCCCAACCACGGCTCCACCCGCTCAGTGAGATTCCAAAATTGACCACATAGTTGGAAGTAAAGCACTCCTCAGCAAATGTAAAAGAACAGAAATTATAACAAACTGTCTCTCAGACCACACTGCAATCAAACTAGAACACAGGATTAAGAAACTCACTCAAAACCACTCAACTACATGGAAACTGAACAACCTGCTCCTGAATGACTACTGGGTACATAACGAAATGAAGGCAGAAATAAAGATGTTCTTTGAAACCAACGAGAACAAAGACACAACATACCAGAATCTCTGGGACACATTCAAAGCAGTGTGGAGAGGGAAATTTATAGCACTAAATGCCCACAAGAGAAAGCAGGAAAGATCTAAAATTGACACCCTAACATCACAAAAGAACTAGAGAAGCAAGAGCAAACACATTCAAAAGCTAGCAGAAGGCAAGAAATAACTAAGATCAGAGCAGAACTGAAGGAAATAGAGACACAAAAAACCCTTCAAAAAATCAATGAATCCAGGAGCTGGTTTTTTGAAAAGATCAACAAAATTGATAGACCGCTAGCAAGACTAATAAAGAAGAAAAGAGAGAAGAATCAAATAGACACAATAAAAAATGACAAAGGGGCTATCACCACCAATCCCACAGAAATACAAACTACCATCAGAGAATACTATAAACACCGCTACGCAAATAAACTAGAAAATCTAGAAGAAATGGACAAATTCCTCAACACATACACTCTCCCAAGACTAAACCAGGAAGAAGTTGAATCTCTGAATAGGCCAACAACAGGCTCTGAAATTGAGGGAATAATTAATAGCTTACCAACCAAAAAAAGTCCAGGACCAGATGGATTCACAGCCAAATTCTACCAGAGGTACAAGGAGGAGCTGATACCATTCCTTCTGAAACTATTCCAATCAGCGGAAAAAAAGGGAATCCTCCCTAGCTCATTTTATGAGGCCAGCATCATCCTGATACCAAAGCCTGGCAGAGACACAACAAAAAAAGAGAATTTTAGACCAATATCCTTGATGAACATTGATGCAAAAATCCTCAATAAAATACTGGCAAACCGAATCCAACAACACATCAAAAAGCTTATCCACCATGATAAAGTGGGCTTCATCCCCGGGATGCAAGGCTGGTTCAACATACGAAAATCAATAAACGTAATCCAGCATATAAACAGAACCAAAGACAAAAACCACATGATTATCTCAATAGATGCAGAAAAGGCCTTTGACAAAATTCAACAACCCTTCATGTTAAAAACTCTCAATAAATTAGGTATTGATGGGATGTATCTCAAAATAATAAGAGCTATCTATGACAAACCCACAGCCGATATCATACTGAATGGACAAAAACTGGAAGCATTCCCTTTGAAAACTGGCACAAGACAGGGATGCCCTCTCTCACCACTCCTATTCAACATAGTGTTGGAAGTTCTGGCCAGGGCAATCAGGCAGGAGAAGGAAATAAAGGGCATCAATTAGGAAAAGAGGAAGTCAAATTGTCCCTGTTTGCAGATGACATGATTGTATATCTAGAAAACCCCATTGTCTCAGCCCAAAATCTCCTTAAGCTGATAAGCAACTTCAGCAAAGTCTCAGGATACAAAATCAATGTGCAAAAATCACAAGCATTCTTATACACCAATAACAGACAAACAGAGAGCCAAATCATGAGTGAACTCCCAGTCACAATTGCTTCAAAGAGAATAAAATACCTAGGAATCCAACTTACAAGGGATGTGAAGGACCTCTTCAAGGAGAACTACAAACCACTGCTCAATGAAATAAAAGAGGATACAAACAAATGAAAGAACATTCCATGCTCATGGGTAGGAATAATCAATACCGTGAAAATGGCCATACTGCTCAAGGTAATTTATTGATTCAATGCCATCCCCATCAAGCTACCAATGACTTTCTTCACAGAATTGGAAAAAACTACTTTAAAGTTCATATGGAACCAAAAAAGAGCCTGCATTGCCAAGTCAATCCTAAGCCAAAAGAACAAAGCTGGAGGCATCACACTACCTGACTTCAAACTATATTACAAGGCTACAGTAACCAAAACAGCATGGTACTGGTACCAAAACAGAGAGATAGACCAATGGAACATAACAGAGCCCTCAGAAATAATGCCACATATCTACAACTATCTGATCTTTGACAAACCTGACAAAAACAAGCAATTGGGAAAGGATTCCCTATTTAATAAATGGTGCTGGGAAAACTGGCTAGCCATATGTAGAAAGCTGAAACTGGATCCCTTCCTTACATCTTATACAAAAATTAATTCAAGATGGATTAAAGACTTACATGTTAGACCTAAAACCATAAAAATGCTAGAAGAAAACCTAGGCAATACCATTGAGGACATAGGCATGGGCAAGGACTTCATGTCTAAAACACCAAAAGCAATGGCAACAAAAGCCAAAATTGACAAATGGGATCTAATTAAACTAAAGAGCTTCTGCACAGCAAAAGAAACCACCATCAGAGTGAACAGGCAACCTACAGAATGGGAGAAAATTTTTGCAATCTACTCATCTGACAAAGGGCTAATATCCAGAATCTACAATGAACTCTAACAAATTTACAAGAAAAAAACAACCCCATCAAAAAGTGAGCGAAGGATATGAACAGACACTTCTCAAAAGAAGACATTTATGCAGCCAAAAAACACATGAAAAAATACTCATCATCACTGGCCATCAGAGAAATGCAAATCAAAACCGCAATGAGATACCATATCACACCAATTAGAATGGCGATCATTAAAAAGTCAGGAAACAACAGGTGCTGGAGAGGATGTGGAGAAATAGGAACACTTTTACACTGTTGGTGGGACTGTAAACTAGTTCAACCATTGTGGAAGTCGGTGTGGCGATTCCTCAGGGATCTACAACTAGAAATACCATTTGACCCAGCCATCCCATTACTGGGTATATACCCAAAGGATTATAAATCATGCTGCTATAAAGACACATGCACACGTATGTTTACTGTGGCACTATTCACAATAGCAAAGACTTGGAACTAACCCAAATGTCCAACAATGATAGACTGGATTAAGAAAATGTGGCACACATACACCATGGAATACTATGCAGCCATAAAAAATGATGAGTTCATGTCCTTTGTAGGGACACGGATGAAGCTGGAAACCATCATTCTCAGCAAACTATCGCAAGGAGAAAAAACCAAACACCGCATGTTCTCACTCATAGGTGGGAATTGAACAATGAGAACACATGGACACAGGAAGGGGAACATCACACACCGGGGACTGTTGTGGGGTGGTGGGGTCGTGGGGGAGGGATAGCATTAGGAGATATACCAAATGCTAAGTGATGAGTTAATGGGTGCAGCACACCAACATGGCACATGTATACATATGTAACAAACCTGCACGTTGTGCACATGTACCCTAAAACTTAAAGTATAATAAAAAAAAGAATGTTTCTATGAGAGAGCAGCATTCTGAATTCATCCTAATTACCTGTTCGCCCATTTCCTTTGGGTTTCTAAGGTAGTAGAATAGGCTGTGCTGAAAACAGACAGACAGACAGATAGACCTGCAGACAGATAGGCAGATAGGCAGAAAGCCAGACAGACTTGCAGACAGGCAGACAGACAAACAGACAGATAGACCTGCTCCCAGATGGACAGAGAGGCAGCTATCATGAAGGGTGGCTCAAGACCATTCCCAGTGTATCAATGGGTCACCGAATGTGTGATGAACAATGATTAGATCCTTCCTAATTACATGCAAATGAGGCTAACCATCATCCTCATGTAATTACACACGGTGTTATATTTGTTTCAGTTGTGGTTGGCTTCAAGAATAGAGCAGAAGGGCAAGAGCTTCAGTGTTCTAATACTGGATCTTGGTGGCCACACCCCCAAGTCTTCCTGAACCAACTATCCCTGCCTGTCCCTGGTCCCACCTGTCCTACCTGCCCCTGTCCTGACTCCACTTGCCTGTCACACACACTAATTCCATTGTCCACCCCGGAGCAGCCTTGACACTCACTGGGCAAGGATCCCAAGCCTGCCCCACTGCTCTGCAGAGCCTCTTCCCTTCATCTTTGTCTGGGTGAGGGAGTCTCCCCCAGCTTCATCCGGAACCTTATGGCCATGATGGAGAAAGTGCTTCTGTTCCAGTCCCATTTGCGAGGAATCTCAATGGGCGCCCAGCCCACTTTCTTCCCTAAAGCCGTGACCTCAGGTAGTTCCCCTTCTGGGAGCAGTTTCCTCATCCCTAGATGAGTGTGTTGGTCAAGGAGGTGTCTAAGTCCCTTCCAGCTCCACCTTTCCATAAATATCTGCCCTGGAGTGACCATAGCAGAGTCCTTCACACAGCACGCGGGTTCAACAGCTTTCCAGGCAGCGAGCCACCAGAGCCACAGCCAGGGCAGCCAGTACCCACTAGCCGGGCCAGGCCTGCTTCTCACCTGCTGTCCCGGGCAATCATGCACAGCCCCGTTCTCTCGAGAGAGGCCAGGTCTGGTGGACACGTTTACTGTCAGTCCATTCATAACCCATCCAGGAGGTATGCAGTTTGGGGGGTGACAAGCAACATTTGGAAGAGAACCTGTGGTTTTGTGAGGTGTCTGCACTGCATCACAGTGTGAACTGTGTCCCTAACTGCAGGCCTCAGGCAAACTTGAAGCAAGCTTTGGGCTAGGCCAGGGGGCTCCTGACTCTGCGTCTGCTGCAGGCAGTGTCTGGGCTGGTGCATGTGAACATTCTCAGGAAACCCTCAGATAGAAGCCTTCTTTACCCCTTAGCAGATGTGCCCTTGCTGGATGGGCTCTGACAAAGTCTCAGCTTCCCAGCCCACTTCAGCCCCCATCACACACATCTCCGTCTGGGAAACTGCTTCTTCCAGACCCTTTGTGTAATGATGAACGTCTTAACCAATGCCACTTTGCACAGGGTGCTGTGGGGTGCAGAAAGCAAAGCCGCATCAGTACTCAGACAGCTTCTGTCCGGTCCTTAGTAAACAAGACCAACGCGCACCAGGCCAGAGGGGCAAAGGCCATGCCTCTGAGTTCTGCAGGCAGGCAGTGGACTCTTGGCAGGCCGCACGAGGTGTGGGCGGGAGGATGAGAGTGCTCGGGGCAGGAACTCTGGGAGCACTTAGTGGGTGAAGGGAAATAGCGAGTGATGGGGCAGGCGGCTGGGCACGCTGGAGGGCAGTGCCGCCAGGTGAGACAGGAACAGCGTGAGGCAGGAGACAGGATGTGGGGGCCCCTGGCGCAGCATTTCATGCCGAGTGACAGCACCCTCCCTTGGCCTCTTCCTCCCAGAGTGGCACAATGTGTCCCCTGTTCCCTCTGCCAGGCTTCAGGCTCCTGCAGAGAGGGCGCCGGGCACGGGATTCAGGGCACTATGCCTGTGCAATGGCAGGCAAGGTCAGTCCCTGGTCAGTGTCTGCAGGGCCCCTGGCGGCGTGGCCTCACGCTGCAGAAAGTGCAGGGTTTGTCTGCACCTCTTATGGGTCCCCGGAGCATGTGGGCCTGTTGGGGGGCCTCTGCCTGGTGCTGGCGCGGAGTGGGGTACAGGGAGGATTTCGGGGCATGGACTCCACCCCTCACTGGAGGCCGCCAGTTGCCAGTCTCAGAGGTAGGAGGTGCCTGTTTTTGCCTTAGAAGTCGAAGGCTGGAGCTTCCTTTTGCTTCTCAAATGTTTTAGACACCGTCAGAAACCATAACCTATTTTTGTGGGAAATGTTCTCCAAGATGCCACTGCAATCTTTTCCAAGGGCATCATGGCCCATGGAAGCTTCTTCTAAAAACGGAGGTGCTGTTTCAAGATTCAGGATGAGAACACTGCACTGTGTAAAAGCATTAGCAAGTTGAATTTTTCTTCTTTCAAGTTACTGGCAAAATATCCTTTGAGGACATTTACTTTGAGGATCTATCCTGTGGCAAATATCCTGGTGTGAAGCATCAGATTCTACAAGTCACTCCACTTAGGAGACTGTCAGGACCATCGTCATGATGGTGCAGCATTTTGCAATTTACAAAACGAATTCATGCAGTTATGGCAACAACCCTGTGAAGACACCAGATTGAGTCTCACTGCTCCGTTCCCACAACACGGATGAGGCGGGTGGAGGGTTTTGTTTTGTTTTTTGAGACGGAGCCTTGCTCTGTCACCCAGGCTGGAGTGCAGTGGTGAGATCTCAGTTTACTGCAACCTCTGCCTCCCGGGTTCAAGTGATTCTTTTGCCTCAGCCTCCTGAGTAGCTGGAACTACAGGCACGTGCCACCACGCCCGGCTAATTTTTGTATTTTTAGTAGAGACAGGGTTGCACCATGTTGGTCAGGCTGGTCTCGAACTCCTGACCTCAGGTGATCCACCCGCCTTGGCCTCCAAAGTGCTGGGATTACAGGCGTGGGCCACCGCGCCCGGCCTCATGGTGAGTTTAAGGACACGGCTGTCACGCTGAAGCTGACGCCAGGATCGAATCCCATGACACCGTCTCACTGGAGGAAGTCTCCCACCACAAGAATCCAGGGTTACTCTTTTGTTTCAGTTTTTTTTTTTCGTTAGGAGTAACTGGTGATTCCATCTGAAAAGGCCCACATGCTGCAGGATTCCAACCCAAGACATTCTGGAAAGGCAGGACTATGGAGCCAGGGCAAAGATCGGCAGTTGCCAGGGGCTGGGGAAGGAGGGACGAAGAGGCGGAGCACAGGGGAGTTTCAGGTCAGCGAGGACGACCCGCGCGATGCTGTGATGGCGGGTCCTTGTCATTAGGCATTTGTCCAAACCCACAGAATGCAAACCACCAGGAGTGAGCCCTAAGTAAACCAGGGACTTCAGTTAACAACAAGGGGTCAATATTATACCAAAGCCATCAGTTGTAACAAGTGCACCACATTAACAAAACATGTTAATAAGAGGCACTGGGCAGTGCGGACTGCACGAGAATCCCCTGTACTTTCTGCTTAATTTTTATGTCACCATAAAACTGCTCTAAAAAGTCGATTAACTTGAAAAATCAGGAGCTGCTAAGTCTAGTGGAGAACTCAGGGATGCCTGGGGTGGTTCCATCTTAAGAATGTGTCTTCCAGTGAGAACTGTTTTTCCAACAGCAAGGTAAAGCACAGATATGATCTTGACTTGTTTTGCCCATGGAGTCCTATGAAAATCAGACCGTGCTGAGCTGGGTTGTGGGGAGGTGCCCTGTTCTGACCCACGCGGGGGACTGTAACATCCCGGAATCTGAGGTAAGCTGAAAAGGCCTTCCCAAAGCAAAAGCTGTGACAGCCTGGATCCTGCACCATGGCTGCATGGCTGAGACCTGCCACATGGGTTTGCCCCCAGGAAGGGCTGAGGCTGGGGCCTGCATGGTTCTGCTGAGTGTTCAGGAAGGTGAGAGACAAGCTCTCAACCCGGGGGATGTCAAATGTGAAGTTTCTTTCCAGGGATGCTCTTCCTCTTTACATGGGCCACCTGGGTGTGACAGCTGCGCTGATTCTCCATGGCCAGGTGTTGTGCCCAGGAGCTGGTCCTGCTGGGTCTGAGTTCTGCCTGCCTCCGAGCGCCTGCCCAGGACCCTTGGCTCACGGTGCTTGCTTCCCACCCCGTAGGATGGCACAAAGCCATGACTCCTCAGTGAGTAGCTGATACCCATGTAATAAACATGGAAGTGACACAATTCTCTGAAGCAGCAAAAGTGCATCTTGGAGGCTGGTTGTGACACCAGCAGGTTGTCTTCAGGTTCTGTGAATAAAACATCAGCTCTTACCTCAAATGGTCTAGAGTAGACTCACATGTCCTCACGTGAAGAAAACCACACTCTGCCAGGATCCCCATAGTGAGATACGTCTTCCCAACCAACAATACCGAGGATCCTGATAGTGAGATATGGCTTCCCAACAAACAATAACCACACTCTGCCAGGACTCTGATAGTGAGATACGGCTTCCCAACAAATAATACCCAGGACTCGGATAGTGAGATATGGCTTCCCAACAAACAATACCCAGGACTCGGATAGTGAGATATGGCTTCCCCAACAAACAATACCCAGGACTCGGATAGTGAGATACGGCTTCCCAACAAACAATAACCACACTCTGCCAGGATTCTGATAGTGAGATACAGCTTCTCCAACAAACAATACCCAGGACTCTGATAGTGAGATACAGCTTCCCCAACAAACAATACACAGGATCCTCATAGTGAGATACGACTTCCCCAACAAACAATAACCACACTCTGCCAGGACTCTGATAGTGAGATACGGCTTCCCCAACAAACAATACCCAGGACTTGGATAGTGAGATACGGCTTCCCCAACAAACAATACCCAGGACTCAGATAGTGAGATACAGCTTCCCCAACAAACAATACCCAGGACTCGGATAGTGAGATACGGCTTCCCAACAAACAATAACCACACTCTGCCAGGATTCTGATAGTGAGATACAGCTTCTCCAACAAACAATACCCAGGACTCTGATAGTGAGATACAGCTTCCCCAACAAACAATACACAGGATCCTCATAGTGAGATACGACTTCCCCAACAAACAATAACCACACTCTGCCAGGACTCTGATAGTGAGATACGGCTTCCCCAACAAACAATACCCAGGACTTGGATAGTGAGATACGGCTTCCCCAACAAACAATACCCAGGACTCAGATAGTGAGATACAGCTTCCCCAACAAACAATATCCAGGACTCGGATAGTGAGATACGGCTTCCCCAGCAAACAACACACAGGATCCTGATAGTGAGATACTGCTTCCCAAACAAACAATACCCAAGTGGGGGCACTCCCTATCCTCTCCCTGCTGCCCCCATAATCCAGGCTGCAGGAAGTCCTGTGGCTGGCTGGGGGCCCCAATCGGTGCCCACCCGACCCCTGAAGGCACTGAGCCTGAGGGTCTTTTACAGGGGAAGCCGGCAATGAGCCTTAGGGTCTTCTGACAGTCAAGAATGGTTCTTCCTCTACCTACTAGAGCACAGCATCCATCAGCCTTGACTGTTGCCCAATCCTGAGAGAACCTACAGAGGAGCCAGCATCTGCAGCAGCACACTGGTACATCCACACACATGCTGCAGCACAGCCACGCACCTGCGACAGTACACCTGAACACCCGCATACCCACTGCAGCACACCTGTACACCACAATCATGCTGCAGCACACCTGTATATCTGCACACCTGCTGTAGCATACCTGTACACCACACACAAGCTGCAGCACAGCTGTTCATCCGCACACATGCTGCAGCACACCTGTACACCTGCGGCAGTACACCTGAACACCTGCACACCCACCGCAGCACACCCGTATACCACACACAAGCTGCAGCACAGCTGTACACCTGCACACCTGCTGCAGCACACCTATACACCTGCAAGGAGTCAGGACAGTCCCACCACGTTATTCACATCACAGCGAGCAAGTGCACAGGACAGTGTCTCACAAGTTGGACTAAGCCCTGACCTGAGTAGGATTTCTTGGAGAAGCCACTGTCTGAGCTGGAGAGGGAATCACACAGCGGTGGCAGCACGGCCTGCACCACGGAGTGAAAGCAGTGAGCTCCGGAGTCCATTCAGCTACTCTGGTCACAGCCTGGAAACGCTGCTGGGAGAACAATCCCAGTGCCTCAGGCCTCGGTTCCTCATCTGGGGAATGGGAATAGCCTCAGGCCTCAGCTCCTCATCTGGGGAATGGGAATAGCCTCAGGCCTCGGCTCCTCATCTGTGGAATGGGAATAGCCTCAGGCCTCGGCTCCTCATCTGTGGAATGGGAATAGCCTCAGGCCTCGGCTCCTCATCTGTGGAATGGGAATAGCCTCAGGCCTCGGCTCCTCATCTGTGGAATGGGAATAGCCTCAGGCCTCGGCTCCTCATCTGTGGAATGGGAATAGCCTCAGGCCTCGGCTCCTCATCTGTGGAATGGGAATAGCCTCAGGCCTCGGCTCCTCATCTGTGGAATGGGAATAGCCTCAGGCCTCGGCTCCTCATCTGTGGAATGGGAATAGCCTCAGGCCTCGGCTCCTCATCTGTGGAATGGGAATAGCCTCAGGCCTCGGCTCCTCATCTGTGGAATGGGAATAGCCTCAGGCCTCGGCTCCTCATCTGTGGAATGGGAATAGCCTCAGGCCTCGGCTCCTCATCTGTGGAATGGGAATAGCCTCAGGCCTCGGCTCCTCATCTGTGGAATGGGAATAGCCTCAGGCCTCGGCTCCTCATCTGTGGAATGGGAATAGCCTCAGGCCTCGGCTCCTCATCTGTGGAATGGGAATAGCCTCAGGCCTCGGCTCCTCATCTGTGGAATGGGAATAGTTCTTGTCTGGCAGTGTTGCGCATTAAATTTAGAATTTCATGTAAAGTGCTTAGAGCACAGTAAGCCCTTAACAACAACTATTATTATCATTATAACTAATATTATTAGCACATGCTAGATGTTCAATACATATTAGTGATTTCTGTCAGCAAGGAAACCTGAGACAAGTCTTTACATGCTTTACAACTCAGGTTTCTCCACTTGTAAAACAACAACAACAACAACAGCAAAAACCTGTCCCAATGTCACAAAAAGTGCACGGGACCCTAACAACTAATACCTCACTGGCTGTACACTGCATACAGGATGGCAGGAGGAGGCAGCATTTCTGTGAGAACAAGGCATTCCACATCTAGAAGATGCTGTGATTAGCAAGGATCACTGTGGGGAAGGGAGAAGTTACACGTGGAGAGAAAAGAAGAGCAAATCAGGACTTAAAAAATTACTGTGGATGAAAGGGGATGGCAAATCAAAAGCAAGGCAGGCACCAAAGGAGACACTTAGCACAGACATGCTGGGATCACGCACAGGGGCCACCTCTTGTGACCATCACAATCCCCGGTGACCTCAGCACAGACACGCTGGGACCACACACAGGGGCCACCTCTTGTGACCATCACAATCCCCGGTGACCTCAGCACAGACACGCTGGGACCACACACAGGGGCCACCTCTTATGACCATCACAATCCCCAGTGCCCTCAGCAGAGACACACTGGGATCACGCACAGGGGCCACCTCTTGTGACTATCACAATCCCCAGTGACCTCAGCACAGACATGCTGGGACCACGCACAGGGGCCACCTCCTGCGACCACTGCAATCCCCAGTGACCTCGGCACAGACACGCTGGGACCCACGCACAGGGGCCACCTCTTGTGACCATCACAATCCCCGGTGACCTCAGCAGAGACACACTGGGATCACGCACAGGGGCCACCTATTGTGACTATCACAATCCCCGGTGACCTCAGCACAGACACGCTGGGATCACGCACAGGGGCCACCTCCTGCGACCATTGCAATCCCCGGTGACCTCAGCACAGACACGCTGGGACCACGCACAGGGGCCACCTCTTGTGACCATCACAATCCCCGGTGACCTCAGCACAGACACGCTGGGACCACACACAGAGGCCACCTCTTATGACCATCACAATCCCCAGTGCCCTCAGCAGAGACACACTGGGATCACGCACAGGGGCCACCTCTTGTGACTATCACAATCCCCAGTGACCTCAGCACAGACATGCTGGGACCACGCACAGGGGCCACCTCCTGCGACCACTGCAATCCCCAGTGACCTCGGCACAGACACGCTGGGACCCACGCACAGGGGCCACCTCTTGTGACCATCACAATCCCCGGTGACCTCAGCAGAGACACACTGGGATCACGCACAGGGGCCACCTATTGTGACTATCACAATCCCCGGTGACCTCAGCACAGACACGCTGGGATCACGCACAGGGGCCACCTCCTGCGACCATTGCAATCCCCGGTGACCTCAGCACAGACACGCTGGGACCACGCACAGGGGCCACCTCTTGTGACCATCACAATCTCTGGTGACCTCAGCACAGACACGCTGTGATCACACACAGAGGCCACTTCCTGTGACCATTTTACCAAACCGGTAAAGCCTGGATTCCTTGGGAACCTACTTTGCCCCAGGAGCTCCGTAGAAGCATCGAATTGTGGTTTACGGAACTGGAGCAACACAAGTGAGGTTAATAGAGGGCTTTGCGCATGAAGCAGAAGATAAGCGCTGATGTCTCGACTGCTCGTGGGAATCCCCTGCTCATGGATGAGTCTGCGGCTGCCCCTTCTGAGCCGTGTCCCTGTATGGTAAAGTGTGGTCATGCAGCGCCTTATCCCATGGATGGCTGGGGGACTGAATGAGCTAGTCCATGCAGAGTTCAGCATGGTGCCAGGTGCTCTGTGAACGCTCAATAATTTATGCTATTTGGTGTGATATGATGATGAAAGGAATTTTTATAACGGAAGGGATGTGAAAGGTTGTGTAATCCCACAACTGCAGCCCTCCTTGCCTGCTTTGCACATGCCTGCCTCGCAGGGGGCCCAGGGAAAGCCCCGCCCTGCACGTCACTCCTCACACAGTCCGGTTCCCCCATCAGCAATAGCAGTGGGGGAACGAGGGGCCATGAGACCTGCCTGGCCTCCTCCTGTGGTTCCCGGGACGCGAGCACTGGTCGGTGCCACAGGAGGAGGCTGGAATACTCAGAGCTGCGGCTGGGAGCCTGCCTGGCCCTGAAGGCTGCTTCCTAGTCAGCTGGGCCTGGACCTGTCCTCCTTCCACGGGCCTGAGCAACCGCAGTTAGAAAAGCCACCTGGGCCAGGGGCAGGGGCTCATGCCTGTAATCCCAACACTTTGGGAGGCTGAGGCGGGCAGATCGCCTGAGGCCAGGAGTCTCTACTAAAAATACAAAAATTGGCCAGGCTGGTGGCGCACGTCTGTAGTCCCAGCTACTCTGGAGGCTGAGGCACGAGAATCGCTTGAACCTGGGAGGCGGAGGTTGCAGTGAGCCAAGATTATGCCGCTGAACTCCTGGGCAGCGGTTAGTCCCTCAGAAAACGGAGGTGAGAACCTCCCAGGGCTTTCCTGTGAAGACAGAGTCAGAGGCTGACGTGAGGGCTTCCCACCTGCACAGACTGCCCACCTCCGCCTGAGCTGTGGACTCTGCAGGCTGAGCCTGTTTTAAGCAAAAGGACACAGCAATGGACGGCTGGGGCCCAGAGCGAAATTGGCGAATCTGACACTCATGAAGCCGAGAGCACCAGGTGTGACAGGAGCGGGTCTTACCCTGTCCCCTCCAGATGGGCCCAGCCACCATGTTCTAATCTGAGGTCAGGAGGAGGGGACAGCGACCTGAGTACCCCATTTATCCTCTCCTCTGGGATTTTCTCCTCAAGATGACAGGGTGAGGAGGGGTTCTGGGTTCTGGTCTGGCACTGCCCTTTGAGATATTTATCTTCAAATATTCATTTCCTTTCCCATTTTAAACTGAAGAGTCTTGACTCATTCCAAATTGTACAGCCTCTGGCATCAAAATAACTTGAACCAGATCACCAAAATAACCTCCTTCCATGGGCAATTTCGGGATGCTTTTTGGCAGGAGGCTGTTTTCTTTTCTTTTCTTTTTTTTTTTTTTTTTTGAGACTGAGTCTCGCTGTGTTGCCCAGGCTGGAGTGCAGTGGTGCAATCTTGGCTCGCTGCAAGCTCCGCCTCCCGGGTTCGGCTGTTCTCAGAGATTTGTGTGTCTGCCAGAGGGAGGTGGTCGGTGTTTGCAACGTGGCTTTCTGCTTGGAAGGACTGTGGCTCCGTGTCTCAGAGTTCTGGGCCTTGGGTGTCTCATGGGCCTGGTGCTGGGCAGCAGCGTGGAGCTGCCAGCAAGAGCAGCCTCCCTTCTGCTCTCAAGACTCAGGCCTTGGGAACAAGGCTGTGACTGTTGTTACCCACACACGCATGTGAGTGTGCAGCCTCTCCGGGGAGAGTGGGTGACCTGGGGGAGTCAAGGCAGGTGGAACAAGCCATCCACTTCTGCACTGGTGCCGTCCACTCAGAGAACCCGTCTAGCAGCGGAGATGCTGCTCCCAAGCTGAGAGATGTGGTCCTGCGGGGGCTGGTGGGGGCAGAAGACATTTCCTCAAGACACTGGCAGTTACTGGAGGAAGGTGAGAGGTAAACGTCATTATATTTTTAAAAACACTGTAGACTTTGAGAACTTTGTGTGCTCATTTACTTTTCCTTAGGTTGAGACTGAAAACGTCAACACAGGAGGCTGGTCTCGTCCATCTTCTCAGAGGTCATCCTTCAGGGAAATGGGAAACTCAGACCAACCGTGTTTTAAGAAGCGTCCTTTAGTAGAAGTCAGGGCAGGCACCGCGGCTCCACGCTTACTTTCGAGGGTGCTGGCGGGTGTGGCTGGAGCTCACTCTCACTGCCGGAAGTGAGGAGCCTCTCCAACTCACTCAGGGGAGATTTTTAAAAATAGTCTTATTTCTCACAAAAATAACCACTTCCCTGGGCTGAAAACTCCCCTGGAGTCTGTCAGTGCAGAGCAGCGCTGGGCTCAGGATCCGAGATGGGAGCGAGGAGCTGTTCCACCCACAACAAGCAGGTGCCCACAGCGTCCCTGGGTCCAGACATGGAAGACCCCACAGCGTCCCTGGGTTCGGAGATGGGAGACCCCGCAGCGTCCCTGGGTCCGGACATGGGAGACCCCGCAGCGTCCCTGGGTCCGGAGATGGGAGACCCCGCAGCGTCCCTGGGTCCGGACAGGGGAGAGGCCCTGCAGCGTCCCTGGGTCCGGACATGGGAGAGGCCCCGCAGTGTCCCTGAGTCTCCTGGACAGCGGCCACCCCATGCCCAGTGCTGACGGGCGCCCCTCGTGACTCCCTCTTTCAGGGCTGGTGGTCATGTCTGCGTGATGGAAAGGGAGCAGGAAGCTGAAGGGTAGGATGGGGAACAGGCTCACATCTGTGATGGGAAAGTCTGCCTTGACCTCTCAAGGAAAGGCTCAATTTTTAGGGGAATGATTTCCAAATCATTTAAGAGGCCCCAAGAGGAGAGATGCAGAGGAGGGGATGGTCTCTCACTGCAGCCCTGGTCTCATTCTCCACAGGGGAGGCTCCTCCCCTCTGCTCCATCCCCATGGGAGCCAGGGCCTCGCCTCTGCCATCTGGGATGTGAAACCTGTGGCTTCACTTCCAGACTCAGCAGAGGAAGAGGCCACGGGGTCTCTGATGAGCACGTGGAATCTTGCCCCTTAAATCTTGCTGTCTGAGGAATGGGGACATCATTTAGACACAGGCCAGAGAGTGCCCAAGGCCCAAGGAAAGTTGAGCCCATGGCTGCTTCTGACATCAGCCACTAGCTAAGCTCAGCCCTCAGGAGCCCTTGGAGCCCCTGACCCGTCAGCCAGGGCTGGCACTCAGGAACCAGAGCTGCTGGGAGGCCCAGGTCGTGGCCACGTGCACAGGCACCGGAGACATCCTTGGGTGGCCTCCTGTTCCTCCTCTGAATAAGGGCTGGTTTCCCAGAGAAGAGTGTGCACTGCTGTTACCCCAAGTGAGCCTGCGGTGATAATTGCAGTGTGATTTTGCAGCTTCTTTGCAGGGTGGCATCCGGCTCTGGTGGTGACGTTTTAAAGACGAAGATCCTGCGTGTACACGGCTGTGAGGCAGACAGCCCGTAATCAGTGCGACTCCATGCCGTGCCACACACCTTATTTTAAGCCACGTGTTTCCTTTATGGTATGTCCAAGTTAGAGGGAGAACTTATTTTCTTTTAAAATCCAAACATGACATTTCTGAAGTATAGAAACAGAGACATTTGGAGCTTTTTATCCCATTGAGACCTAGTTCATGCACAGAGTTTAGGATTAAAAAAGGCAACTGACCTAGGAAGTGGGGGCCTTTGCTTTGCTAGCAAATATTTGTACTTTGCTTTAAAACATGTGCCTGGCAGATCTCCTGAACCTAGTCCCAAGGAGACATCAGATAGACCCCAGCAAAGCCACTTCGTGAAATGAGAGGGCTGAGGTCTCTGAGGGCATCACGGCCACAAAGATGGAGAGGGGCTAGGGAGAGTTCCAGATTAAAGCCGGGGAGCCACCACAACCACACACAGCGCACTATCCTGGCCTGGAGTCTATGAAATCGGAGCCGAGACAGCAAATCATATGACAGCATTAGTGAAAATGGGACATTTCCTAAATTTGATGACACTACTGAAGAGATTTAAGAGACCAGCCCTGCTTTTAGGGGATTCCTAACATTTAAGGGGTGAAAAGGCGTGTGTGCAAGTGACTGTGTGCTGCACACACCCAGTGTGAGGGCCGGGCAAATGCTCACAGCCGGTGACAGGGCTCACAGTCGGGGAACCTGGCCCTGTTCTTGCAACTAACTTCAAAACAGCTGCTAAGAAAGATACAGCAGAGAGAATGTGACAACTGAGTTTCCTCTTTGTACTGACAAAGTCTGGGGTTCAAAGGCAAAGCACGTATAAATTTAAGTGGTTTTTTTAGTACTTAAAATTTGATTTTTGTAAATATAAAACCAATATATTCTTATTTTTGAAAAAGCAGAAAATAGAGCAAAAGGACTATTAAGAGGGAGAACAGGAGTGTCACCGGAAGCCCCAGACTCAAGGCCCTGCTGTTCTGCCCCCTTGGCCGTTATCCAGCCCACGGTGGTCTCCACGAGCCCCTGCTCCTGTCCAGGCTCCAAATCACATCGACATGACAGTTGGTGCCGACCTGACAGGCAGTAGGTGAATCCCTTCAAAACTCTTCCTTCTCTCTTTTTTTTTTAAGTCTTTAACAGACCTCCCTAGAACCCTGAAATTTGGGTTTCCACACTTTCTTCAATACAGTTGTTTCTGAGGACCATAAATGCTGAGTCCTGAAGCATGTGCTGTGTGTCCTGGAGGGGCCAGTGTGGTGTGTGGTGTATGATCTGGAGGCTCCCCGGGGGCTCCTGGCAACAAGCTGCAGGACGCACACCTTCTCAGAACCAGCGCCCCTGCCCCACCCACCTGTGGAGCCCAAGAGCCAGCTGCTGGGTGCCCAAGCTGAACATCTGCCGCCCACATACAGACCTCCCCTTAAGGGGAGCAGCAGGGAGGCTGGACCCTTCCCCAGAGCACAATGCCGGAGGTCCCACCCAAGGCTGCCCAAGCCCAAAGACAGGCCTCCTATCCATCGAGGCCCGGAGAGTTTCAACCCCTGCCTGGGGCCACACACTCCTTCATGCAGAGCCTGGTGTGCAGACCCTGCTGCCTTGGATGGTCCATCCTGGGTCAGGCACGTACCTCCCCTCCTCCGGCATCGGCCAGCTCCATGCCCAGAAGCGCCTGGCGCACCGCTGTGTTTCCTACAGGTCCGCTGCCCTGTGCTGCACATCATCCTGGTGTGCTCCTCCATCCTTCCACCTTCCTGATCATGTGGACCTCTAATTCCTTCACCTTCATCTCCCTCCCATTAGGAGAATCTTCCCTAGCGGATTCCTTTAGAACTTAAAGAACTTGGAGACCCAATCGCCATCCCCAGGCACCAGCGTATCTGTGCATTTCCTTCTTAACCTCCTTCCCTGGTCCCGTATCTCCTTTGGCCCTGAAAAGACTCATCCATTTATTTGGAAAGTATTAAGCATCACATGCACAGGTTAAAACTAAACAGCAGAAAAGTGCTCATAATCCTGTCTGGTTGTGCCAGGTGACAGCTGAATGATTTCTGCCTGTGGCCAGATTTCTGCCCCTGCCTGAGGTCAGTCTCGTGGCCCCCGCAGCAGCCACAGGCCCAGCTCTTGTCCCGGCCCACCTCGGGATGCTTCCGCCGTACTGTGTCCATGGCTGAGACCACCCTCTCTGTGGCCGCCTTGCTGTCCCCGTTCCCATCACTCGATGAGCCAATGCCCTCGTGGCTGGCATTGAGCTTGGCACCTGCTGGGCCTGAGGACCATGAGGGGAGGCTTCCTTCAGAAAAGCTGCTGCTCTCAGAGGTGATTTGGGGCAGGCCGCTCTGGGGGTCTCTGGCAGGCTCCTCCTGGCACCCTGGGAGGCTGGTGTGTCCTTGCAGGGTTGCAGGAGGGTTGGCGGGATGATCAGATGGTGCCTCCCACAAAGGCATCTGCAGTGCCAGCTGCTGTGATCTTTGTCACCAGGGATGGGAGCCCTGGGGAGTGAAGTTTGCCATCAGTGGGAACGAGTCACTGCGGTGGCCTGAGTGCTGGAGGAGGGCAGAGGCTTATTTTTAGGGATGTGGCGTAACACGGAAGAAATGTGTGCACTTGAAGCATGGGGAGGCCGAAATGCCAAACAGTTCTCTTGGCTAAATTTAGCAGACGTGCTCTTTATGTAAGAACGGAGTTAACCAGTATGTAACACAGAAGACTTACGGGAGCCGGCCCCCTCGCGTGCCCACCACGGTGTGCTGCTGAGGCCATTCCCGGGAACGCCACACTCCGCCCTGGCCACCTCCACCACAGAAGCAATGGCAGGGCTGTGAGTGCCCAGGGTGTTAGAGATTCTACTGCCTTGCCCCTGCCTGACCCTGACTCAAGGAGGGAGGCCCCCACTCTGTGCTCTTTCATCAGTGCCCAAGATGAAATCCAAATCACCAAGGAGAATTCCCACTCCTTTTGGGCTTTTGACACAACGTATGCTTTTCAGTGCCTTGTTTCAAGAAACAGGCTTGAAGAGGCACCTTTCAGAAGCTGAGCAGCAATTGTAGCCAGTTGGGACACACAGACCAAGATTTCTGGGTCTGATCCCAGGAGTGGGATAGGGCGGGCAACAGGGCTTTGTGCAAAGTCACTCAGCCATCGGTGAGTGACAGCTGGGTGGGTTCTCAGGCCTGGACTGCTGAGGCCAAGGCTTCTGGCCTCTCGTGTAAGGATTCCAGGCTCTGACTCCAACTGGCACCAGCTGGGAACGTGCTGGAAAGGCAGGGTCTCAGCCCCCACACAGACCCACTGGGCCAGAGCCCGCACCACGATCAGTCCCAGGAGCTCCTCCGTGGCCTCTTGGAAGCCTGAGCCCTGCCGGGGCAAGCGGAATCCCCAGCCTCACACCAGCCCGGCCACTGCCGCTCCCGTCCTCTGCCTGAGCTGTTCTGTTTTCCACGCAGTGGGAACCCCGGCCCCCATCCATCAGCACAGAAGAGTTGTGATGGGATGAAGGGCAGGGCAGGGCAGGGCCGGGTGGTCGGGCCCCAGCACACGGCTCGGGGAGCCTCCCACACTTGGTGATCCCGAGCCCTCAGTCTGCTGGTGGTGGTGCTCGAGAACTGTGGCTTACAGTGCGGGTGGGCAAGCGGAGAGGAGCAGCTGTGGAGGGCAAGGACTGGGGCCATTGCTCCTTGATACACTGTGGATGAAACCCTTTACTCAGTGAAGACCTAAGACTCCCCCAGGCCTGAAAGCTGGTCTTGGCAGGAAGAGGACACAGACGGGAAGACCTTGGACAGGGAGACTGATCCCTGGCTGGCTTATCTGCTTCAGGATCTGACTGCAGCAGGTGAGACCCCAAATAAAGGCCCAGACCATGGCCACGGCTGGTGCGGCCCCTTGGGCTCCAGGTCCAGATGAGATGCAGCTGCTCAGCAGTGCCCAGGGCTGCCCTAGAGCCCTCTGGTCCGCAGAGCCCTTCTCCTCCCAGGGGCTCCCACACCCACATCTCTGCTGATTCCCTCACACATGTAGCCAAGTCTGTGGCTTCTGTGGAGGCTAATTTTTTTTCTCGAATTTAATTAATTTCGAAAACAATAAACAATAATGATTGCACACACAACACCCAGGGCAGACTTTGGCCCTGTGCAAGCAGGAAACACAACTAAAAATGTGAATCTGGGAAGCAAGTGGGCCTGATGGGACGAAGCGTGAGCTCCGGGCAGGAGAAACTCTGTTCAGTTCAGCTCCCAGGCAGCCCTGCGCTCGCCGGTGGGCAGAGCCGGCCCAGGACCGTGCATGTCCACCCCGTGGCTGCCTGGGGCCTGTTCTGGTGCTTGCAGCCTCCAGAGCCGCCTGTGCTATGTGCTGTTGCTTCGTCTTGGAAGCGAGTCCCTAAACCAACCAAGTATTCAAAGTATTCAACGAGCAGAAACTGCAACAGGAAGAAAAATTATTCATTTTGGTTTTGTGCCATCCTTTTCTTTGCTTTCTCACTTTAAAATATTTTGACTTTCTAATCCCTTAGCAGTGAATATGCACTTATAATATTTGCAGAATCTCTGAAATGTTTAATTAAGAAGAAAAATAGTTCTTCAGACTAAACAGCAAAGCATCAGGGGATCACAGAGCCACTATGCTCACGCAGGCAGGGTTTACTTACAGGCCTCGATGAAGGACCAGTGGACCCAGAAGAGCTTGCCACGTGTCCCTGGGATGCCTCACAGGGTGTGCCCAGGAGGAGACAGGAGATAAGGAGCTTGGGCATGACTCTGTGGGCTGACATTGCCACAGCAGGCGGCGGCTGTCACTGCCTCCCAGATCCACATCACTCTTTATAACCCAGGCTGGGGCTCAGAAAGGAGGTTCCCAGGGAATGCTTATTGAATAAAGGAAGGAGAGAATGAACGACGGAGCCTGCACATACGGGGCTCTGGGTGACGCTGCTGGGGGCCTTGGTCTCTGCTCTTCACCAGCACCTCTGTCCTAATGTCTCCCAGGCACAGTTGCCGGCTAGGTGCAGACGAAGATGAAGACTCAGAGGTGGTGCCTCCAACACACCGGGGATCCCACCTGGACCTTGAAATCCCCCCCAGGCCACAGAAGCCCCTGAGACCCCTGGCTGCTCCCTTTCCTATGGAAGCCTGGGGCAGATGGTATTATCACTGCTGTGATCTCACACACCAGAGCCGCTGTCAGCCATGGTGTGTGATGACAGAGGCCGCAATGTTCCCCCTCTCCCTGGCTGAGCTGGGTGCAGCCATGCGCCCCAGGATCCTCCCTGAGGACCTTCCTCAAGGGCTCACAGCCATGCGTGCTGGAGCTGGGCCCCCAACACTCAACTCAGTCTTCTCTCAACTCCACTGGATGCCATGGGGGACAGCGCATCTTAGACGGGCCCACAGGTCAATGTGGTCCCCAGCCAGGCGACTCCTGCAGGTGCCTTCAACCCACTCAGGGAGGGCGGTGGGGCCAGGAGCTGTCCCGACCAGATGGCAACAAGCAGACTGCATGGGAATCAGACTACCAGGGCCTGGCTGTGGCTGCTCACCAGTGGGGAGCACACCTCACCACTCCCCTAAGCCTCAGCTTCTCCATCCATGCAGTGAGTTGTTTTCAAGCCTAACTAAAGTAACACAGTGACAGTGGGCTCACAGTAACACCTGCCAATGCCAGCCAGCACCACCTTATCCACTGAACACAATGACAGTGGGTTCACAGTAACACCCGCCAATGCCAGCCAGCACCACCTTATCCACTGAACACAGTGACAGTGGGCTCACAGTAACACCTGCCCATGCCAGCCAGCACCACCTTATCTGCTGAACACAATGACAGTGGGTTCACAGTAACACCTGCCAATGCCAGCCAGCACCACCTTATCCACTAGCCACGTGATATGGTTTTCCTGTGTCCCCGCCCAAATCTCATATTGAATTGTAGCTCCCATAATTCCGACATGTGGGAGGGACCCAGTGGGAGGTAACTGAATCATGCAGGCCGTTCCCCTGACTGTTCTTGTGGTAGTGAACGGGTCTCACGAGATCCGATGAGGCGGTTCCGACTGTTCCTGTGATAGTGAACGGGTCTCAGATCCGACGAGGCGGTTCCCCCAACTGTTCCTGTGATAGTGAACGGGTCTCACGAGATCTGACGAGGCTGTTCCCCCGACTGTTCCTGTGATAGTGAATGGGTCTCACGAGATCCGACAAGGCCGTTCCCCCGACTGTTCCTGTGGTAGTGAACGGGTCTCACGAGATCCGATGAGGCGGTTCCGACTGTTCCTGTGATAGTGAACGGGTCTCACGAGATCCGACGAGGCGGTTCTGACTGTTCCCGTGGTAGTGAACTGGTCTCACGAGATCCGACAAGGCCGTTCCCCCGACTGTTCCTGTGGTAGTGAACGGGTCTCACGAGATCCGACGAGGCGGTTCCGACTGTTCCTGTGGTAGTGAATGAGTCTCATGAGATCCGACGAGGCCGTTCCCCCGACTGTTCCTGTGATAGTGAACGGGTCTCACGAGATCCGACGAGGCCGTTCCCCCGACTGTTCCTGTGATAGTGAACGGGTCTCACGAGATCCGATGAGGCGGTTCCCCCGACTGTTCCTGTGATAGTGAACGGGTCTCACGAGATCCGACGAGGCGGTTCCCCTGACTGTTCCTGTGGTAGTGAACGGGTCTCACGAGATCCGACGAGGCGGTTCCGACCGTTCCTGTGGTAGTGAACGGGTCTCACGAGATCCGACGAGGCGGTTCCGACTGTTCCTGTGGTAGTGAATGAGTCTCACGAGATCCGACAAGGCCGTTCCCCCGACCGTTCCTGTGGTAGTGAACGGGTCTCACGAGATCCGACGAGGCGGTTCCCCTGACTGTTCCTGTGGTAGTGAACGGGTCTCACGAGATCCGACGAGGCGGTTCCGACCGTTCCTGTGGTAGTGAACGGGTCTCACGAGATCCGACGAGGCCGTTCCCCCGACTGTTCCTGTGGTAGTGAACGGGTCTCACGAGATCCGACGAGGCGGTTCCGACTGTTCCTGTGGTAGTGAATGAGTCTCACGAGATCCGACGAGGCGGTTCCGACTGTTCCTGTGACAGTGAACGGGTCTCACGAGATCCGACGAGGCCGTTCCCCCGACCGTTCCTGTGGTAGTGAACGGGTCTCACGAGATCCGACGAGGCGGTTCCCACTGTTCCTGTGGTAGTGAACGGGTCTCACGAGATCCGACGAGGCGGTTCCAACTGTTCCTGTGGTAGTGAATGAGTCTCACGAGATCCGACGAGGTGGTTCCGACTGTTCCTGTGGTAGTGAATGAGTCTCACGAGATCCGACGAGGCAGTTCCGACTGTTCCTGTGATAGTGAACGGGTCTCACGAGATCCGACGAGGCCATTCCCCCGACCGTTCCTGTGGTAGTGAACTGGTCTCACGAGATCCGACAAGGCCGTTCCCCCGACTGTTCCTGTGGTAGTGAACGGGTCTCACGAGATCCGACGAGGCGGTTCCAACTGTTCCTGTGATAGTGAACGGGTCTCAGAAGATCCGATGAGGCGGTTCCGACTGTTCCTGTGATAGTGAATGGGTCTCACGAGATCTGATGGTTTGATAAGGGGTTTCCCTTTTCGCTTGACTCTGATTCTCTCTTTCACCTGCTGCCATGTAGGATGTGCCTTGCACCTTCTGCCATGATTTTGAGGCCTCCTCAGCCACACGGAACTGTGAGTCCATCAAAGCTCTGTTTCTTATAAATTACCCAATCTCAGATACGTCTTTATCAGCAGTGTGATAATGACCCATATACCATGGGTCAGGAGTTTTACCTTCCAATCGTTGGGATATTGGTTACTGTATAAGATACTTCCTTTCCTAGGGTTTAATAATTTGGCGGAGAAAGAACTGGCTTAGAGTTGTGAATCTTAGAGAAGTGAGCAAAGGAGGCCTCTGTAAGAAAGTTGGGCTCATTCTCCCAAGAGGCAGCCAGGCAGCATTGCCACCATCCCCTGGGGGCCCAGAGGGCAGAAGCCACACCTCCAGGAGGGGCAGGCGGAGCAGGGTCAGGGCAGGAGGTGATCGGCCCACAAGCTGATGGTTTTGCCCGGAATGCTGTGGGCTTGTAGGAGAACATTTGCATGTGGGGAGCGCGATACTTCCCAGGGCTCCTTAGAGCAGCCTCCAATGTATCCCCTGCCTCCTGCCTTGCCCTGTGCAGGGAGCACACTCTGCACACACCTCTGGCTGCAGGTTGCTATGGTGCCCGCCACCCACACGGTGCTGCCAGGGCTGCCGGCAAGGATGGAGGTCTGTCTGGTGATAAACCACAGGCAGACGTAGCACAGAGTGAGCCCTCAGGAGAAGCAGCTGTCTGAGGCAGAGCTGGGGAAGTTTGCACGGATGGACCAGAGCAGAGCTTAAGGCCACACATCCCACACTCGGGAGAAACATCCTCATTACTGAAAGATCACAGCCCTGCAGAAGGGTTCACAGTGGACATAACACCCAAGAGCTCCAGATCACTGCAGCAAGTTTGTGCAGCCCGGATTGGGGGGTCCCCAACTCATCCTGGGACCCCTGCTCCCAGACACCTCTTGGCGGAGGACAAGCTGGGTCTCTTAGTTGAAAAGACACCCTAATTGTGATCACATCTCCTGCTGCAGGCTCAGGGCTCAGGAAACCATGGCGCTGACTTCTCAATGCCCCAGAATGTGGCAAAATCTTAAATGGGACAAGAAATCCAAATGCAGAAAGGGCATGCTCTCCAGGACTCATCTGAAAAGTAACTTTCGGGCAGGCGGGGCCACTCTCAGGTTCTCCTCACCATCTCCCAGACACATACACAGCAGGTCAAGAAAACCGGCCTTTCCCTGCCTGCAAAATGACGGAACAATCAAACAATCCCAAGTGCCAGCAGCAGAACGGAAACAGGGACTTCGCTTAACTTGGAAAGCAGAAAGTAGCATTGGTACTCAGAGGATTATTTAGGGGAAAAATCTACATAATTCTTGCAGGGCAGGAGGGGGCTTCTGGTGCAGTGTTAGGAAGTGGAACCTCACCACCGTAGCACCACGCAGGAGCCTACCTTGCTCTCATCCTCCGGGTCGCTGTAGCCACAGGCATCGACGAAATCTGGGAACGTCTCTGACCATCCGTCACTCGTACAGTTTTTGCTTATGTTTCCTGGAAAGTGAAGTTCAGATATTTTATCTGCAAGTCCATGAAAACTGGCCTTAGAAGGGACCTTAGTCCGTGCTGAGCCCGTGCTCTATTAAAATGCTTCCCACACCCAGGGGTCAGCTAGGAGACAGGACTGCCACTCAAAAAACCTTCCTTGCCCTCCTAGTCCATGTGACCTGGACAGCAGGTCACCTCTCGGGGCCGGTGGGTCCTGAGATGTGAGTGAACGCACTGTGTCATAAGTCATAATTACCGCAACTGTAAGTGTAGTTCTTTTGGGGCAGAATGAAAATTCTTAACAGACTCTTAGGTTCTGCCACCATAAGTGATATTTATAGCCAAGCCCTGGCCATCCTGGAGCCAGGAGCCCAGCCTGCCCCAGTTCCTGACAGCACCCTCCCTCCTCCCGGCCAGGCCCTCACCACCGACAGTGACCGGGTACCCCGCCTGCTCCAGTTCTGGGCAGCACCCTCCCTCCTCCCGGCCAGCACCCTCGCCACTGACGGTGACCAGATGCCCCACTGCTCCAGTTCCCAACAGCACGACAGTGACCAGGTGTCCCGCCTGCTCCAGTTCCCGACAGCACCCTCCCTCCTCCTGGCCAGCACCCTTGCCACTGATGGTGACCAGGTGCCCAGTCCAGTTCCTGACAGCACCCTACCTCCTCCTGGCAGCACCCTCCCTCCTCCCAGCAATGCCCTCCCTCCTCCCAGCCAGGCCCTCACCACCGATGGTGACCGGGTACCCCACCTGCTCCAGTTCCTGGCAGCACTCTCCCTCCTCCCGACAGCACCCTCCCTCCTCCCAGCAACACCCTCCCTCCTCCTGACAGCACCCTCCCTCCTTCCAGCCAGGCCCTCACCACCGACGGTGACTGGGTGCCCCACCCAGTTCCTGACAGCACCCTCTCTCCTCCCAGCCAGCACCCTTGCCACCGATGGTGACCGGGTGCCCGGCCTGCCCCAGTTCCTGACAGTATCCTCCCTCCTCCTGGCCAGGCCCTCACCACCAACGGTGACCTGGTGCCTGGCCTGCCCCAGTTCCTGACAGCACCTTCCCTCCTCCTGGCCAGGCCCTCATCACCAACCGTGACCCAGTAGGGCAGGCTCCATTTGGCCACTGGTGTTGGAAGAAAGGATGGCGGAATTACAGTTTAATTGTAGGAAACCAAGGCAGTTGTTCCCTTACAATCTCATCTTTTGCGCCTACGGAACTAAAATCATATGTAAGCTCAGAAATTCAATGTTCCTTGTATTTGTGTGTGTCCTTAGCAGATGGCCACACAGAACAGTAAGTGATAAAGCTCTCGAAGGTGTCCGAGCCGTAAGAATAAAACCAGGCACTGAACGCCGTGCCAGCCTTGCCCCGAGCATGGCTGCATGGTGTTAGGGTCACCCCCACAGCAGAGCCCAGGAGGCCGGACCCCTCCATGCACTCCTGGCACAGCCAGAGCGGAGCCCCTGTCTCCCTGCCTGGGTGACTGGAAGGGTCTGGGGCTTTGGATTTAGCAAATATTTTCACTCCCGTGACTTTTTAATTTCAAGACAACCCTGCAAGACAGACTTGGTGGGCGCTGCTGTTCCCATTTTACAGAAGGGGAAAACAAGGCTTTGAAGACTCAGTAGTTTGAGTGGGGTGCGTGCATGATTCTTGTCCTGCAGTGATGAGAGGCAGAGAGAGGGCCGGGCCAGGCTCTGGCTGTACTGGGGAGGAGTGGGGTGGGAGACTGGTCTCAGCAAGGCCTCAGGGCTGGCCCTGCCCACTGGCACCCCGACACCATCACCAATCAGGGGCTCTGACTACAAGGCCCACACCTCACACAGGGAGCCCCAGCAGGGTCTGGGGGCCTCTTAGCTGCAGAGACCCCATACACGGTAGAGGCAAAACAGAGCCCTAAAGCAGGCAAGCCTCCTAGAGACCTGGTCCCACGGCCCCATTGTGCAGACAAGGAGACAGGTCCACAAAGATAAATAATGTGCCCATCACAGACTCAGGAACAGCACTCATAATAGTTATTATAATAATACTAGTCATGTGGTAGTGGCCACTACGACTCACTGAGCCCTCAGGAATGCCGGGCTCTGTGCTTGCATCAACCCAGTTAATCCTGACACCACAGGAGGCAGCTCTCCAATTAATCTCAGAGATGAGACGGCCAAGGCTGAGGAAGTCGTGTCACTTGCCCAAAGTCACACTGGTGAGCGATGGGCCAAGCGCCACACCTGACAGCCTGGCTCTCACCTGAGCAGGGCACCTGCAGGCCCCTATCCTGAGCCTGGAAGCCAGGACCTCGGTGGGAGCTGAGCCTGTCACTCATCCTCTGCGAGGTGCAGCCTTTTCTCCTTCCTACGGGAGATCAGTGTTTACCAATCCAAAGAAGATGCTGAAATAAAACTCCACAAACTAAGTCAGAAAGTCATTCTATGAAGTGCAGATTCCCTCACAGGTTCTTTATCCTTTCTGACTTCTCACTCCTGAGACACATGGGGCAGATGTGGAAGGACAGGAAATGACTGAGGTGGCAACCTGCAGAGAGATCAGGGAGGTACAGAGAGACCAGGGAGGGGCAGAGAGAGGCCAGGGAGGGGCAGAGAGGCCAGGGAGGGGCAGAGAGAGGCCAGGAAGGGGCAGAGAGAGGCCGGGGAGGGGCAGAGAGAGGCCAAGGAGGGGCAGAGAGAGGCCAAGGAGGGGCAGAGAGAGGCCAGGGAGGGGCAGAGAGAGGCCAGGGAGGGGCACAGAGAGGCCAGGTAGGTGCTGAGAGAGGCCGGGAAGGGGCAGAAAGGCCAGGGAGGGGCAGAGAGAGGCCAGGGAGGGGCAGAGAGGCCAGGGAGGGGCAGAGAGGCCAGGGAGGGGCAGAGAGGCCAGGGAAGGGCAGAGAGAGGCCAGGGAGGGGCAGAGAGAGGCTGGGTAGGGGCAGAGAGGCCGGGGAGGTAGAGAGAGAGGCCGGGGAGGTACAGAGAGAGGCCGGGGAGATGCAGAGAGAGGCCAGGGAGGCACACAGAGGCCAGGGAGGGGCAGAGAGATCAGGGAGGTGCAGAAAGAGGCCAGGGAGGTGCAGAAAGAGGCCAGGGAGGTGCAGAGAGATCAGGGAGGTACAGAGAGAGGCCAGGGAGGTGCAGAGAGAGGCCATCCAGGGGCAGAGAGGCCAGGGAGGTGCAGAGAAAGGTTGTGGGGGGTGGGAGCACACTCTCGCCCACTTGCAGGATGACGAATACTTGAAGGCCTCCCTTAGGGCTTCAGTGCTTCTCAGCGACTATTCCAAGCCCCATGAGCCTACATCATCCTCCACTGGGGGATGTGCTGATGCCCCTTTAAAGGATCAGAACCACACCTGGCCCTACACCTGTGCTGGATGGGCGGCTGAGCTGCTGCCCTGGGTCTGGCTAAAACAGTGCCATGCAGAATTGGCAGGTGGGCACCAGGAGCAACTGGAAACACAGAAAGCAAGTCAAGGGAGAAAGGTCAGCACACAGCTGTCGGAGCTGCCTCCTGGCCCCTGAGCATGGGGCATGAACAGCAGCTGCTCACAGAAGGCTGTCCTCCCAGTGATGAGTCCTCGTGCCTCTCACCCTGGCTCCCTGCTTCCTTTGTTCCCCTCTATGCAGACAGTTGGCTCATTGCCTCCTGGAGGGGATGGGGGCAGGAAATGTCTGAAGCACCTAATCCTCACAGCTTTCCCCAAGCAGCAGTGGTGAAGTCCAGCCCGGGTGGGAAGAGGACTTGCATCCCGGGTCCCACTGCTGCAGGGCAGGGTTAGGACCTGGGGAAGGAGCTGCCCGCTGCTTCTGGAACCGCTGCAGGGCAGGGTTAGGACCTGAAGGAGCTGCCCGCTGCTTCTGGAACTGCTGCAGGGCAGGGTTAGGACCCGGGGAAGGAGCTGCCCACTGCTTCTGGAGCTGCTGCAGGGCAGGGGTTAGGACCTGGAGAAGGAGCTGCCCACTGCTTCTGGACAGGGCCCAGGGTCCCGCCTGGCACAGAGACACAGGGCGCCAGTGTGCTGGTCACTGTGATGATGCACAGTGCCGGACACACGTGATGATGCCCAGAGGCCACCTGCCTAGCATAGGACAGACAGCCCCCAAACCTCCCACCTGCTGGAAGGATGAGAAATCAAAAGAGAACACAATGTTTCATTAGAATGGTGACTTATTTCTGGAACACCTGGGTTTGTGGGCAGAAATGATTCCACGTGTGTTCTATGACCCAGCTCTCCTTACAGGTCATGGGAGGAGCAGCCATCACATGTGTAGAGTGTTCTGTAGACCACAGAGCACCATGCAGACGCAAGCCTGACTTTCATTTCTTTCTAAGACTCTACAGTTATCCCACCAAATTTAGTCTCTGAAGCCTCAGCTTCTGTGGTACGATGCCAGGTGGCTTCACCCCAGCCCTGCTCGGCCCCCAGTCGCATCCACATCTCTCTAAGTATTTGCAAAGGATGCCCATTTAATGCCCCAAAGATGAATTCCATGCGGACATTCCATGGGGACCATCTGTCCACAGTTTGTGCATGTCCTCGCATAGCTCACGTTTTTGTGATCAGTTGAAAAAGCAGAAGCATATTTCCCCTGCATTTCAGATCATCTAGCTGCGACTACTCAAGTGCCCAGACTTGGGGAAACACCACAAGTTTCCTCACAATAACAAGGTGGTGTCATGCTCCCTGCTTGGGAAAAAGGTGGAATAAGCATTTAACCCAAAGCCAACTGGGAGTTTTCATTCTCACAGGCAGCAGCAGGATGCTTCCAGGCAGGGCCAGAGCCTCACTGACCTGGGCGCCTGGTGCCCAGATGGCTTCTGTCTGGCAGAGGCTGGACTGGATTCTGGTGCTTGCTAATGTGCAAACTACCAGGCTGCTGGGTGCTTTCTGGAAGCCTCAGAACCATGCCATCGACTAGGAAAAGCCAGAGTCCATGCCAATTCCCTCCAGATCTCCAGGAGAATGGATGCAGCCCAAGCTGCTCAGTAGAAATGCTACTGATTGGAGGGAACAGTTCTTAAAGTTCAGGTTCTCTAAAGTGACTTAGGTTCTAACTCAGGGGTGGGCAGTGATGGTAATGCAAGCATGGTCCCTACCTTCAGGCTGCTTTGCTGGCAACTCGGGGTGAGAAAGTCAAAATCTTCCTTTCGGAATCTCCTTCTCCTCTGTCCCAATCTCTTTTCCAAAACTCTGCTTTAAAACACTACAGCATTATTACTTCCCAAAGTCTTTACCCTTTAACCTCTGTCCAAGATAAAAGTAAATTCTCCATAGTGCTCCAAAGTATTATGCTTTCTGTTTCCAGATGTTTCCTATGTTTTCTATTTTTCTGAATAGATTTCTTCACACTATGAAAATCTGAATCACTCACAAAAACAAACAAAACCTTTCTCTCAGGATTCAGCCAAGAGATATTGGCAGCACCGCATACGGAGCATGCCCTGGGTGCAGAGGAGGAGCCTGGAAGCCCAGAGAAACTGCAAATTCCAGGCAGCATCAAACCTGTGAGGCGGCAGGGAGGTTGGGGGAGTGGGTTCGATAAACTAGGTGTGTCCTGGGGCCTCTGCCCTGAGCATGGAGGCTCTGGGTGCCACACTTCCCACTTCCCAGAAACTTCCAGAGTGTGCTCTCTGGGGCTCACAGGCCGACTCAGTGGGAGGAGGGGAGCCTCCTTTAGGGCCCCCTTGCCTCCCCTCCCCTCTCATGCACGTTTCCCGTGCTTTGGTTCCCATTTGGCTCCTGTCTCCCCTGGTTCTTTCCCTGTAGTTGCCCTGCTCTCTGGGGTTTGGCTGAAGGCAGGTGATGCCCTTCTGCTCCCTAAGACGGGCACTCACCCCAATATGCCACAGCTGTTCCCTGACCCCCAGGGTAGCAGGAGATGCCTGAAGGAAAGTGATGTTCCTGCTTCTTGGATGGAAAAAATGGACGCTCAGATGCAAACACCCTGGAGGAGCTCAGGAACTCAACCGACGGACAGTACCTGCTTTGCTGTAAAAATTGCTGAAGACTTTTGGGCAGGGCACCGTGACGGTCTCTCCCACATTGGCAGGCCGCCAGCACGTGATGTTGTCCCAGACGCCACTGCAGGCTGGAAGGAGAGAAGCAGAGTGAGGCAGGTGCAAGGTGACAGAAGTGTCACAAATAGAAACCCCATTAATGAGATAACTGCCTCGCAAACTCCTTTCCTGTGAAACACACTTGCACCAACACAATTATTGAGACTATAGTTAGCTTGTGGGTTCATCTCAATTAGCTTTGGAGGAATAACCATATGGTGGTAGAAAGCATTTGAGTACTTCAATGTATACCATGTACCTTCTGAATTTTAAGAGAATCATTACTTACTTCTTGTGATCAGCATTTCCTAGTGTGATGAAATGGGCACCACTGGGTATTAGTGTAAGGCCCCGTCGGGGAGGGAGACGCCCAGGGAAAGTGTGCTTGTGCTTCTGTGGAATCTGACTTCAATGATTATTTGCAAATAAAAGTATTTGATAATATTTGTTTGATTTTTCACTGTCAAGATGCCTTATTAGCAACAAAATCTTAGGTTACCTTCATGGAGTTGTCAAATAATTTGCATAATGCATAGCTTAAACATTTTTAGACCTACTATTTGGTCTTAATAACCACCTGGTGAAGGTTAGATATAAAAATGTTGCATTAATTATCTTCCAGATGAAAAGCACTAAGGTTCAAATCTTTTAATGAATTCTCAATATCACACAACAGTGATGGAATGCATGTTAAACCCAGGACTTTCCTACTTGTCCATGGTATTTATACTATATTTGAGACCTCTAAAATTTTACCTTTTACTTAAACCTCAGTATCAGAAAAGCAATGTGCTAGCCTTGGTCGGTAAAACAAACAAACAAACAAACAAACAAACAAACAATCAGTTTTCCTTTCAGCACATGCCACCCAGACCTGTGCAATAATTGCAGGAATACATCCATAGAGAACACACAGCTTTGGTGTGAACAAAGGAGTGTTTTACTTTCAAGAATACAGAAATGTCTCTGAAAAGCTGGCCATAAGCTAAGTTTTGCAGATGAAAATAGTTTCTAAATACTTTCAATAAAAGTGAAAATATATTTATTATAAAATAAAATTACATACCAATACTTGAATAAGTACATAAATTCATATTACATTAATGTTAACATATTTAAAGAAAATGTTGGTTTTCTTTTAAAATGTTCAAAACAAGTGATCAAATGTAAATGCATCACTAGAAACTCCAGGCGTGAGCCCCCGTGTAAGGCTGCTTAGAGTCTAAGTAGTAGAGTTATTTAAATGCTAAGTTCGTAAACCAAGCACTTCTAACTCTGGTGTGTAGGGCAGGTGGTGGAGAGGTGTCAGGATGGGGTTCCTAGCCAAGAGTGAACAAGATGGAGAGGAAAGTGAAGATGTCTAGGCCTCCAAGTGAAGACTCTGCATGTGATCAGCAAAGTTCTGTCCATCTCCTATAAAACAGCAAGCTCTGGCAGTTTCGTGTCTGGTTATTTTGAAGGTTCAGCTTTTTATCACAAAATGACAAATTTCTACCTTGATAATAGTAATGGCTGGGTGTGGTGGCTCACACCTGTAATCCCAGCGCTTTGGGAGGATGAGGTTGGTGGATCATTTGAGGTCAGGAGTGTGAGAACAGCCTGGCCAACATGGTGAAACCCCGTCTCTACTAAAAATACAAAAATTAGCCGGGTGTGGTGGTACACACCTGTAATCCCAGCTACTCAGGAGGCTAAGGGAGGAGAATTGCTTGAACCCAGAAGGTGGAGGTTGCAGTGAGCCGAGATCGCATCACTGCATTCCAGCCTGGGTGACAGAGCAAGATTCCGTCTCAAAAAAAAAAAGCAATAATTATATAATATTGTTATTTTAAAATAATGGGCTGGGTGTAGTGACTCATGTTTGTAATCTCAACACTTTGGCAGGCTGAGGCGGGATAATCCCTTGAGCCCAAGACTTCAAGACCAGCGTGGGCAACATAGCGAGACCCCATCTCTACAGAAAATATTTAAAAATTCGCTGGAGGTAACAGAGCATGCCTATAGTCCCAGCTACTAGGGAGGCTGAGGTGGGAGGATCACTTGAGCCTGGGAGGTCGAGGTTGCAGTTAGTAAAGATCATGGCACCGCACTCCAGCCCGGGCGACAGAGCGAGACCTCGTCTCAATAAATAAACAATAAATAAGATAATGTATAGTAAGATAACTAATACATAATACAAATTATAATGCAATAATTATATACTGTATAATACTAATTGCTGCTTTAAATTTCAACAGAGATACTAAATTCATACCACATCAAACAGTCTTTGCATTACAGTAGGATTTGATTTAAACATCTAGAGCTAATCATCTGATCCCTTCAATGGCCAGGGAAAGTCTTCTCTTCATTTGTTCCTTTATTGGACCGCACGTGAGGGAGCAGAGCTAGACGCTGTCAGGATGTGAGGAAGCGGACTCGAGGGCGTCAGGGCGCCGAGGCTGAGGTAGCAGCCGGAAGTGCAGCCGAAGGCGCAGCCGGAAGCGCTGCCACAGTGCCGGTCGCACACGTGGCACTGGCTGCAACCTCCTGGCAACAGCTGCCAGGCGGGAACACAGGAGTTTCTCTCTCAGCTTCTCAACCTCACGCAAAGGACAGCCAAAAATTTGAAAGGGCAGCACCAAGAGATGTCACTACAGCCTTGCAGACAGAAGCAACTGTGTTAAATAGGCAGGCAGAGGAGGGGGAGAAGCGAGAGACAGGCCATCGGTACCCCCGGCACCGGCAAGGGTGGAGGACGCTGCAGGGAACCGACGGGACCCGGCCGAGAGCCCCGACTGTGAGGAGGCGGCTCACGGCGCCTACCTGGGACCGACCCTGACTGTGAGGAGGAGACTCACGGCGCCTACCTGGGACCGACCCTGACTGTGAGAAGGAGGCTCATGGCGCCTGCCTGGGACGGGACCCGGCTGAGAGCCCCGACTGTGAAGAGGAGGCTCACGGCGCCTACCTGGGACCGACCCTGACTGTGAGGAGGAGACTCACGGGACCTACTTGGGACCGGATCCTGACCGTGAGGAGGAGGCTCATGGCGCCTTCCTGGGGCCAGATCCCCAACCGAGGACCCCGACTGTGTGAGCAGGAGGCTCACAATGCCTGCCTGGGGCCAGACCCCAGCTCAAGGATCCCGACTTGGCAAGGAGGGGGAATCCAGAAGGAGTGGCTCTAGGAGTGAGAGAAGAGAGACAGACCCTCTCACATTGTTTTAGATTGTTTTATACTCAGAAAAGGAAACAGAAGCGAAACTAAAGGCAGGTAGCCCAGCGCCTAGGAACCAGACCCGACACCAGGCCTGGACCTGCCTGACCTAAGCCTGGTAGTTAAAATTTGACCCCTGACCTAGCAACTGATGTTATCTATAGATTGCAGACATTGTATAGAAAGACACTGTGAAACTTCCCGGTCTGTTCTGTTTCACTCTGACCACCCGTGCATGCAGCCCCTGTCACATACCCCCTGGCTTGCTCAATCAATCATGACCCTTTCATGTGAAACCCTTAGCGTTGTGAGCCCTTAAAAGGGACAAAAATTGTGCACCTGACAAGCTCGGATTTTAAGACGCTAGTCTGCCAATGCTTCCAGCTGATTAAAGCCACTCCCTTCACCATCTCGGTGTCTGAGGGGTTTTGTCTGCAGCTCGTCCTGCTACAAGAGAAAAAATGGAACCCTGAGACCACCTCAGTGCAGTGTCTTGAGAGTGTTCTGGCCTGAGGTTTGATGCCTAATTATTGAGAGGTAGGTGAAAAACCCAGCAACAGAAAAACGAGGAAAAGCATAAAGTTATGAAGAAAGGAAATGCTGGATATTATGTGGCTCAACTGTGATGGCAATGATGTACACCAGCAATGTGAAGTGAGTCTATCAGGAGGCTGGCAGGATGATAAATTATACTTGGGTGGTGGGAATGGCACAGGAGAGATAGATCTTTATTCTTGTTAGAAATCTAATGGACACTGGGATGTAAATTGGGAGGAAGAAAGAAAAGAAACAGGAGCATAAGTATGCTGTTTAGAAATAAAATAAATACCAGAGAAGAGATGAAAGAGATGCTGCCATAGGGCTGAGAACTGGGGATGACGAGGGGCCGGAGACTATTATCTTCATACAGCCTTGTAGTATCATTTGCCTTTTACAATTTTATAAATGCACTCTGTTGAAAACTAGCATTTAAAGTGTATCATTATATTAAGATACCCATTTTTAAATGTTTACATTTTTAAGGAACATTGTGCAGGCCAAAGCAAAATAGTGCATGAATAGGTCATCAGTTCAGTGTTGGACATAAGTGATTCAAATTTGGCACAGTGAACCCTTTGGGAGAGGCAGCGAATTTGGGAGAGGCAGCAAGTCCTTCTGTAGGAGTGTGCGCCGAGGCACAGGACGGCATGGGAGGAGAAGGGGAGGCAGGCAGGGCCACCCCCGAGAGAAGCACAGCCACTTGGAGACGCCTGTCTGTTTGGAAAGCAGTGGGCAGCTGAGATTTCATGAAACAAAGGATTTGCAGATGGAGTGAGAAACAAACAAAAGTGCTCGGATAAGGCAGTCAGGGAAATGGGACTTGTTAAGCTCTGGTGGCAACCTAGGTTTTCCAGATGGTGATCATAAAATCAAAGGTCGCTCTGAAAAGTGGAAAATGTATCAATAGACTCTGAAAAGTTACTTGGTAAAATTCAGTGGCCATTTCTAATTTTTTAAAACCCTAAATAAAATAGTAAAATAATGAGACTCCCTTAACATCACAGAGAATATTTGTTAAAAATAGCAAGCATTAAGCCAGGCACTGTGGTAAGTACCTGCAGTCCCAGCCACCCAGGAGGCTGAGGTAGGAGGATTGCTTGAGCCCAGGAGCTTGAGTCAAGCCCGGGTGACTGAGTGAGGCCCTGTCTCAAAGAAAAAAAAGAGGAAAGAAAGAATAGAAAGAGAGAGAGGGAGAGAGAAAGGAAGGAAGAAGGGAGGGAGGGAGGGAGCGGGGAGGGAAGAAAAAGAGAAAGAGCAAGTATTAGACATGTTTAAACAGAATTGTACAACTGAGGAGCCAGGTTGGGTACCTGCAATTCATTATTATTCAACAATGTGTCATAAGTTGCAGCTAAAACAGCAGATGAAAGAAGAACTAAGAGGTATAAATTGGTAAAAAGTAGAGAAAAAACCCTAGAACTGTACTTTCTATATGGCAACCACTAGCCTCACATGGCCATTTAAATGAAAGCTAATTAAAAGGAGATGCAGTTAAAGGTTTGGTTCCTCAGTTGCAGCCGCCGCATTTGAATGCTCCGCAGTGGAACTTGGCTGGTAGCCATCACACCAGCATTTCCACTACCATGGGAAATTCTACTCGACAGCACTGTCTAGGGTCAGAGTTAGACAAATGCAACATAAACCCAGCAAACCTGTCTCACAAATCAAGAAGCAAAAAGAGAGAGAAAAGAGCAATGAAACCCTTTGGCTCGCACACCGAGGCAGAAGCTCAGAGGAGCCGCTTCTCTGGGTCATTGTTCTTCGGCTAAAATGTCCCATGTAAATAATCCAAAATACCTTTGAATCAATATAAATGATAAAGTTGTTTCACTTATCACCCCAATCTTCCTCTTTCAAAACTTGGCAGAGGGGTAGAGAAGGAGCCTCCTCTGATCTCAGCAGCCTCTCACCCAAAGTCATGGTCAGGGCTTGGCAGGCAAGCCTGGCTGAAACAGGACTTCAATCTGTCTGCTTTGGACGTCTCACCTTAATTAGAACACAGCAAGGTGTGTCACCACTAGTGCTTAGAATGTGTCACCAAAGCCCCTGAGCTCAGGCTTGCTGGCTGGGTCGTCCCTTGGCCTTTTCAGATCACGCCCCTGACGTGCTGCCTGCAGCCTCCAAGGTCAGGGTGCTGGGAATGGAGGAACTCAGGCTGGCAAAGCTGGTGTCCGAGCTGCCCCACGCCCTCTAGCTGCCCTTCTCACCTCCGATTCCGTTGCTGCTTCTAGTCTTTCCTAAGCACTCAAGTCAGCTTCCTGGGGCCACGTGCTTCCTTTCATATACCAGCTTAGGCTGCGTTTAGCTAAGTAGTCAGGCAGCAGGTGTGAGGCATCGATTTGTTTGTGAACAGCAAGGTCTCCCAGGGCTGCTGTGAGCTCCACCCATTGGACATGGGGTCTTGTCCCCACCCTGCTATGTGGCCCCGTGACCTGTGCTGACCCCTCGGACTGACAGGCTCTTCCTTCTGGAAGGTGGTCATCACGGAAGGGCTGGAGCAGTTGGTGGGAGCCCTGGTCGGAAAGGCTGCAGGGAGAAGGCTTAGGCACCTGCTGAATGTAGGAAAGGAACAGCTTGGGTGACGTGGGCAGAACCTTTTGGGCCAACCTCAGAGCCTTGGGAGGAGCCAACTACTAATTTTGAAGCCAAGTTTCAGGAGATTTGTGCCATAGCCACACATAACCAGGAGCAAATCTTCCTGGGAAGCAAACAGCTGGCAGAGCAGAGTCACATGGGCCCTCCAGAGGGCACTGCAGTGGGTTGGCACCGGCATGGTCAGTGCCCGCATGGTCAGTGCATTTGGGAAAGCAAGTGGGCAGAGTGGGCAGTGACCGGTGGTCAGTCACAGGGGCTGGTCAGGGGGCTGGAAGCTTCCAGGCAATGAGTGACTTTTCAATGTAGACTGGCAGTGGTGGCTTCCTAATTTTTGCTTGAAAATCAGCTTAGTCTCCTGAAAAAGACACTGTAGACTAAGTCGTTCAGAAAAACGGACCCTGTGATGGTGCAGCCTTCCGACATTTCTGAGGCTTCACAGCATTTTCAACGGAATACACAGGGTTTGGGAAAGGCTGCTGCTTGAACAAGTTCTTACCGGTATGCTGGGAATTCCTCCAGGTGGAATTCTGAGGAACACAGCAGTAACTCAATTATGTGACACCTTCCAGCCAAAGGGGAGTGCGCACAGAGTGGGGAGGAACCTACAGGAACCTGCAATCCTACCGTATAAAAGACGCTGCCTTCTGTCCAGAGACTCCCTAGGAAGTCCTGGCTCTTACAGATGACGTTATAGGTGTTACTTTGAGCTCTGGATTTGGATTTATTTTCTCATTATTTCAATGTCAATGACATAAACATCAATTAAATTTCAAGAGACTCTTACGACATGCTCCCCCTTATCTAGGAAATGACTTTTACATATACTCCATTTTGTCCTCCCAGCAACTCCCTGAAGAAGGCGAGAGCCCCTGTCCTCACACTGGGGAGGAGACCAGGTTCACAGAGGGGAGGAAACACACTCTGACCACAGGACGGAGTGCGGGAGCCAGCCGAGCAGTCGGGCTTCTGGGTCACTGCCCTTTCCCTAGAAGGTCCCTTGCCATCTCAGACTGCATGGGACTTGCTTTATCACCAGTGTATACCACACACGAGGCTTCCTGTGACTTAATTTCTCAATGATTTTGTAATTATAAAAGCACTGGTCATGGAGCCAATGGGTAGGTATGTGGGTCCAGGATCCTCTTTAAACCTCCGGCGTGAATGAGGATGAATCCCTTTGTATGGCCTGTGAACAGACAGGATAACAGTGAGCACATGAAACATAGTGCCGCACCACACAAAGGCAATGCAGGACGTCATCTCAGAGGTGGGGCTGCACCTGCTGACCTGAGTCATGGACACAGATGGGTGCAACTCCAGTTGTCACCTGCACCATGCTTGCCACGCAGCTCATGCTCTCTTTGGACAATGGGCAGCTCTGGGAGGTGGTGCCCTAGATCTTCCCATGGTTCCCCCACACCCTCCTTCCATCTTCAGAGTCACCTGCCCCTACCCCACATGCAACTCCACAGAGAGTGGCAGCTGAGGGTGGGTGGCCCAGGAGGCCCGAGTCATGGGAAGCCACCCTGCTGCTGTCATCAGTGACCAAGTGTCAGCAGGACTTGGAGGAGGGGCATGAGGGCTGAAGCTGCTTCATCCAGACAGGGCTGGGGAACAGCTCTAGGAACCAGCGAGTGGGAAAAGGAAAGCTGAGAAGCAAAGCCTCCTGAGACTGGCCATCGGCTCGGATGACAGCTTGCCTCCAACGCATTTAGAAGCAAATATTTCCAATCGCATCCTCCACTCAAGAAAGCTTGACTTATGTCTCAAGTGACAACAACAAAGCTTCCTCCAGAATCTGGGCAGAGCAGGAAGTCCCAGCTGGTTCTCACGGGGAGCTCAGAGAGGCCGGGGGCGTCCCAGTCATCGAATACTCCCCTTGCACAGCAAATAACGGGCTGAAGGATGAGCCACTCTCTTCCTGCTGGGGGGCTGCTGAAGCCCCTGTGACCACTCCTTCCGAAGGTGGGTGTTTAAATACCTTCCCAGCCGCATGTCTGAGTGGTTGAGTTCTCTGCAATCCTCGCCGCTTCTGCCCCAAACGGTAACAGGATTCTTCCTGGAGATAGCCACGAGGAAAAGACCTGCAGGAGGAATTCCGATTGCCTGGTTGTGATGGAGTGTGCTGCTGGAGACCATTTTCTGTGTCTCAAGGAGCTGCATGTGAAAGCAGTCAGCCTGGTCCATCTCAGGGAACGAGCTTAAAACACAGGTCCTGATGAGCAAGACCAAGGCGGGAGAACAGCGTGCTCAGCATCCCACCTCCCCTGCCTCCTGATCCTGCCTCTTCCTGTGCAGTGCTTCCAGGTTCAGTGGGTGTTTACGGTGAATGAGACGGAGGGGAAGGAAGAGAGAAATGGAAACGTAGCCGCCATTCAATGGCAGGCATGAGCCCAGCTCCACTAGCCCCTCTCTTCCAGCCCAGACAGAGATGCATGATCAGGTCCAAGTTCTTTCATTATAGAAAGTGACTTTTTCTCTTACCTTAAGAGAAACCAGAAAAACTGCACTTCTTGTACCGTGGTGATTCTTTGTATAAAATCTGCTGTGACCAGAACAACGTGGCTCCCACGGTCACTTGGCGCGGGTGCACAGAGCTGCTCCTGGATGCTGTCACCAGCATGGGCTCTGCTGTTCCGAGTGCACAGAACCGAGGCCTGGGTGTGCGGCACAGCGCTTTGTGCACTCCTACAGACCACACCTCCATACAGACCACACCTTCAGAGGAAAATTCGCTATAATTTCCTTCAGAGGAAACTGCTATAAACACCCACACCCCAGGGGTTCTGGTTTAATTTGCCTGGAGGATGTTTTTATTGTTTCAGGATTCTTCGTGGTTCCAAGTGTACCCAGGGCTGAGGCCCAGCCTTGGAATGCAGAGGCTGGAATGGGGTCACCATGTAGGGTGGTCCCTAGCCATCCATTTAAACAGGCCCTGGCGATTCTGACAATGGGCCGCAGCTCCCCGGGTGGACACAGGAGATAGGAAGGATGGGGCCCAGGCATGCAGGGGTCCCGCCCCACAGCTCCTGGCTGCCCCTGAGCATGTTGCTAACCCTAGGCCTCAGTTTGCTCCTCTGCAGAACAGAGATGACACCAGGTAGGAAGTGATCACAAGCACCGCAAGGTAGAGCTGGGTGCACGGGGCCTCGACTGCAGGGTGGCGGCACTCAGAGCTCCTGCAGGACAACACGTGGCCTGCGTCTCCAGACTCGGACTCATGCTTGCTGTTCCCCCTGCACCTGTAGGAGCCCAGACGCAGATGCCCAGACCAGCCTGCTGCACGGGGGAGTGGAGGCAGCGGTGCGAGGCAGAGGCCGAGGCAAACCCCTCCTAGGGCACAACCCCAACGCTCTGACATGGGAGCTCATTCATCACCAGAAGCCCAAGGGCAGGCACCACCAGTCCCATCTCCCATGTGTGTAGTGCCCGAGGTGAAGCAGCCAGTGGGTGCCCAGCCATGCCCTAACCTCTGCTCCCCAGCCTCCACACAGCATCCTCCAGGGTGGGGTCAGGTGGGCTGAAGGCCAAGAGGGCCCAGCCTGGGAAGTGCAGCCTTGCAAGGCCTTCCTACCCAGAGCTGTCCAGGGATGCACAAAGCCTGGTAGGTGGGGTCGGAAGAAACACCTGTCCCCCTTGATGCACGAAGCCTGGTAGGTGGGGTTGGAAGAAACGCCTGTCCCCTTGATGCACAAAGCCTGGTAGGTGGGGTCGGAAGAAATGCTTGTCCCCTTGATGCACAAAGCCTGGTAGGTGGGGTCGGAAGAAATGCTTGTCCCCCTTGGGGAGGGGACAGTGTGCTGGGGCCACCCTCAGCTCTGAGCTTGTCCCTGGTGGCATCTCCCAACGTGGGCCCCTCACCTCTGCAGGGGCACCTCCTGAGCTTTCTGCACCTGCTGAGGGTCCTCGCGGCCCACACAGCCGTGCCTGTGTTCTGTATTTTGGTTCAGTTCAGACTCATACTAAACATCTCTGAATGGGAAAAAAATTTCGTGTTTTTCTCACTGTATTTGTCATTCTCCTCACCTGTCTCTTAAATAAGGAGCAGCCTTCTACCAGGGAGAAGAGCAGGCAAGGATGCCTGGTGCAGAGGGTCGTCCAGGAGGCAGCAAAGCAGGGCCGGATGGTCCCCCTTGGAGTGCTCACCAAGGAGGGGCTGCCCACCACACCTGGACCCCTCCCAGGTCATGAAGGCAGGGACAGAGGGGGCACCACCAAGTCTCATCACACCAGGCTGCCCTGGGCCACCAGGATTCTTTTATGGGAAACAGCCTAGAACTTTTCATATCTAAGGTGACAATACACATGCCTCACTTCAGTATGTCTTCAAGATTCCAAGCATTTTTCCAGGTGTAAATTTTCAAATTAGGAAAGTAATCTCTGCCCGCTGGGAACATGTTCCGACACAACACAGCACAGGCAGAAGAGTGAAGGCCTCACGTTGGCACCACTGCATAGTAACAGGCTAGTGTGCAGCCTGGGTGGCAGGTGCAGCTGTGCGGGCTCCATCTCTGTGTCCCACCGCACCCTATTTATGACGGGTAAGAGGCTGGGCCTTGTCGCTTCTCACCTCTGTGAGCAGGTGCCTCTGTCCCTAGTATTTCTGTCCACTCTTTGAAAATGCATTTTCTAACCATCCTAGTCTAAGGTATGATTTGGTTTCCTTATTTAATATGTTTGGCTCCAAACTTTAACATTTAAGCTTGGACTTAAACAGGGGCCGTCCAGCCCTACTTTGCCGCCTCCTGGCTGACCCTCTGCAAAAAGCACCCTTGCCTGCTTTTTAAGCTTGGACTTAAACATTAAAGTTTGGAGCTAAACATATTAAATAACCTTTGGGGCAGAAACCTGCATGGGAAGAGGGGAGGCGTCTCCCTCCCATGCCCAGGGCGTGAGGAGCTGGAGGGGAGGGTGGGAGACTGCTCCTGACCTGCTCAGGAGACCTGGGTGGTCACCTCCCTCCCTCCCTCCCTCCCTCCATGCTGCTGTTCTGATTCCTCCTTCCTCGTCGTGCGGGGCAGACTCTAACACAGCCCCAGGCCAGCTCCCTCTGCACGAGTCGGCTCCCAGGGCTCCATTTACTAGGCGAGGTTTTCCTTCCAGTCCTCTCCCTTCACAGGGGATGGGGGAGAGACATGACATTCCAAGGGCAGAGGTAACTATCAGGACACCACTTCTGAGTCCAGCAACGTCAGGGACTTGCTTGGGAAGAGGACCTCCCTGCTTAGGGCCATAATGAATCTGAGACCCCAGGAGTTCATTTTGACACACTGTTACACATGCTTAGGTACCCGTGCGTGGGATACACAGAAGTTACGTATGATTTCTTTTTACAAAAATATGATATTATACATATGGAAATCTTCCTTGCTTTCCCACTTAATATATCATGCATATTTTTCATGTTATTCATGTAGAACACCATCATTTTTAATGGCTGTATAATATTCCACAGTACAATCATAACACAGTTAAATGCCCCATTTGTAATCTTCAATATCCACAGTATTTATGATATAAACAAATGGCAATGAAATAATTGTCTGATAGGAAATCTGGTTATTCAGTATTTAATAGAGGCCGAAAATGCTTGGACTTTTATCCTGTCCTTTTAAAAGGAATTGTGGTTCTTTCCCAGTCAATGAAGAAAAGCCCTTCTTTACTGCAAATGCTCATTAATAATGTGTGGAGAATGATTAGAATTGGAGAAGTCAACATGGTTTAACCTTCAAAGACAACTGATTGGTACGAATCATTGACAGATACAAAAGCCAAGACGTGAAAAGTTGTTGAACCAGAGCTTACACCACTGTGCTAGCAACCGCACAGGTGATTCTCCAGCCCCGCTTTAACTCCCTGGGAAGGGAAAGAGACGCTTTTATGCGTGGAGTTCTAGAGGTCACTTCCTAACCAGGTGACAAAAAGCATAATAGGAGGTCAAGGGACATGACGGGTGGCAGGATCATGCACTGGGAAATGCACCAGCAGGCTCACAGTGTCCCCAGACGTCTTCCTCCCAAAAGCCTTGGACCCGAATCTAATCAAGCCTTTAGCATCAAATTCTAGTTCAAAGGAACCCCGAGGTCATGCACCAAAGGCTACACAAACAGAACTGAGGTGGTGCCTGGCTGGTGGCAGAGACGAGGCTCCAGGGGCAAGTGTGCTCCCATCGGAATCTCTCTTTGGGGTCTGGACGTCATCTCCTGAGCCACTGCTCTCTTGCTTCTGCGGAGCTCACCTGGTCTCCCAGGAAGAGACTGAACTGGATAAAAACAGGCCTGGCAACAAAGGAGAGTGAACGCTCTCACCTCACTTTCTGCCACTGGGTGGGTCCGGAGGGTGCTGGCTGACTGTGTTTCTGAGTCCCTGCCTCTAATGTGAAAGCACAGGTCACATACAGGTGCAGGGCACACCTGTGAGTCTTTGTGTCTTCTCTGGAAAGACAGCTGCTGAGCAAGGAGGTTTCCATCTGAGCTCTAAAATGCAGATGTAACAGAGTTTGTAGAAAAACTAATTATCTTCATTTTGGCCATCAAAGCCATTGATCCTCTATGCCTATTATCAATTTAAAGGACTAACAGCTTGATGGAATGATTCACCAGTTGAGGTGGGAAAATCTTTTTTTTAACTTTTATTTTAGGTTCTGGGGTACATGTGCAGATTTGTTATATAGGTAAACTCATGTCATGGGAGCTTGTTGTGCAGACTATTTCATTGCCCAGGTATTAAACCCAGTATTCAGTAGTTATCTTTTCTGCTCCTCTCCCTCCAACTGGGGGAAGACCCAGTGTCGGCCGGGCGCAGTAGCTCACGCTTGCAATCCCAGTACTTTGGGAGGCCGAGGCGGGCAGATCACGAGGTCAAGAGATTGAGACCATCCTGGCTAACATGGTGAAACTCTGTCTCTGCTAAACATACAAAAATTAGCTGGGCGTGGTGGCGTGCACCTGTGGTCCCAGCTACTAGGGAGGCTGAGGCAGGAGAATCGCTTCAACCCAGGAGGCAGAGGTTGCAGTGAGCCAAGGTCGCCCCACTGCACTCCAGCCTGGTGACAGAGCAAGACTCTGTAAAAAAAAAAAAAAAAAAAAAAAAAAAGAAAGAAAAAAAAACCTCAGTGTCTGTTTCCTTCTTTGTGTTCATAAGTTCTCATAATTTAGCTCCCACTTACAAGTGAGAATGTGTAGTATTTGGTTTTCTGTTCCTGCATTAGTTTGTTAAGGAAACTGTCTCTAGCTCCATCCACATTCCCACCAAAGACATGACCTGGTTCTTTTTTATGGCTGCATAGTATTCCATGGTGTATATGTACCACATTTTCTTTATCCAGTCTGTTACTGATAGGCATTAAGGTTGATTCTATGTCTTTGCTATTGTGAATGGAGCTGCAATGAACATTCATGTGCATGTGTCTTTATGGTAGAATGATTTATATTCCTCTTGGTATATATCCAGTAATGGGATTGCTGGGTCAAATGGTAGTTCTGTTTTTATGTCTTTGAGGAATTGCCAGTCTTCCACAATGGTTGAACTAATTTACACTCCCTCCAACAGTGTATATGTATTCCCTTTTCTCTGTAATCTTGCCAGCATCTGTTATTTTTTTACTTTTTAACAAGAGCCATTCTGACTGGTGTGAGATGGTATCTCATAATGGTATGGATTTGCATTTCTCTAATGTTCAGTGATGTTGACCTTTTTTCCATATGCTTGTTGGTTGCATGTATGTTTTCTTTTGAAAAATGTCTGTTCATGTCCTCTGCCTACTCTTTAATAGGTTGTTTTTCTCTTGTAAATTCGTTTGAGTTCCTTATAGATGCTGGATATTAGACCTTTGTCAGGTGCATAGTTGCAAATGTTTTCTCCCATTATGTAGGTTGTCTGTTTACTCTGTTGATAGTTTCTTTTGCTGTGCAGAAGCTCTTTAGTTTAATTAGACTCCATTTGTCAATTTTTGCTTTTGTTGCAATTGCTTTTGGTGTCTTTGTTATGAAATCTTTTTCCATTCCTGTGTTCAGGATGCTATTGCCTAGGTTGTCTTCCAGGGCTTTTATAGTTTGGGGTTTTACATTTAAGTCTTTAACCATCTTGAGTTGATTTTTGTTTATGTGTAAGGAAAGAGTCCAGCTTCGATCTCCCACATATGACTAGCCAGTTATCCCAGCACCATTTAATTGAATAGGGAGTCTTTTCCCTATTGCTTATTTTTGTCAGCTTTGTTGAAGATCAGATGATAATAGGTGTGCAGCCTTATTTCTGGGTTCTCTATTCTCCATTGGTCTATGTGCCTGTTTTTGTACCACTACCATGCTGTTCTGGTTATGGTAGCCCCGTAGTATTGTTTCAGGTACGGTAATGCGATGCCTCCAGCTTTCTTCTTTTTGCTTAGGATTGTCTTAGCTATGTGGGCTCTTTCTTGGTTCCATATGAATTTTAAAATAGTTTTTTTCTAGTTCTGTGAAGAATACTGTTAGTAGTTTGATAGGAATAGCATTGAATCTATATGGCAGTATGGCCATTTTAATGATATTGATTCTTCCTATCCATGAGCAGGGGATGTTTTTCCATTTGTTTGTGTCACCTCTGATTTCTTTGAGCAGTGTTTTATAATTCTCACTGTAGAGATCTTTCACCTCCCTGGTTAGCTGTATTTCAAAGTATTTTATTCTTTTTGTGGCAATTGTGAATGGGGCTGCCTTCCTGATTTGGCTCCTAGTTTGGCTGTTGTTGGTATATAGAAATGCTAGTGTTTTCTGTTCGTGGATTTTGTATCCTAAAACTTTGCTGAAGTTGTTTATCAGCTGAAGGAGCTTTTCGGCTGAGACTATAGGGTTTTCTAGATATAGAATCATGTCATCTGCAAAAGGGGTAAGTTGACTTCCTCTCTTCCTATTTGGATGCGCTTTATTTTTTTCTCTTGCCTGACTGCCCTGGCTAGGACTTCCAATAGCATGTTGAATAGGAGTGGTGAGAGAGGGCATCTAAAATCATTTTTTAAAACTGCTTTGTTCTCAGTGAACCACGGACATTTTCTCTGACCTGAATCATCCCAGACCAGACAAAGTGACCCCTACTTGCTGACCTTGCAAATCCAGTTGGCGTCCATGCCTATAGGGAAGACACAGTCTTTCCTGCAGTGTAAGATGTTCTTGGCCAGTCCACAGGGTCCCTGGGTGAGGAGGACACAAGGAACTGTGGTTCCTTCCTCACTTTAGACTGGACCAGTGGGTGCCCAGGACTGGAAAGGCCACAGAGCTGGTCCAGGGCAGCCCAACCCTCTGGTTACTCTCAGAGTCTGGGAAGTCAGCACCTCCTGCAGCAGCTGTCCACCTTAGTTCACCAGAAAATTCTCCGGTATGTCCTAGGGCCAGAATCTGGCTACTTGTGATTTCTACCCCCAGCCCTAGTTCTGCTTTCTGGAGCCTTCAAGGGGCTGCTGCAGTTATGATTGGCAGCAGTTTAGCATGATTTCCATCCCTGCCTTACTTTGACTTTCTGCTCAGAGACCCTTCAAAATAACACCATTCCTGGACACCTGGTGTCAGCCTGGACACTCAGGGCCATCATTTCCCAGCCACCCAGCTGACCATGCAGAGCAAGGGCCCCACGGTGTCCATCTCCAGAGCTCAGGGGCTCATAGTTGAGAGGTGGGTGGACATTTCCTCGAAGCCACTGCCAGCGTCCCTGCCTACCCCTTCAGGGAGCAGTCGTACAGAGACCCTCGGTGTTCTAGTAGCTGCATTCCAGGACCTTCTTGTCTTAGTGTTTATGGTTAAACAAAGCTCCAGAATGAAGCTGATGAAACAATGCAGGAAGCTGGATGCGACACCATCCAGGTCCAGATTTCACAACCCTGTGGAATGTGAACTTGGGGGCTCTCGTAAACAAACCTTCCCTGCATCTGGAGATGCTGAAACGGTGGCCCACACTGCCAGACTCCTGAAATCTCCCTGTCAGTGACATTTTTGAATGCTGCCTTTTCAGGTGGCCAATTACAAAATATCTTGTTACTCTCACTCCTACAGAATCTCAGTAATTCTAACACAAACAGTGATTATACAAATCTACCAAATGAAGGCTTCTGTCTTCTTTTTGTTCTGAGGATGCATGTTTACATCATTTGTTCTTAAAATATTTGCAAGTGATATGAGGAGAGCTACATCTATGCATTCGCCAAGCTGGGTATGATATGCCAAATGCCATTTTAGAAATGCTGCAATTAAGAACGATGACAATAATTGCTTTTGGCAGAAACAGAGAGGAAAGAGCCTTCGGAGGGAAATACACAAAGCAATTACCTGTCAAAACTAATAGAAGGAGCATGCCCTGGAATGCACGGAGTACAGAAATGAGAATGTGCTCTTCTCAGGAGACAACAGGCGGAGGTGTGAGACGGCCACATGCTGGGAAGGGCCTTAGCTGCAGCCGAGAGCTGAGGGACTAACTGCAGAGATAATCAGAGAAGGGGCTCTGGGCGCCACAGTGACCCTACTGTCCACAGAGGCAGAAACCAGGCAAGACACCGTCCAACCATCAGGCTGCTCTTGATGATTCAGCATGGTTTTCAGACAAGTTTCTTCTACTTGGCAGTAATGAGCATTCGTTTCTCCAGCAAACGTTTACTGAGCATCTCCTGCACTGCCACGCACTGTACTATGGGCAGGATCACCTGCCACTGTCCAGGGCTACCTGACCAGGGCTTTTCTTGCCAGAAAGGACAGCAAAGCTTAACCCTGCAAACACAGCCTTGAGGTGGAGATTGGCTCCTAACATCCCCCTGGCTGGCAAGAGTCCCCTCCTGGTCCCTAAGAGAAACAGCTAAGACAGGAGGAGACAATGCCCCACAGCAGAGCGCGGTCTCCAAACGTGTTTAGAATGCTGCAGAGGATACTTTACAGCAAGCCGGATTTTCTTCAGATGACTCAGATACGCTGACATTCTGTCTAATTAGTGCGCTGCATGCATCCCACCCTCAACAGCCTGATGGTGAACTACGGACTGTTGGGAAACGCCATCTCCTGGGACACCGCCCTTAGGAGGCACCTGGAAACTGGATCACAGCAGAATTCTGAATTTCAGAAACAGCGGTTTGATTCTGGGTTGGGGTTCAGGTGGATTCCACAGGCGGGGGCCACATTCTGGTACCTGAACAAACATTAAACCCACAACTCCAAATCCAGAAATAACCAAAACTATTAAATGAACAAGAGGATTTTTCAAAGTAACGTTTATAGGTCCAGATAGAACCTATGAATTTTTAAGAATGTGCTGAATCCAAAACAACCCAAACATCCAAGTATGCTCCAAATTGAGCCTGAGTCAGTCCAATACATGTGGTTGGGATCCCTGACCAGCCATCTCTGCCTAAAGAGAAGGCATCATTGCAAATGCCTCAGAGGTGGGAGTCTCTTCCACACCTGCAGGGTCCTCGGGGCCCTCAGCTTTGGCATGTAAACGCATGTGGGCATCAGGAAAATGGATGTGTGCTAATTCATCTGCAAAATACCTGACTCTTCCTCTTCCAGATGTTTGCTGTTATTACCTTCATGGACAGCCAGTGCTTCCTTCCACGTCAAATATTCTCAAACCCTTTTCCCAAACTCCTGCCACGGCTCGGATGCTGCTGGGGCCGCAGGGGCTTAGGGCTGGGGCCACGCGAGGCCTTGGAGAGGGTGAACATTCAAGGCCTCAAGGCACGGGGAGTCCTGCCGTGCTATTCCAAGGACAATCTTCCATAGATTTATGATTGGGACTTGTGTCTCTTCCTGGATCATCCCAGAACATACATCCACAGCGCCAGGACAAACCACCGCTCCCCCCACCTTGCAGCAGGGCCTGACCGTGGGTCTCGGCAGGAATGGAGCCAGGTGAGGACACCTGGTAGTGGTCTCTCCTTCAGGCTCCTGCTGCCTCTGCCCCTGAGGGATGTGACGGGGGTGGGGGGACACCACCCCAGCTTAGTCAGGGCCAGCAGCTGTGCCCAGGGTCCACAGAACGGCCGGCCATGGTGTGGAACAGCTGCTGGGCCCTGGGATGTCTGCCCCATCCATACCTTGGGACCCAGCTCTCATGATCTCACAGCCCCATCCTCCTCCAACCCCTGACCACCCTGGAGCAGTTCTGAGCCTGCAGTGGTCTCCTTGTGCCCCCAGGTGCCTGCTGGCACCAGGACACACCTTATGCCCCTCAGATGACTGAGGTCCTAACAACTGTGTGTAAAAACCTCTGGGCCCCCCTGGCCACTCCCCTCCTGCCTTGGGCCTCCCACCTGTGTGCTGGGACCCCTTCACCCTCCCTCCAGCAGCTTTGGCAGTCCCTACCAGAGGCACTTTCCTCGCCTCTGACCCTGCCTTCTTTGCTCTCCATGAAATTTCAGGAGGAGCATCCACTGCCATCCTGAAGCCTGGGTCCTGCCCTTCCCACACTTACCACGAGGGCATCTCCATCTCCCACCTGGAGGAACTCGATCAATGAGTTTCCTCATTTCCAGGAATGCCCTAATTCCTTCCAGAAATGACGGCTCCATGGACCTTCCTGAAACACAGCTCACATGCGAACCCCACTTCTCAGGAGCCTTCAGTGGTCTCAGCTCTGCAGGTTGGGCACGCTAACTGCTCTTCTCCCTCAACTGCTCCCTCCTTCCCTCCCTGCGGCTGAGCTCAGTCCTGACACAGGCTTCTTCCATCTGCTGCACACCAAAGCCCACCACCCTTCAAGCTCCAGGGCAAAGCCAGCCCGAGCGCCAGTGTAAATGCACCCCCTCCCTCCTGTGAGCTCCCACAGCACATTTTGGTGCCAGGAGACGTGGTCTTGGGGGCAATGGCACGCACGTCTGCAGCTGTAAGAAGAACCCGTCACCACCCGCCTGGGGGGTCAGGGCCAGGTGAGCAGCTTCACACTCTGTTCCCTCAAACTGGCCTCTGGGGGGGACAGGGCTGGGGGGACAGGGCCAGGTGACCAGCTTCACACTCTGTTCCCTCAAACTGGACTCTGGTGGGGACAGGGCCAGGTGACCAGCTTCACACTCTGTTCCCTCAAACTGGCCTCTGGGGGGGACAGGGCTGGGGGGACAGGGCCAGGTGACCAGCTTCACACTCTGTTCCCTCAAACTGGACTCTGGTGGGGACAGGGCCAGGTGACCAGCTTCACACTCTGCTCCCTCAAACTGGCCTCTGGCGGGGACAGGGCCAGGTGACCAGCTTCACACTCTGTTCCCTCAAACTGGCCTCTGGCGGGGACAGGGCCAGGTGACCAGCTTCACACTCTGTTCCCTCAAACTGGACTCTGGCGGGGACAGGGCCAGGTGACCAGCTTCACACTCTGTTCCCTCAAACTGGCCTCTGGGGGGGACAGGGTCAGGTGACCAGCTTCACACTCTGTTCTCTCAAACTGGCCTCTGGGGGGGACAGGGCCAGGTGACCAGCTTCACACTCTGTTCCCTCAAACTGGCCTCTGGGGGGGACAGGGTCAGGTGACCAGCTTCACACTCTGTTCCCTCAAACTGGCCTCTGGCGGGGACAGGGCCAGGTGACCAGCTTCACACTCTGTTCCCTCAAACTGGCCTCTGGGGGGGACAGGGCCAGGTGACCAGCTTCACACTCTGTTCCCTCAAACTGGCCTCTGAGGGGGACAGGGTCAGGTGACCAGCTTCACACTCTGTTCCCTCAAACTGGCCTCTGGGGGGGACAGGGCTGGGGGGACAGGGCCAGGTGACCAGCTTCACACTCTGTTCCCTCAAACTGGCCTCTGGCGGGGACAGGGCCAGGTGACCAGTTTCACACTCTGTTCCCTCAAACTGGCCTCTGGGGGGGACAGGGCCAGGTGACCAGCTTCACACTCTGTCCCCTCAAATTGGCCTCTGTCCTCCCCTCTTGAAACTACCTTCACAAAAATTATAACAGTGAGAAAATGATGGCTGTGAAAGAGACCTGATTTAACCATACCCCATCTTGACTTTAGATGCCCTCAATTATTCCTGGGCTTAGGTCAAGCTAACTTCGAGAGACTTTTAGGTTATGGTTTAAGTGATAAGAGCCCTTCCCCCAAACTCAGCCATCTTTGTAAAGCTAATGAGAGACCACCGGGCTAGGGAGAGGAGAGGAGGCTGAATTCTGCTAAGGCACAGATATAAATGATTGGCAGCCATTATTCTGGAAGTCACAAGATATGCAACTTCCCCAGTTACCCCTGCAGATGACATCACTATTATGGAACCTAAGATTGGCCTTTTGAGATATCTTTTCAGGGTTCTGCATGTCTGACACCATGGCTCCACCTGGACCGGCCAACCACTCCTGTAGCCCCACCCAGAAGTGATTCAGCCCACTGAGGACCATTTCCCACACCCCTGTGACGGCACCCCAGCCAATCAGCAGCAAGCACTACTGCCTAGCACCCCCCAATCCCCAAACTACCTTTGAAAAACCCTAGCCTCTGAGCCTTTGATGAGGTGATTTGAGTAACAACTCGGTCTCCCACATGGCGTGGCCGGCATCACGTCAATTAAATTCTTTCTTTACTGAAATGCTGTGTATTGATTTCGTTTGTGCCATGGGCAGGAAGAACCCATCAGGTGGTTACATTCTTCACTGGCAAGGAAAGAGTTACAGGTAAGTTACAGATCCTTTGAAAAGCTCTGTTAATAATCTCCTGGGATGGGAGGAAGGTTGCCTTGAAATTAACTGTTAATTCTGAGCCACAGAAGCACTACAAACGGCAGGATACTCAAGCAGCTGCAGACATCTGAGCGTGCTCTGGACATGGCATCCAAGGCCCAGCATGGCAGTCTCCTCTTCCAGACAGAATGCGCTGCCTCCGCCCAGTTCATCTACATGCAGAAACGTAGATAATGGGGTGGTCTGTGCCAGGGGTGTGATAGGGGAGACTCTAGCCAGTGGAACGAGGAGGGGTCATCAAATCTTAGAAAGAAGAACACGGGGCCCTGCTGTCAAACTTCAAAGAATCGACAGACCAGAGAAGAGAAAATGCTGATTTCACAAAGTGGATGGTGAACAAATGGAAAACCTTATCTCCTGTGTAAAGGCAAACAGAAAACTCTCAGGACCCCCAAACTCTTTATGCCAAAGGAAAAGTTAAGGATGGAGGCCCAGTTCATTTCACACTGATCATGTCAATTACAAGCTTGTCTTCCCAGGTGCAGAATGACAAGATGAGATCAGCCATTTCCTCTACCTACCCAGAAATACCTGCAAAACTGATGCTTCCTTTATCCCCTTTCTTTCTTCAAAAGTTCATCTGGTCTGATGTAAAACGCAGATTTACTGGGTACCAACTAAAGTCTCAGCATGTGGCCATTTGCCTTACTACCTCCTCGCCCCTCTCCCCACAGGACTTTGCTGCTTTAAGGGCAAGTATAAACACTAACCCTCCTGAAGACCTCTTCAGAAAAGATAGTCACAGGTGTGTCTGTGACTCACATTTTTTCTGAATCTGCTGTAAGACTGGCTTAATAAACCTCTTGAAACCTTCATTGAAATCCATGCCTAAGTCACTGATTTTGGTTATCACCAGAGGTGGCTTAAGCTTCTCAAAGTTAAAATGGAGACAACACCTGAAAAATTCCTGAGCAGACACAACCAGTCAGGTCTCAAATTACCTCAACCTTGACTGATTTGCAGACATAAGCGACACTTAACCTGAGCCATTTCTTGTAAATTCCCATTTTAAAGAAGAGTAGGATTTAAGCTCAACAACCAGATGTAGCCAACAAACTTTAATAATCGTATCAACGAGGGACTTTCCAATGGGACAGAACAAATAAGGCAGCTGTGCAAGTGTAACCAAGCCAACATTCTTTGCTTTACTTCTGTGTCGTCTATAAAAGCCTCCCCCTCACATTCCTTCAGGGGAGTTCCTGAACCACCTCTGGTTTGGAGCTGCCTGGTTCATGAATTGTTGCTTGCTCAAATGAACTCTTTAAACACAGCACTGTGCCTCAGTTTACCTTTTTGACAGTCTCGTCAGAAGTGAGATCCCCAGGAGCAGCGAGTAACCAGGCGCGGGCAGCCCCCGGGCCACTGCACCCACTGCTGTCTTGCTGCATTTGGTGGCCACAGGGGAAGCCCCTCTAGGAGGTCGAGCTCCACAACTTGCACCCTGAGCTCTCCGACTCCATGGGAGCAGTTTTTATTCCAGAGCTCAGCCTGGGTCTGACAGGGACTGCACTGGAACCTGGACTGGGATCCAGAGTGAAACTGGGTGTTCTACAGGAACTGGCCTGGATCCAGTCGGAGGCCTCAGGTAAGAAAAATGTGAGAAAAACAGGGAATTATGGGTTCATCAGAATCCATGGAGTCTGGGACACCCCATCTGGAACTCCAGCTAATTATATGTTCAGAAACTACAGACCCAGAGCCCGTGCCTTTCTGGAGAAATGGGTGCAGCTCAGGGGGATGACTCCGAGTCACAGTGGCCACAGTGGGAAGTTTATTCCACATGAAATCATTCACGGACGGGCTCATTCAAGAACAAGGAATCGTGAGTATCTGCAAACCACGCAATATATTTTTTGATTGGCATACAGACTGATTTCAGACAGAATGATTGGCATACAGACTGATTTCAGACAGAATGATTGGCATACCGATTGATTTGAGACAGAATGATTGGCATACCGATTGATTTTAGACAGAATGATTGGCATACAGATTGATTTCAGACAGAATGATTGGCATACAGATTGATTTCAGACAGAATGATTGGCATACAGATTGATTTCAGACAGAATGATTGGCATACCGATTGATTTTAGACAGAATGATTGGCATACAGATTGATTTCAGACAGAATGATTCCAAAAATGCAGCCTCCCTAAAGGAATCTCTACAACACTCAAACAAAACGCTATTTTGATTTCTTGCCTTTTCCATAAGAAGATTCTGAAAACCAACTTCCTTACAAATTAAATCCTCCACTGAGCCTGGGGCATCTGCAACAACTAACTCAGATTTTGGCCTCTTGCACACAACCCTGAGCTATTACAAAAGCAGCCACCTGAGGCTGAAGAGGAGAAGGACTCGTCAACACACCAGTGTCTCCTGGCCACCCCCTAAACACGGCCCACGGTCCCAATAAAGCTGACCCCGGACAACAGGCAACTATGCCCACAGCTCCTTTCTGGAGAAAACTTAATGTCCTTTCTCCCTGCCTTAGAGATACCGAAATCTTTAAAATGCAGGCATCTGGGAAATGACGCATCAGAAGGGAGAAAAAATGGGAACACTGTAGAAAAAAACTGGCAAATGGAAAATCGTAAAGTCCTTTCCATATGTATTAACAAAAGACTTTGGCCATCCGAACAGGTAACTTTATCTGCCAAGAACACAATTTGGACCGACCAGTGAGTTTTATATTATCGTTCCTGGCACAGGGCTACAATTTGAGAACAGAGGCCAGGAATCTCTGCTTCTGTCTGTTTGGTTATGTACGTCTATATGTATGTATGTTATTTATATCTCATATTACCCTACCTTCTGATGTTATTATTAGAGATAACATATAAACGAGATCTATTTTATTTGCCTAAAGAAAATTAGGTGCTTGTAAAAATTAAATATTTTGTGAGAAAAAAGGAACTAACCCAATGGTTTTCAAGTTCATCTAACTTGAGTAATCTTTAATAAATAAGAATGTCGATGATGTAGTAGAAATGGACATTCTACCTAGCTGAGCTAGTCAAATAAGCTCATTATTCCTGTTAAAAAATTTGTCAACAAGAAAAATAACCTGAGATGACAGGTAGTTTGATATTATCCGTCTGTTTAAAAACAGTTTCCAAAATATTTTTGAAAACTTGAAACTCTGAAATTATACTAAGTTAAATTAAATGATATTTACTACATATCTAGATCATGCCCAAATAAGATAAACTACTAAAACACTAATTCCTAAAAAGAAGTTTAAGCTCAAGTATTTTTGGCTTATTCTAGAGGAACTGGAGCTACCTAGGTCTGCCAGTAAGTGTGTCCTGTGCTGAGAAAGTACATGCCATTTAATAACTATGATATCATGTACTTCCTAATTCACAGTGCATATCAGTGTCACTAAGGATTAAGAATTTGAATTAACATGTGTAATTAAAATCACTGGAAATAAAGATGAAAGCAAACAACTGTATATGAAAAAAACAGAGAAAGTATGATGTGTTTTTAATAAGGAAAAGTATATGAGGTCTGTGTTTAAGGAAAAAGAGAGTACTTTTAACTTAAAGCAAGATGACTGATTGTTCCAGAATAAAAAAGAAGAAAATGAGTAAGAAAAAAACTGAGTGGGTATACACAGTTGTAGAAAGTCTGACAAAAGAAATTTTATGTGTGGTCAAACTACTAACATTAGAATGATTTTATTTATAAGTTTTTGTTAAAAAAAGCTTCAAGTACTGACACAAAGTGAGTTTGTTTTCTATTAATAGTGCAATATTTTCTTTCTTTTTTTTTTTTGAGACGGAGTCTTGCTCTGTCACCCAGGCTGGAGTACAGTGGGGCCATCTCGGCTCACTGCAAGCTCTGCCTCCTGGGTTCACGCCATTCTCCCGCCTCAGCCTCCTGAGTAGCTGGGACTAGAGGCGCCCGCCACCACGCCCGGCTAATTTTTTGTATATTTAGTAGAGACGGGGTCTCACCGTGTTAGCCAGGATGGTCTTGATCTCCTGACCTCATGATCTGCCTGCCTCAGCCTCCCAAAGTGCTGGGATTACAGGAATGAGTCACCGCGCCTGGCCAATAGGACAATATTTTCTTGAATATTGGTCTTCTCTTAATTACAAAAGTTTTTTTTTTTTTTTTTTTTTTTTTTAACATTTTAAGTAATTGGCCTAGAAAACAATGATTTTGTGTTTTATCAGGATAACTTATTAAGCTTCATGCTGTCTCTAGTCTTTGATTAGTTAAGAAAAGTGAGTCTTTAACATTAAAAAAGGGCCGGCTACAGGGGCTCGCGCCTGTAATCTCAGCACTGTGGGAGGCCAAGGCAGGCGGATCACTTGAGGAGTTCAAGACCAGCCTGGCCAACATAGTGAAACCCTGTCTCTACCAAAAATCCAAAAAATTAGTTGGGCATGGTGGCACATGCCAGTAATCCCAGCTACTCGGGAGGCTGAGGCAGGAGAATTGCTTCAACCCAGGAGGCAAAGGTTGCAGTGAGCCCAGATCGCACCCCTGCACTCCAATCTGGGTGACAGAGTGCGTGAGGCTCCGTTTCAAAAAATAAATAAAATAAAAATAATATTTAAAAAGGAAAGTTCTTTATTACAATCTGGTATCTGTTCCATAAAAACCTGCTGAAAAATGTTAATAAATGGGAGGAGGCCGGGCACAGTGGCTCACGCCTGTAATCCCAGCACTTTGGGAGGCCAAGACGGGTGGATCACCTGAGGTCAGGAGTTCGAGACCAGCCTGGCCAACATGGTGAAACCCCATCTCTACTAAAAATACAAAAATTAGCTGGGCGTGGTGACAGGCGCCTGTAATCCCAGCTACTCAGGAGGCTGAGGCAAGAGAACTGCTTGAACCCAGGAGGCGGAGGTTGCAGTGAGTTGAGATCATGCTATTGCACTCCAGCCTGGGCGACAGAGTGAAACTCCATCTCAGAAAAAATAAATAAATGAGAGGATCAGCCAACGCATCAGCAAATGTCAGCCGGACGGTTTAATTTCCACTCATCCCACGACACGAGGCAACCCTCAAACACACAGGTCCTGGCCATGAAGCCTTCAGGGAATCACAGGACTGGGTGCTGACCCAGAAAACTCTACAAAGCTTTGTGACCAAAGAGGTTCGAGTCCCAAGTCCCCTTCAGGAAGAGCTGCAGTCTGCTCATGTGTCTAAGTTTGCCTCTGTTGCTTATAACAACATACCGGAAACTGGGTAAATTATAAAGGAAAGGCATTTATTTCTCACAGTTATGAGGCTGGATAAATCCAGGGTCGAGTGGCCACAATGGCTTTCTTGCTGGCGGGGACTTTTCAGGGTTCCCAGGTGGCACAGGCCATCGTGTAGTGAGGGGGCTGAGCGTGTTGGCCCAGGTCTCTCTTCTTCTTATAAAACCTATCCCTTGAAAACCCACTAATCTATTAACGGATTAACCCACTTACGAGGGCAGAGCTTTCATGACCCAATCACCTCTTCAAGGCCCGTCTCTCAATACTACTACATTGAGGATTGTTTTAACCTAAGTATTGAAGGGGATAAATATTCAAACCATAGCAAATCAAAAACATGTGAGAGTCGAAGCCACCAAGAATCTGACAGGTTGCATGAAAGCGCACATTAGTGTCCATCCACAGTGGCCATGTACCCAAGACAACCACTGCTGCCCCGGAAGAAGCTGAGAGGTCACTGGCCACACACTGAGGAGCTGTGTGTGTGGTGAGCTGCATGCTGGCTGTGGGTTTCGTTTCCACTGACCCAGGTCTCTGAGCCTCTCAAGAACCCCCGCGTCAACACAGTCCTTGTGGAAGAACAGGCTGAGCCCAGGAAAAGGAGGAGGCCCCGACAGACAACATGCTGTAAAAACCATGGCTCATAAGTAAAGAATGTGAAATGGGTATATAAATATAAAATCATAAAAAATGAGGCCAGCAGGAATTGTTACTGCTGTGGCCATGTGGAGAAGCAGCCGCCACTCGTCACCAACCCCCACCAGCAGGACAGGAAGCAGCCAGGTTCTGAGGACACCCAGGCATACCTGGGGAGGAGGAGGCAGGTGTGAGAGCCCAAGGATGGAGGAGACAGAGATCAAGGGAGGGGAGTGGAGAAGGCAGAGAGGTATGCACCAGGAGAGGCCATCGACTGGTGGGAGCTTGCTGTGTCTGGGGTCACCAGCACCAGACTGAGCCCTGACCTCAGCAGGAGGGGTGGGGAGGAAGCTGACTCTGACCCCATCAGCAGCAGCTCACCTCAAGGGGCCGGCCGCCCACCCTGAATGGCTTCCTGTGACCCACTGTGGTCACCCAGGCAACAGCTCCGTTCTTCCCAGACAGGAGAAGCCATTAGTGCACTTCTGAGTGGCCCACTCCTTCACCTGCCAGAAACTGACTTCTCAACCATAATTCCCTTTATGATTCTTAAGCATTTTATTCAGGGTAAAAATTAATTCAGTGAGATTTGTTTCCTATAAAAAGTAAATATAAAGACATTACTTTAAAAAAAAATAGAGACAGCTTCTTGCTCTGTTGTCTGTGTTGTCCAGGCTGGAGTGCAGTGGTGCCATCATGGCTCACTGCAGCCTTGAACTGGGCTCAAGCAATCCTCCTGCCTCAGCCTCCTGAGAAGCTGGGACTATAGGTGTGTGTCACCACACCAGGTTAAGTTAAAAAGTTTTTTTGGTGTCTTGCTATGTTAATCAGGCTTGTCTTGAACTCCTGCCTTCAAGTTACCCTCCTGCCTCGATCTCCCAAAGTGCTGGGGTTACAGGCATGAGCCCATTGCACCAGGCATAAAGACATTACTTTAAGACTGTCCCAACCAATAAACAGTTATTAATTATTTAAATATCCAAGACGAGGAAATGACCTTAAAGAGTTTAGAAAATGGAAGAAATCTAGTCAAAAAGATCCAAAAGAAAAAAGTGACCAGGCTGTTTATCTCATCAGTCCAAAAAGTTATTTGGACTAGAACAAGGACCTACTTATATCAGAAAGAAAATGAAAAGGAAAGATATAGGCACCTTTTAAGATACAACTGACGTCTACACCATCAATATTGACATCAGAGGAACCTACTTCTCTGCTCTCTGCCGTGGATGCCAAAACTGCTCGGTTCAGACCTTCTGGAGCATAACACAGTGATTATTCATTTAGTTTCTTAGAACAGGTCTGCCTTGAATATCTGCTGAGGACCACGAACAGCGAGCTCCCACCAGAGCTCCAGCTCCCGCAGCAGAGGGCAGCATCGCAGGGCAGCTGAGCCGAGACCACAGAGCGAGGTGGAATGCTGCAGCCACACAGGGCCTTGGACCCTCCGAGGAGGGTCAGTGCCCACATGACGCTGTGAGCAAGAACCCATTTGTGGACACTGTCTGGTTTCCTCTGACAAAGAGAAACAAGCAAGAAGGGGTTAGGTGTAAAATGGGTTGTGATTAACCATATCCCACATGACACAACCGACACAGGAATGAGAAAGTGGGCTAAAATAGTGTCATTTGGTCATAGGAGATGGTGATTCCCATTTTATATGAGTGGCTTGAAGTTAACCCTCAAATGCTGGTGAAATATTTTATTCCCACCAACAAAACGGTCACTAGAACATTGTTTGTAGTAGCAAAATACTGTCGGCTACCTAAAAGTCCATGGACCTGGGAGAGACTAAAGAAACACATTAGAATACTATAGCAGCTCTTAAAGAGAATATAAGAACAAATGCAAAACAGTTGCCAAATACATTGTTACACTGAAATACAAAACAGAAAAGAAAAGCAAGATGCCGAGCACATGTGTGAAGAGTATGCCAGCTTCCACGTGTCTGGAAGGAAAAGCGGGGTCTACCCACGTGTGGACGTGTGCGCACCCCAACTCTCCAGGGGCAACTTGGGGCTGGCAGCAGTGAAGTCTGTAGAGACATTTCCCATTATATACATTTTTGAACAGAATTTTTCTATGTGCATATTAGATATATATATGTATATCACTTAATTTCTACTGTGAGAATTTTCATTAATTTGTTCAGCAAAAGCTTTTAAAATATCTCTCTAGATGCTAAGTTCTGTGTGAGACTTGGGAGAAGCAGCAGAAACATGATGCCATCTCCTCTGGGCACTGGAGGAGAAGGACCAAGAAATCACACAGTGAGTTATGATCACGAAAGTCACAGGATGCTGTGGGACAGGAAAGGAAGCACATTTCCATCCTACTCAGCAGCCACCAGTCCTTGCTTTAGGAGTTCATTCCCCCAAGTATGATAGAGAATATGTTTCTCTGACATAAGTCATCCTTCTTTCTGAGGATGTTTGTATAGCAAACAACCTAGGAGAGTTCGATAATTAAGATAATTACAATACCATCTCTCTCTGTAACAAAGGCTGGGGATTTGCCAGCAGCCTCCTTTTGACACTGGGGGTTTCCTAAGCCAGTTCTCCTCAGCTACAACACAAATGCACTGCATCGGAGGGGGCCGCTCCCACTGCTCCTGGGGGGCTTGAGAAGCAGAGGGAACCCGTGCGCACACGCAGCTCATGATGCCTGCTGTGCTGTGAACAGCAAGTCTCTTGTCTCTGGCCCAGCATCTCACGTCTTCTGCAGCATCTGCAAAACTGTGGCAGGCGACGTTGTTAGCCTGCAAGTGGGGAATGACCTCAAACCCTCCATAGTTCCTGACATGTAGATCGAAATTAGTTCAGCATCCATTGTTTTAAAAAAAATCAAAGAAAAGTTAGTTTTTAAGCCTAGCACTTTCCATGGCCTGGTCTAAGCTGACATTCACAGTCAGATCCATTTCAGCCATGCGCCTCTGAAGGATGTCTCAGAACAGTGAGCTCCCAGAACACATAGAGACCACCTCTGCTTCTCCCCAGAGGAGGTCACACCCCTCCAGACGCGGGTGTAAGAATGATATAAAGTCACACGAAAGTTCCTATCCAGCCTGTGCCTAGGCAGGAAGCCTGGACAAAGCCCCCTCAGGGACCTGTGCCTTCCACCTGCGAGTTGGCATGGGCCATGGAAACAGGGCTGGATCTCGGCTCTGAGGCCGGGAGTGCCTCATACACATATCGGCAAGAGAAAGCTTGTCTTAGTGATGCATCGATGTTAAGTCATACAGCTCCAAATAACTCCTAAGCTTACAAAGAGAATCCCGTAAGAGAGCTTAGAATTGAAATTGGTTTCTGTCTGGATTTACGTGTTTTTTTGTTTTTGTTTTTTTTTTAGATTCAACATGTAATAAAGAGAAACATTTCCAAATCAGACTTACACAAATTACCTCATTGGAATTGGAAGCTAGATTTTTTTCACCTCATTTCTGGCACTCTTTCACACAAATTTCTTAATCGTATGGATTTAAAAGTGGCTGTAACAGACCCTCAGTATCTCATCTCACCTGGCGTCAGGTGCAAATGCACACTGTTGTCTCGTGGAGTCACTCAGCCCATCTAATCAGACGCCTGCCTCAGCCTCAGCCTGTAGATTCCGGTTCACATCGCTGATAGCATCTTTATTCTGGTAACTTACTTCTATTTACATCCCTGGCATTTGAGCCACGCATATTTCAAAGAGTACAGAAAAACAAAAGAGTGGCCAGGCTGAGGCCCCGGCATGCTGCTGCTTCTCTCCTGAAGGGCAGTGTCTTGTTACCAAGTACTTCGTGCAAGTCAAAAAGGTAAAACAGATCAGATACAGATATTTTTCCTACAGAGCTGACACTGGAAATAAGAGCCTTCAATATGAGATGTCCAGGTAGACACCTTGTCGCTGCAAGAAAGCCGAGTGACAAGTTTCCCAACCAACGCTGCCTGCGAGGGGCTCTCGGGCCTGCATATGAACCCGCTCAAGCTGGCGTGGGGCTGAGTGACTGCCTGGGACCTGCGGCCCCTAGCGCCCGATATGACTCACACACGGACTGCCCACTGAGGGGGAGCCCCTGTGAATAGTGTAAATGTGCTGACCTGCCTTTGGGTGAGGGTGTTCCAGGAGGCGTCGCCAATCTCAGGTTAAGCTAGGGTCCAGCTACCGTGCAGAGAGCCATCAGATGGCTCCAGGCTCCCTCAAAATCTTTTTTTTTTAATGTATTGTTTGCAAACTTTTAAGAAAGTGGAATATTTTATATAAATCTGCATTTCTAATATCCCATGAAAACAGGAAGCTGGACAATTTGGAACTTGGAGGTGAGGAGGGCAACCCTAAAAGCCTGTCTCTCCTCAGGACTACCTTTCCTAACTCAGAACTTTCACTGGAAGAAGGACCTCCCATGGCCACGCTGCTGCTTCTGCCGTGGCAGACTGGCTGCCTCCTCCATCCACATCTCCTGGGCCGCATCAGCATTTCCCAGGACAGACTCTCAGCATGGCTTCAGCCAAGTTACTTTATTTGCCTTTCTCTGGACAGAGTTCAACCAGACAATCTGGAAGATGGGCCAGAACCATGCGTGCACCGCGGAATCGCAGATCTTTACAGCCGGAAGAAGCCTCGGAGGCAGAGCCTGCACGTTTCAGACCAAGAAACGGTGGCTCAGAGGGGGATGGGAACGGGCAGGGACACCTGTTTTAGTGACAATCTACAGCCCATTGTCCAGCGTGGAGACCGCTGGCCGCCTGTGGCTACTGGACCTTGAAATGGGGCCCAAACTGTGTCGTGCTGTAAGCACAAAAAACACACTGGACTTCTACAACTTAGCATCAAATAAGAATGCAAAATTAATAACTTCAGGTTGATTATACGTTGAAATGTTAACGATTCAGATTTATTCAGGTAAATAAAGGATACTATTAAAATTAATCTCTCATGCTTCTTTTTACTCATTGTAATGTGGCTTGCATTCTGTTGCTGCTGGGCAGGGCTATTCTTGAATAAAGCCCACCATCTGAGGCCCTCTACAGGACAACAGACTGTTTTAACACAGATTTAATTTCTTTCTTGAAGAGGAGAAAATCATGACAAAGAGCAGAGAAAGCTGAGGGACAAAGGCCTTGCTACTATTTATAGGCCGGGTGCTATCCCAGGGCAGAGTCTATAAACAGGTTGATAGCAGGCCCTGTTGGAGCATGATGGCCCAGCATGCCTCTGTCAAACCGGAGAAGGCGATCTGCACGTTCACAGTGTTCACCGCAGGCCCGTCTTCAGCACAACCAAAGTCCCATTTTCCTGTTTGCTTTCTGCCAAGTACCCACCATCCTTAACCAGATCAAAATCATCTGTCCTATAGCTAAGAATTTAAAATGCAAGAATTCAGATAAATGCTTATCCCCTGGAAAACTGAAGCTGCTTTTGCAAAGCATAACAAAGCCCATGAAATTGTTTTAGTAACTGTTGCTATCATCTCAAACCATGGAAACTGTTACTGCTAAGGATTAAGGTTATCTTTTTAAAGGTGTGTGTGAAGACCCTACCTATCCAACTCTCTCTGAGTTTTACCAGTAGTTCATTAACAAACAATGGGAAGTGGCCTTTCTTTTTCTTTTTTTTTTTTTAAGATGCAGGTGGTGACCCTGAACCACAGCTGAGTGAGGCGCATTCCCGGGTGAGAATGTCACGGGAGTTCTTACTCACCAAGCCTCTGCCTTACCTTTGTGTTTTTCTGTTTGAGACCTCAGAAGCTCTGCACATTTTGTTTCTTCCTCCTGTATTTCCAGATGAAATCGGCATTCTGGGTGAATGCTGTTCACCTGTTCACGGTTAAAAGAAATATTAATAACTAAAAATTCCACAAGAAGAAGAAAAGCAAGCAAAAATTCTACAAAAACAACCCCAAACCTCACAGCTTTAAACTGCTTCCAAACCAAAATGCATTTAAAACCAATCACCTTGATTTTTCTGGCATTTTTTAAAAACTTCACTATTTACTTTGTAAAGGTATTATAAAACAAACACAAAATCTAATAGAATTTTTTTTCTGAGCAGGAAAATGAACTTACTAACAGAATACATCGGTACTAATTTGGAGGCAACAGAGCTCTTTACTCCATTCATCTCTCCATACCCGGCTCCTCCGTTTCACACCCTTTGGTTTGGTTTAAGCGGATGCCTGTGGACTGTGCCGCTTCCTCCGAGGACGGCCTCCACCCGGGAAAGAGCCGTGATAGAAGGGCTTTATTTTTAAAGGTGTTGGTACATGTTCAAAGCTTAACCCTCTAACTACAGATAAAACTGCAATCGTTTTGACTAGAATTTGGGGTGGAAGAGATATTCAAAGAAATCAGCAAGATGAGGAGGGAGGCAGAGGTGGGGGAATCACACCATTGTGGCCCCACAGAGAAGAGGGGGCGATTTCCAGTCAGGATCCATCAGGGGAGCGAAAGGTGCCACAAAGATAGTAATTAACAGTCTACTAATGTGAGAAGAAGGCAGAACTACACAATGCTTCCTCTCAGAAGGCACCGTTTCTACCTTGTTCTTCACGCCCTCCGCGAAGTCAGCACAGGCCTGCCAAGCGGCCCTTGGGGGCTTAAGGAGGGCTCCCCCCACCCATCCTTTTGGTCTTGATCTTCCCCCTCCCCCACCACCGACCAAAATTCTACTTGTACTAAAGTAGTAACTAAAGAGAATCATACTGTTGGGCGTACTATGGCCATCTATGTTTAGTTATCTTACTATTGAAATGGTCAATGAGAGTTCCAACCAGGAACACAATATCCTAACAGAATTAAGGGGAAAACAATGCTGGAACTTCTGCCACCTTCAGCCCCATTTAAAAGAGCCCCGAGCTTGCTTCTTGCTCGTGACTGAACCAGCACCAGGCACTGACTTTGGGCTCCAAGTCCTCTGTTTTCATGCAGGACAAGTAAGTGGCTTAAATTTCAGAATTAAGGAAATTATATTGATGTAAAAAGAAAAACTTTGTTAAAGTGTAAAAGACATTAATAATACCTGACGTTCCTGGAATATGCACAGCAATGACTTCTTTTAGGACATTTTAGCAATGAAAGCAGCATTAACCGTGATAAAACCCGTTACTTTCCAAGGACCCGCTCCGCAAAGCGCCCACCCTCGAGGGAGGAAAGCCGAGCTGCGCCTCCGCGCAAGGCCAGGGAGTGTGGCTCGAGCCCCGCTGCAGACCGGGCGTCGCCGGTTAATCAATGACACTGTCGGGTCAGCAGCGCAGCCTCCCAGCTGCGGAGGGGCCGCGGATCGATCCAGACCTGCCTCGGCTGCGACGCGCACGAAAACCGCGCGCACCGCAAACCCGCTTCAGTCTCCAAGAGGAAAGCAAGAAACAAGGCTCGGGTTTTTTTCTTTCTTTTTTCTTTCCTTTTTTTTTAAGGTTCACAGAGGGAATAATTCAGAACTCCATGTGCGAAGGCACTTAATCAACAAACTTATGAGCAGTTAGTTCCTCCAGTGCCCTTGGGAAAAAGCAACTATTTCCAAAAGGAAACTTTATTTAACCGACGCCACGTCCCCCCGACACTAAAACTAACCAGTAAGTACAGGGAGGGACCGAGAGGCATCTGCGGCCAACGCCAACCCCGATCTCCCCGTGAAACGCGCAGCCCGCGCAGGCGCCCGCAGCTCCCAGCTCCCGGGACGGCCCCGAACGAGCTCATCGTTGACGCGTCCAGGAAGAAACGATCCCGTTTCCAGCAAACCCCGGACGGTGGGGCGCGGGGAAGGGCGCAGGCAGCCTCCCAACCCGAGTCCCGCAACCCGGCGGGACCGGAGCTCAGCGCTTCACGCTCTCCGGGAGGAAGCTCCGGACCCCGGGCGACCCCGCTCCCTCTCCCGGACCCCGCCCGCGCTCCAGCACCCGGGAGGAAGGCGAAGACCGGCGGGAGGAGCGCTCTTCTCGGAAGGGGAGAACCGGGTCCGAGGCGCCGTGGGGCGGGGGTCGCGGGCGCACTCACGGGGGCGAGCAGCCAGCAGGTCAGCAGCGCGGGAGGCAGCAGCGTCCGCATCCCGAGCTCAGCGTGCCGGGGGCCGCCCAGCGCCCGCCGCCTCCGTCCTAGGTCCCCGCGGTTCCGCCGCCTCCAGCATGGGCCGGGAGCGAGTGCGCGGAGACCTCGGGCCCCGCAGCTGTAGCCGAGCGCCCGAGCGCGGGGGCCGCCCCCTCCGTCCCGGCAGCTGGAGCGCGCTCAATGCACGCCCGTCCCCCACGCGCCCCGCCGCTCCGCCCCCCGCCCCTGTCCCCGCCCCGCGCTGCCCCAATCCTCGTCTCCCTCCTCCCCCGAGAACCCCCGCTCCGCGCCCCTCCTCACCGCCCCCCACTTCCCCTTCCGCTGCGCCCCGCGCCCTCTCCTCGCCCCTGGGCTCTCTGTCCCCGCCGCGCGCGCTCCCTCTGGTCTCCTCGACCCCCCCAGCCTCTCTCTCCGTTCTCCTCCCCTCTTCCCTGGCCCACGCCCCCCTCCCGGCCGCGCCTCCCCGATCTGTGGGCGGAGGGGCTGGGAAGCGGGGTGCTCAGTGCGCGCCCGGCTCCGAGTAGAGAGAACTGGGGGAGAGCGGCCGGCGCGGGGCCGGGAGAGGAGGACCGGGCCAGGTGTGCGCTCGGAAGGGGCGGATGCCTTTGCGGCCGCCTGTACCTGCCTTTCTAAACAACTGCGGAAGCCCAAGAAAGCGGCCAGAGACCCGTCCGGGGTGGGCGCGCCGTCTTTGTAGCCAGTGGGGCTAGGTTGGGGCATCTGAAAATGGAGAAAATCAGAGTGCTTTTTGGTGGGGATCCCCGCAGCCTCAAAGAGGACATCAGGTCGAACAGAAAGCTGGAGAAAAACGCAGACGGGGGTATAGGTGGGTCCCAGCCTCAGCTGGGTGGCGGGTTTTGTGTCCTGCGTTTGCAAAACGGGGGTCATTCTCTCCCCGCAAACGCGGCGGCGGGTGGGGAACGCTGGGCGGGGACTCACGCGGTGCCACTGGGGCCGCCCCGCCGCGCCCCACGCGGGACTGCGCGGCCTCCCAAGGCGCCCGCGTGACCAACCCAGGAGAGCTCGGCGTTCCCCAGCAAGTGGAAAGCACTGGAATGAGAGATACAAGTTAAGTTCGTGTTGTTTTAATTTTTTATTTGGAAATAATTTCAAACTTACACAAAAATTAGAAGAATAAGAATATTACAAATAACTCCTTTTTATCCTTTTTGTGGATTCGGTCATTAACATTTACCTCATTGGGCTTATCATTTGCTTCTCTCTGATCCCCCACCCCCCGTATTCACAGATATCGATTTTTCTATCATCTGATGTTTATCATCCACATTATCTATCATCTACCTATCCATCATCTACGTATCATCTATCGATCTGTCATGTACCTATCATCTATCATCTTCCTATCGATCATCTATCTGTAATCTGTCATCTATTATCTGTCATCTATCATCTACCTGTCCATCATCTACCTTTCATCTATCCATCTGTCAGGTATCTATCATCATGCGCCTATCATCTATCATCCACCTTTCCTCTATCACCTACCTGTCATCTATTATCTATGATCTATCCATCTATTATGTACCTATCATCTATCATTTGCCTATCTTTCATCTGTAATTTACCTATCTATAACCTGTCATCTACCTATTTATCATCTATCATCTGCTGTCATTTATGATCTATCCATCTATCATGTACCTATCATCTCTGTATCATGTATCAATCAGCTATCATCTACCTATCATCTCTCTGCGATCTATTACCTATCTATTACCTACCATCTACCTATTTATCATCTATCATCTACCTCTCTGTCATTTATCTATGATCTGTCATGTACCTATCATCTATTATCTTCCTATCGATCGTCTATCTGTAATCTATCATCTATTATCTGTCATCTATCATCTGCCTATCCATCATCTGTGATCCGGCATATCTGTGATCTACCTGGCTGTCATCTATCAATCACCTATCATCTGCCTATCTGTCATCTGGCTGGCATCTATCAATCACCTATCATCTGCCTATCTGTCATCTGCCTGTCATCTATCAATCTATCATCTGCCTATCTGTCATCTGCCTGTCATCTATCAGTCTATCATCTGCCTATCTGTCATCTGCCTGTCATCTATCATCTGCCTATTTATCATCTATCTGTGATCTATCATATCTGTGATCTGCCTGTCATCTATCAGTCATCTATCATCTGCCTATTTGTCATCTATCTGTGATCTATCATATCTGTGATCTGCCTGTCATCTATCAGTCATCTATCATCTGCCTATCTGTCATCTGCCTGTCATCTATCATCTGCCTATTTGTCATCTATCTGTGATCTATCATATCTGTGATCTGCCTGTCATCTATCAGTCATCTATCATCTGCCTATCTGTCATCTGCCTGTCATCTATCATCTGCCTATTTGTCATCTATCTGTGATCTATCATATCTGTGATCTGCCTGTCATCCATCATCTGCCTGTCATCTATCGATCATCTATCATCTGCCTATCTGTCATCTGCCTGTCATCTATCCTCTACCTGTTATCTATCTGGCTTCATCCATGTGTATCTAGTGGGAGACGAGGAGAGGGAGACCTGGGCCTTAGGCGGGCTGCTTGGCTTGTGAAGAAAGCTCGTGGCGCTGGGTGCCTTCGACAAACGCATCTTTTTCTCCCGGTTCCACCTGGGTGAGCGATGAACTTTGAGCTCTATGCATTTGTAGGAATGACAGCACCTGCCCTTCCACCGCAGAGGGGCTCTGTAATAATCAAGGTGATTAATGCACACGTCAATACCTTGTTGAGGGCCTGCATTTTAGAAGTGACTGTCCAGGGTGCAGTGAGGGGTTGCATGATGGGTGAGTCTTCCCCTGCAGCAGTGCGTCCCGATGGACGGGGTAGACCAGGAGAAATGGCTGTGGTCGTAGCTAGATGGCACACTTCTCTGAAGGTCCAGTGTGTGTGTAATCACGGGCTTTGCTGAACACCCCAAACCCTGCGGTTACCTGATGCTCTTAGAAAAATGACCAAAGTTCTCAATATGCCTTTGTAAACAAAAGATAAAATTCTAAGCCCCCCAACCAACTTAATGGACTCCCCTCTTGGCCAAAGGGATCCCAAAGAAACCTGAAAAACGAGTTCAGGCCATGACAGGGAGAGGGGGTTGGGCAGGCCTCACTACACCCTCCTTTCCTGGAGTTCATGACCAACATTAACATAAAAACAGAGCTCCTAAGGCTGACCAAACAGACTGTTCATAGCAATAAGATAGCAAATTCCCACCAGACTCTAGTAGAGCATCACATGACGGCCAGCAGGCCCTGAAGAAATATATTTCTTTGACAGATTTTGAAATGGCCCAGCAAAGCTGTCTGTTGGGGAATCTTGCACTCTGTGGAGAATCCCTGTCCGTCACTAGGTCTTTCTGGAGAGTCTGACACCTTTCAAGGCCCTGATAGTAGACATTCACATTCACTCTCTCTGAAGCCTGCTAGCCGGAGGCTTCATCCACAAGAACCTTGGCTTCCACAACCCCCTTTATTTTCACTCAAGCTGATATCAAGTCTTCAGGCAGATCTTAACTCTGTTTTACCCAACGGCCAATCAGGAAATCCTGTAATCCACCTGTGACCTGGAAGGCCCCACACCCCGCTTCAAGATGTCCCACCTTTCTGGGCCAAATCAATGTATACCTTCCAGATATTGCTTTATGTCTTTTCTTGTAACTTCAGTCTCCCTAAAATGTATAAAACCAAGCTATACCCTGTCACCTTGGGTGTGTGTTCTTGGGACCTCCTGAGGCTGTGCCCTGGGCCATGTCCTTAACCTTGGCAAAAATCAACCTCTAAGTTGATTGAGACCTGCCTCAAATACATTTTGGTTTACACCTTTGAACAGGCAACCACCTGCCATGCTGGGCCTGGCCTGGCTTTGCCCATTGCCCCAGCGTAACCGTTACTCGTGTCCCCCTATTCTTGGAAATGTCCTGGTTTGGACATATTATGTGAAGCACATGGTCACCCTACATGCGAGGCCACACCTGATCTGGGCCTGAGTCTCCTCCTGGACCCGTCTCGCAGCCTCCACTCTGCCTCTCATGCCTCAGCCTTGCTGATCTCTGGAAGCCCCAGGCACGCTCCGCCCCAGGCACCCTCCACCCCAGGCACATGCCTCCCAGCTTCCACCTGTCTTGGCTCAGGTGTCTGCCTTAGGAAAGCCCTCCCAGTCTGGAGAAGCATCCTGCCTTTCCTCGCTGGGGCAAAAGCAGAGACCCTTGGACATATCTAAGCAGAGTTTAGTGCCAGGCCAGCCGGGGACCCTACTCAGCTCAGCAGGAGGCTCAGCGATGGAGGCAGAGCAGCTGGAAGAACATCTCAGATGGTTTGTCCAAGAGACGGGCACACACCAGTGCGTGCCGCAGCCTGCCCGGGTCCCCCTCCCACCCCAGGCAGGCACACACCAGCGCATGCCATAGCCCTGCCCGGGCCCCCTCCCACCCCAGGCAGGTGGGGCTCACAGAGACAGGCCACCAGCCTCTCCCTTCTGCTTCTGACCAGTTCTTCCAGGAGGTGTCTCTTTCTCCTCTCCTGGGGCCCTGACTGTTGCCATCCTCCAATTTCTCAGACCAACCAGGCTCAGAGTTCTTTAAACTTCCCTTTACAAGGAGGTGTTGCCACTTTCTTGGAGAACTATTCTTAGCTTAATATAATATGATGCGATAGGATACAATATTTAGAGAGATTATTTGATGTCTGCCCCTCCAGTGAATGCCCAGCATTGTGGGTTTGTACAGCAGGTGTTCCCTGTTTGTTGATGAGCAAGTGGGCAGATGTATGAGTTACTCCTGGTTCCACTCACTCCAGTCTGGAGGGTTCAGCCAGCGGCTGCCAGGACAGCAGGGCCCCACCCTGAGCACTCGCCCTCAAGCCCAGCCCAGAGCCCACGCTTCGGCTCCACAGGCAGGGAGCAGGTCAGTGGGGCTGCCCTCCAGACCCTTCCCCTCGCCAGGGCGTCCTCACTTTCTGGGTTATGCTCTCCTCTCTGATTCCCTTTCAAAGGAGAAGCAAGAGGTGCTAAATCGCTAACATTTGTGGGTGAATTGGTAAACCAGGACTTTCCTTTTTGAGAGATGAGGCCCGGGTGGGGCCTGGTGGGAGGAGGGAGAAAGCTGTCAGCTGAGCCTCCCTGGTCATCATCGGTAGGCATCGGTCATGCATTTATCACTTGTCCAAAATTCCGAGGGTGTGGGGGATCCAGGGAGCATGGAGAAGGGGAGAGGGGGTGAAAGGAGGGTCCTGGGAGTGACGGGGGACCCTGCAGGCCGGGAGGCCAGCGATTCCAGGCCAGAGGGTCCTGGAGTTCAGAGAGAAGCAGGGTCTGGTTTGACGGCCATGCCACCTTTCCAAGTGGCTTTTTAGGGAGAAGAGAAGAAAACAAACAACATTAAAGGAACAAAAGAGGGAACTATTTTTAGCTGCGTGTGAAGCAGAAATAGAAATCTCATTGGGGAGTAAATTGGTGAATGAGACTAAATTTAAAAATTTGCTTAGAAATGAATAGGGAAGGATAATTAATGACTCAAGTGGTCCTTTAAATAATTAATAATGTTCTCCTGGGAGTAATTAAAGCATCACATGAAAGTGAGGCATTTTCTATGCCTAATTGTTCTCAGTTACTATTTTTACACACAAAACCAGAGTTTTTACAATATCAAGAACTTTGTCCTCGTATTTTCATTAAAATACTGATTTTTTGTTCTTAATCTTTTTTCCCATTTTCTAACCTATTTTGCTAGGTCCTCTCCCCAGTTCTGAATGCCCTTTGGAAGAGGATGGGGACAGACAGATGAGGGTGACGGGATGGAGATATTCCCTCAATATAAGAGTTTTCAAAGTGTTATTTGCTGCCAATTACTAAGCCATGCTTTCCCAAGGCATAACGCTGACAGTGGCTGATTAACGTCTCCCTTGCTGGCGTCCTGAGGAGCAGGGTCTTCTCTTTTATTTTCAACCCTGTGGCAATCAAGAGCCCTGGGCACCCAGAGGCCCAGGTGTGCCGGCTCTACCTGGAAGCATTTTCTGATCTCTCCGGACACAAATCTCCTCATTTGTAAGGGGAACCAGTTGAAGGGCTGGTAGACTATTTCAGTGACCCCCAGAACCCGCAAAGGCAAACTAGGGTGACATTTAAAAACTGAATTTAGCTTCATTTTCATATTCACTTGGAGTCTTTAACAAAATAAACTGACATTATGAGGCGTTTTGCCTCCTATGCTCTCAAAACCGGAAATAAAACCCCTTATAGTTTCTTCTTTTTCATCTTTGGAAGACAGAAGCCCTGGAATGTTGGCACACCTGGGATCAGGAGCACTCCTGTGGCCACAGCTGTGTCTCGGCTGTGCCGTGGGATTCTGTCCTTACTCCAAGGATCAGCTCCTCATCTGAAGGAAAAAGGTATTACAGTGACAGCTCACTCATCAAAAGATGACTTTTCCAGGAAAGTCGCTGTCTGAAAATTGCCAAGACCAGGGACATTTGTAATAGCCCGGTTCTAGGAAAGCCAGGAGGAAACTGCTCTCTGACAGGGAGGCCGTGAATGCTCCGCCACGCAGAGCTGAGGTCTGGCTTAGACCCTGAGCCCAGCCACCTCTGGCAGTGGGGACCCTGTCTCTTCCAAAGGCTGTGGGCCCAGCTGACCTCATGGCTGGCCCTGCTCACCCCCAACCCTCAGTCCTTTCAGACTCCAGGGATGTGTCTGGAATTCCATAATCACAGTTGGAGCTTCTAGCCTAGGGCTGCGGTCAGCGTTTAAGCACAGATGCCACTGCGGAGGGGAACTCTTTACATTGGAGAGCAGAGGACAGGAGTGTGAGGAAATGAGGGGTGAATGAGCCACAAAAAAGGGGGGCCGGGGATAGAGATTCTCAGGGTAAATTTGTCAACCTCAGAATTTTTCTGTGACTTTACTTTCAATGAAGCTCAATTTTGTGAAAGCTGATGTTACTTCTGAAGTCTTTAACAGAACGATGCATACCTGTGGAAATACATTTTCTTTCCACTTTTTCTATAATCTCTATTTATAGTAAATGTGTTAAATAGCTACCTATTTTAGAGCATGTGCAATGTGCCAAGCCCCAAGCCAGGTACTAGGAACTCTGAATAACTTCCTGTCTCGTAGGGACTGACACTTGGGGACTAGCAGAACCTTTTAGGAAAAGCCACACACCCTATATTAGTCAGAGTTCTCCAGAGAGACAGAACCAACAGGACATGATGTAGATATGGGTATGTGAGAGGGGGATTATTGGGGGCCTAAACCGGCTCACAGAATTACGGAGACTGTGATGTCCGGTGATGTGCCCTCTGCAAGCTGGAGCACCAGGGAGGCTGGTGGTGCAATTCAGTCCAAAGGCCCGAGAGCCAGGGGTCCCATGGTGTAATTCTCCGTCCAGGGGTCCCATGGTGTAATTCTCCGTCCTGGGGTCCCATGGTGTAATTCTCCATCCAGCGGTCCCATGGTGTAATTCTCCGTCCAGGGGTCCCATGGTGAAATTCTCCGTCCAGGGGTCCCATGGTGTAATTCTCCGTCCAGGGGTCCCATGGTATAATTCTCCATCGAGCGGTCCCATGGTGTAATTCTCCGTCCAGGGGTCCCATGGTGAAATTCTCCGTCCAGGGGTCCCATGGTGTAATTCTCCGTCCAGGGGTCCCATGGTGAAATTCTCCGTCCAGGGGTCCCATGGTGTAATTCTCCGTCCAGGGGTCCCATGGTGTAATTCTCCGTCCAGGGGTCCCATGGTGTAATTCTCCGTCCAGGGGTCCCATGGTGTAATTCTCCGTCCAGGGGTCCCATGGTGTAATTCTCCGTCCAGGGGTCCCATGGTGTAATTCTCCGTCCAGGGGTCCCATGGTGTAATTCTCCATCGAGCGGTCCCATGGTGTAATTCTCCGTCCAGGGGTCCCATGGTGTAATTCTCCGTCCAGGGGTCCCATGGTGAAATTCTCCGTCCAGGGGTCCCATGGTGTAATTCTCCGTCCAGGGGTCCCATGGTGTAATTCTCCGTCCAGGGGTCCCATGGTGTAATTCTCAGTCCTGGGCTGAGGGCTTGCGAGTCCGGGGTCTGCCAAGGTAAATCCCCAAGTCCTGGGGTCCAAAAGCCGAGGAGCCTGGAGCTCCAAAGTCCACAGGCAGGAGAAGCAGTGTCCCGGCTCTGGAAGGGAGAGAATTCTCCTTCCCTCTACCTTTTTGTTTCCTCTGGGCCCCAGCCGATTGGGCAGTGCCAGCCCACAGTGAGAGCAGATCTGTCCCACTCCGTCCTCCGACCCATGCGCTGATCTCCCCAGAGACACCCAGAAATCATGCTTCACCAGCTTTACAGATGTCCCGAATCCAGCCAAGTAGATGCCTAAAATTAACCATCAGACACGCACATGTGTACCGCGCCTCCTTGAGGAAAGATTCTATCCCCCGTATTTTGCTGAGATTTGTGGAGGACTCTAGGATATGACATTTCCCACGGGCACAACGCTCCTCTTAGAGCCTCGAACTGTGTGAGACACCAGGGACTTGCTGCTTTTCCCGGAAGCGGGTTAGAAACTGTGCATTACAGCCTGGAGGGCAAAACTCACTAAACTGTGCATTAGAGCCTGGAGGGCAAAACTCATTTTCCAAATATTAACTACTCCATTCGTGACAAGTTTTGGATTTTAAAATATCAGGTGAAAAATTTTCTACACAAATAAATGGATAGGAGAAAACAAATGCGTGCGATCGAACTTCATGGCAAGTGTGGGTTGTTTTCAAGAAACACCGTCCTGGGTGAGCCTGCCTCTGCCCCCTCCTTCCCCTGTGCTGCGCCTCTCTGGCCTCTGCCACCCTGAGACAGCAGGACCAAGCCCTCCCCTTTCCCCTCCTCCTCAGCCCCTCCAGGTGGGGACGAGGAGGATGAAGGCCTGTAGCTCTGGAGAACAGAAGGCAAGCTTGGAGGCGGTTTGCAGTGCTGCCGTCCTAGTCACCGCTCCCCGTCACACCAGGAGGCAAGGCTTTCACGAGGCACACTTCCACTTTGTGAACAGTAAAGTTAGTCTCTCTTATGGTTTTCTTAATACCATTTTCTTTATCTGATTTTATTGTAAAAATACAGTATGTAATACATGCAGCATACAAAATACGTGTTATTTACCTATTCATGTCAGCGGTAAGGCTCCTGTCAACAGAAGGCTATGAGAAGCTAAGTGTTTTGGGGAGTGAAAAGTTCTTTGTGGATTTTCAGCTGTGCAGGGGGTGGGAGGCTTTGGGCCCCAAACCCCCTCTTCGTTCAAGGTCCACTGTATATGCTGTTCCATCTTTTCCATCAAGAAGCACATGGTGATGCACTTTCAAGAATCTTCTTTCTTTCGCTGTCTTCTCCAGTCCACAATCATTCTACGTGCCAGATGACGCTTGGTGTGCCAAAAATTCAAAAGTTTCCAGACTCAACTAAATGTGTGCCTGGCTGTAGTTAAAATCATTTTCCTCTTTGCTTTTTAAGTTGAGGCATAAGTTACACACAGTAAAGGGCAAAGTTCCTAAGTGGGCGACCAGCAAGTTTTTCAGTGGCCTACACTTGTGGAACCACTCCTCGAATGAAGATCGGAACATCGGAGGACACAGGGGCTCCCTTGCTCCACCTCCTGGCCACGATGCCACCTCCGCTGCCTGGCTCAGCCGTGCCTTTCATTTCAAAACTGCAACCAAGGCAGTGTCAGAACATGGGCGATGGTGTCGGAATGTGGGCGACGGTGTCGGAACGTCGGCAATGGGTGACCCGGCCCAGGACTATGACTGGTGCTGCTGCTGCTCATTCTGATGGGTAACCACACGCTGATTTGTGTGACCTCTGACTGTTTTGTGTTTCCACGTCTCAGCTAGGTTGCAGACTTGCGGAGTGCAGGGCCTCGGACCTGCGTCTCTTGTCCCCAGTGGTGCCTAAGGAGGTGCTTTCCACACAATGCTGTTTGCCAGCATAGAACTTGCAACATTCCATCCACGCCCCAGTCGTCTTCAGATGGTCTCACAAGACAGAAAACAAACTCCCAACTGGTTAATCAATTATCGACAATTTACTTAGGACCCAGGATGTGCAAGGTGCTTTGCTTGGCATCTGAGGAGAAACAGCAGTGAGACCACGGACCATGTCCTCTTTAGTACTTTGTTCTAATCAACTCAACTGACCACACAGATGGAATTTAGATAGACAGAAAATAAATAAGTATTGAGCTTTAACTAAAATTCCTTTGTGAGTCAACAAAACAGCTAAACACATCAACTTGGACACATTGTAACGGCAGAAAATGAAGATCTGTTAAGCCCACAAATCAACCCACATTTCTCCTGAAGAATGTTCTTATAATTAGGGCACTTGAGCTGTGTTAAAGTGTTTCGCTCCTCCAGCGGTCATATTCTACTTTAATTTCCTTCTTGCAGTATACTCTCCCTCCAGACCGTAAAAGATGTTGTGGTAAGGAAGTGACAAAGAATGTGAGGAAAATGAAGAGGATACTCAAAAGCAAGATGCAGAAACGACGATTAGATTTACCCTGTGTTGATTTCCCTACTCCATCGTATGGAGCCGAGTGTGCTGGGAAAGGTGCTTTGTTTGTTGCCCGGGTGGTGTGTGCGGGTTATGTGAGGTTGGTCCATGTCGTGACTTGTTCCCTGGAACCTGGTGGCAGCAGTGTTTTCATAAGCACCACCGGCATGTTGACAGTTGCGTGGAGTTCAGAGTCCATGGACCCTGGGGACCATGACGCCCCCGTGTGCAGGTGACAACACGCCTGCTGAAGGCCACGCAGTCAACTGGAGAAGCCAGGGCCGGCTGCTGTGTCTATGCAGGATGCTTCTGCTCCTCTGTCCCAGTGTGAGGTGCCATGACAACGGTCAGGCCTCTCTCAGTGCCTCAGCAGCCAGCCCAGGGCTTGGAATGCTTTGTTGGATAGATCTGTAGGCCACATCCAGGACAACACTGAATTACCAATTTCTGTTATGTGTGCTGAATTTTCATTGCTGTAGCCTTGAGTCCAGGCCTTCTATTCCAGCTGGCACAGGGTAGCCAGGGGCTAGTCCCTGTGGAGAGAAGCTGCCTGTCCACCACCTCCATCAGAGCAGGCCCTGCCTTCCTTCATCCTGAGAAGGCTGTGGCTTACTTTACGGCAGGCACTTCACATGAATATTTGATTCAATCCCGCTCATTGCTATGGAGTAAATGTTATTTGTATTCCTGTTTTAGTGACAAGGAAACTGAGATTGTGGTGGTAAAGCCTGGTAGGGAGTCCTGGTGGTCTCATTTTAGGGCCCATAACCTTAACGTCTTCTGAGGCTCCCTCCTTCTCACTCTAAGGCACTTGCCTTTCTGGTCTGCACAGAGGCAGGTCCTGTGATTTCAAGTTGCGTCGGTGTGTCTCTGCCCTCTCACTGGCCGGCATGAAGCTCTGGATCCCAGAGAGGAGCCGACCGTCGCAGCAGCTTCGGGTAAACGCTTGTGAATGAGCAGGGAAGGAGCGGCTGATGGTGCCCAGCCTGGCACCTGCACCCAACAGGCCTGGTGCTCCCGCCTGCTGTGGAGGAGTAGGTCCCCCAGACTCTGTGACTCCGAGACCCTTCTTATCCCTAGAAGAAAACATCAGTTACCGGAGACAACTGTTATACTTGTAACAAAATGTCATTTACTCACTTGGAGACAAAGTTCAGCCCAGCCACTGCTGCAGATACTATGGACCCATTTTTTTTTTAATGGAAGAAAAGGACTATTTAAAAAAAAATCATTGATTTTATTACTGAAGTGTACAGAAACCCAAAAGGACAAGCCGGTGTGGAGCAAACCCCTGGTTTCCCAATGGGGCGTCGCAGCTGCTGAGCAGGATTCCAGACTGGAGACTGGCGGCGCCCGTTGAAACATGACTGGCGGTTCTGCGGCTTCACAGCCTCACATGTTGCTTTGAATAAGAGAACATTCCTTTTAATATACCAATTTCCCTTCAGTTCTGTTTATGAAATGCTCCTTTGAAAATACTAGTTTAATGCAATCTAGGAATTTAATTCCTAAGAAAATGGAAAAATGAAGTGCTCTGAGTCACCAGCCAGAGATCACAGTGCTGTGCTCCGGGGCGTTGCTGTGGGTGGTGGCTTGGGGACCCTCGGGAAGCTATGCTTGGTGTCCCTCTAAGAGGCTTCCCAGAGCCGCACCTCTTGGTGCAGGAACAGGCCTCTTGCCGGTGACATAGACTCTTCCTGACGTCTCCACTAAATTGCTCATTTTTGTCAACATCCAACCTAGACACTGCTCACACCAAGTAAGAACGGCTCACTCCCCACAGTGACTCCTCGGGAGGCGTTTCCCACCGTGGGATTCTTCCCCATCTTTCTTGGCAGGCCCGTCTCTCCTTAGCGATACCACAAATCACCCCTTCCACGACCAAACCCACCCAAATGAATCGCTTCTGTTCCCTTCCCCACCCGCTGAACACTTGTAACATTGTAACAGTGAAGTGACCCATGTAACGGGGGTTTCAGTGGAAGAAGAAATGTCGTGGGAAATTTCACAAAACCAGTGAAATTGTTATTTCATTTATTTTATTTATTTATTTTTTGAAACAAAGCCTCACTCTGTTGCCCAGGCTGAAGTGCAATGGCACGATCTCGGCTCACTGCAACCTCTGCCTCCCAAGTTCAAGTGATTCTCCTGCCTCAGCCTCCCGAGTAGCTGGGATTACAGGCATGCGCCACCACGCTCGGCTAATTTTTGTATTTTTAGTAGAGATGGGTCTCACCATGTTGGCCAGGCTGTTATCGAACTCCTGACCTCAGGTGATCCACCTGCCTCGGCCTCCCAAAGTGCTGGGATTACAGGCGTGAGCCACCGTGCCCAGCCTGTTATTTATTTTTGAAGTTGAAGTTCATGAACTGATTTTTATTTTTAAATTATTTTATTAGCTTTATTTTTAAATTGTCTGCTAATTCATCCTTAAAAATCAATTCCGTAAGTTTTTCACTTATTAAAAGTGAGGCTGTCGTGGGCCCTCCACCCAATTCACTTGGGACCCTCACTGGGGAGGCGAGTGAGAAGCCTGGCCTGAGCCTGCCATGCTGAGGGGCTGAGCAGAGACGTGAACCCCTGGCCAGGCGTGTGTGTGCCTGAGCCGTGTGGCGTCCAGCCTGGGGCTGGCCACGGCGACATGAATGGCCCCACGTGGGAACTGCCCAGCTGAACCCTTCCCAAGTTTCTGACACACAACATTTTGTGTATAGGCAAAATAAAATTCATGTTTGAAGCCGCTAAATCCTGGAGTGTTTGTTCCACAGCAGCAGCAGCTGAAGCAGGTCCCGGATGATGTCAAACATCTTGCAGCTGTGCAGAGGGCACCATCCATCCTGCACCTTTCTCAGCTGACTCTCAGGCCGGAAAGCGTCCCGATGAAATGGGGTCCTAAGGTGACGCCAGCCCTGGCCACAGTCACAAATGCTGAGAGCCTCTAGGTGAACTCGGGTCACAAAGTCTAACACCTTCCTTGCAGGTTTCATGTTAGCCTGTTTCCAGATGCAGCCTGGGAACAGTAAGTGTGGGTGCACCTGTTCTAGGTGTGCCACTGTGTCTGGGTGTGAATGCTTTTAGCCCCCACGGGAGGCGAATGCCACTTTTTCTTCACTTCGAGATGCAGAGTCACGAGTGCAGGAATGAGGTGAAGCAAAGCTGTGCGGCTCCGTGGGGCAGGACTTGCCCCAGCCCGTCTGGTCCAGCAGCCGCACTCTCAGCTGGACCCTTAGACGGGAAATCTTAGCGACTTTTCTAGGGTGAAGCTTGATGGCGTTGTGATGGGGCGTTCTCGATGCTGCTTTCTTAGCCTAGAAAAGCACAGAGTGGGCGCCCTCCCTGCTCCGTGGTGCGCGTGTTGATTGTCTACTGCTGTATAACAAACTCTCACAAACGTTAGTGGCTTCAAACACCTGTTTGATTTTGCACACGATTCCATGGACAAGGGATCCTCTGATCCTCCGGGTTCTGGCACTGCTGAGGCTGAAGGACCACCTCCCACCGGGTGCTGGTGCGGCTGAGGCCGAGGGACCCCTCTTACCGGGTGCTGGCACAGCTGAGGCTGAAGGACCCACCTCTCATTTGGCTTTTCTGAGCGTGCCTGGCCTCTCTCTGTCTCTCCACGTGGGCTCTCTGTGTGGCTGGGGCTGCCACGTGTGTGGAGTCAGCGTGGTGCTTCTCACATGGAGTGGCTTCCTGAAGGCAGGTGACATCGGCCGCAGGCCAGGTCAGGGCTATGCCTGTAGCCAGCAGCTTCAAGCCTCCGACCCTCAGTCTGAACCGCAAGTCCTGCCCAGGTTAAGGGGTGAAGAAACAAGAGCCTCTCCGGAGGGAGTGGCCAGAGAAGACTGCAGAGGAGAATGTGGGGTGGGAGATGCTGGAAAATGCCATCTGCCACAGCAGGCGGGGTGGGCGGGCGAGAGAAAGAGAGGATGTGGCAGCTCCGTTTCCTGGGAGGTTTCACCCCCACTCTGGGAGGAAGACCCTTCAGCTCCACCTGGCCAGGAACCTGTTCTCACTTCTCCTTCCTTTTCAATGGAGATAACGTCTGTTATGCCTGACTCTAAAACCAAATGTGCTTGGTGCTGGGTTGGAGAGCAGAGTGCTGTGGAAATGTCCATTGATGTTGTTTTCTGAAAAGCCATTGGGCAGCATGAGAACAGAAGATGACACACTGCCCTTTTGCCCCTGGAGACCCAGTTCCATCTGGAAAGACAGCACTATAAACATGAGCTGTGGACTTTTGAAAATTGGAGACACTGCATGCAGAAAGTTCCAGGACCTCACCAAGCTGCATAGCTAGCAAGCAGCAGAGCAAGAGAGAGGCCAACATGGTACATTCTCAACCAGCCCAGCCCATCCTGTGCCATTTTTACCAAACCCTCACCCATTGGAACTCAGCGATCCGATTAGGACCATTATGGTGTCAGCTTCTTTCCAGGATGACATTGAGTAAGGAAATTCATTTTTAAAACTTTTAGCTGTTAAAAATGTAAACCAAGGCCCAAATTTTTACTTTAACAGGTCTCAGCAAGCTGAGAGGGTGACCCAACAGTGCAGCGCTGCTCTCAGCTGCCACGACCCACACAGTCGCTGGGAGGGAGGGTCCTGTGGAGGACGCATTGTCCACGGTTGCACTGCAAGGTGAGGTCTCAAAGCCATTGTTGTCCAAGGTTGCCTGGGCATTGAAGGCCTGGGGAGCAGGATGTGGTTTCTCCACGTTGTCTGATCCTGAGGGCAAGCATTTGATGTGTGAGTGGCTGCTGGAAAGCACTGGAATTCCCTAAGCAGATACAACACACTGGGGAGACAATGGCCATGAAGGTGAAAAAGTAATAGCCAAGGACCGAAAAGCTCCCTGGAGCAGAGACCCCGAGGAGCCGAGACTTAACCAGTTAAATCCATCAGTGGAGGAGGCAGCACCTGTAGATGGGAGACTTGTATTTGTTTCCTAAGTGCCTTTAGATTTTGGGTAATGATTTCTAATTTATTAACATAAAAACAATGTTTTTTTAGATCAATAAGAGCACAAACTCCTCCTTACTAACCTGTTGAGGTGTCAAGAATGTGTACTTTGGAGTACCATTGAGGCTAAATTGTTCATTTCAGATTGTATTGCTTGAAGGGAATTCAAGGTATTGTTTTATGAAAACAAGAAAAGTGAAGGTTAACATTTGGAGCAAATTATGATCTTAGTGGCTGAGTCCAGAGGGCAGCTGTCAAGAAGATTTCCAGATATGAGTTTGAAGCTTCTTGAGATGGTGGAATGTGGACAGCAGGTGAGATCCAATGGACCTCTCTGGTTTGCAGCCGTCATGTCCCTGGTGATGTCATCGGCTGTTCTGGTGAACCCTGAGTGACCGCGTGGCAGCGGCCATGAACACTGTCCATCCGTGGTCTGCCGCAGGGATTCTTCTAAGTTTAAAGTCATCCAGATTCAGTTTGCAGGGCTTGGGAGAAAAAGATAAGTATTCCACTTTTTTTTCTTTCTTTTTTTTTTTTTTTTTTTTGCAAAAGCTTATTTTATCAAATGGCTGCAAGTTATAGACAGCTTAATAGAAAAAAAAAGGGTTCTTTAAATCTGAAAAATAAGATATTAAGGAGCCAGTAATGTTTCAAACAAAAAGTCATAAAAGTTACAATTATTCTAATAGTTAATTCAGTACCATATAATTAATGGTACTGAATTTTGTTTTGTTCAGTCTTTGCTTAGCGGTTTTATGAATCCATCAGTTTTTCGTTACAGTTCTGGAAATCCTTAATAGTATGATCTTAAAGTTATCAGACACAAGTACTTGTTACAGTTTTTCTCATGAATCTCTTGCAATTTTGTATCAAGCAACTGACAAGAAATTTGGTTGATTTGGTGACATGCCACATTTTAAGAACATAGTTAGAGTATGACTGATGATGTTATACCAGAACATATCAGATTTTTAGAAATTTCATGTAATTTTTAAGCACTTCTATGACTAATACATATCCATGTATGTGTAACCTAAGATTCTGTATTTGACAGTGCTTCTCATGCAATTTAACATATTCAATAAGCTCATTAGTTTAGCATCTCTCTTTTTATAAGGAGAGAAAATGTTCTTTTGATGTATTCCCCAGGGTCCCTCCTGAAAACTACCAAAGTTAATTTGAGGTGAAAAAGACTTAATATAGAATTTGATTTTGGGATGCCGTTAAAAATGTCAAATGGCTTAAAACACTTAAGACCACAGGCCGCTGCGGAACAAGGCCAAAGTGACAGAAGATTTTAAAGGCAAATACAGAAAGCAGCTTAGTTGCCAAAAAAAAAAAAATCTTAGCTTTTTTAGTATTGAAAAGACTATTTTCTTAAGTAATCAAAGACCTGATAAAAGACAACATGAAGCATAAGAAATTAATCTGATAAAACACAAAATCATTGTTTTTTAGGCCAATTGCTTAAAAGGCAAAAAAACCTTTCATAATCAAGAGCAGACCAACTCCAAGAAAACTTTGTCCTTTTAACAAAGAGAAAGCAAAATTCCAACGCAGCGTCAGCACTTCTTAAACTGTTTTTTAAACCTTATAAGTAAAATTATTCTAATCTTAGTTTGACCACATATAAATTTTTTTTCTCAGACTTTCTACAATTTTCTATATGCATTAAATTTTTGTCTTACTCATTTTCTTCTTTATTCTGGAACAATCAGTTATCTTGCTTTAGGACAAAATCTCTTTTTTTCCTTAAACACAGATCTCGTATATTTTTTCTCATTAAAAGCACATTCTACTTTCTTTGTACATTTTTCATACTCCATTGTTTGCTTCAGTCTTTATTTTTCTAGTGGTTTTAATGACACATGTTAATTCAAATTCTTAATTCTTAGTGGCATTAATATTCACTGTGAATTAGGAAGCACATGATGTCGTCGTTCTTAGCTGGCGTGTGCTCACTGAATTAGGAGGCACACGATGTCGTTCTTAGCTGGCGTGTGCTCACTGAATTAGGAGGCACACGATGTCGTCGTTCTTAGCTGGCGTGTGCTCACTGAATTAGGAGGCACACGATGTCGTCGTTCTTAGCTGGCGTGTGCTCACTGAATTAGGAGGCACACGATGTCGTCGTTCTTAGCTGGCGTGTGCTCCCTCAGCACAGGACACGCCTACCGGCAGACCCAGGTAGCTCCAGTTCCTCTATAAGCAGCCAAAAATAATTCAGCTTTAATTTATTTTATGAAACATTGAACTTAATGTTTTAGTAGTTTATCGTATCCAGGCATGATCTAGATATTTAATAACTATTGTTTAAGTTAGTACAATTTTAGAGTTTCAAGTTTTCAAAAGTATTTTGGAAACTGTTTGTAGGCAGACATAACTCCTTGTCATCTCAGGATATTTTTCTTGTTGACAAATTTTGTAACAGAAATTTTGTAAGCTTATTTGACTATTACAGCTAGGTAGAATATCCGTTTCTACTAAATCATCAATATTCTCATTTATTAAAAATGACTCACTGGGCATGGTGGCTCACGCCTGTAATCCCAGCACTTTGGAAGGCCAAAGGATTGCTTGGGGCCAGGAATTTCAGATCAGCCTGGCCAACGTAGTGAGACCCCTGTCTCTACAAAAAATTAAAAAATTAGCTGGGTGTGGTGGTGCATGCCTGCAGTCCTGGCTACTTGGGAGGCTGAAGTGGGAAGACTGTTTGAGCCCAGAAGATTGAGATTGCAGTAAGCTATGATCACGTCACTGCACTTCAGCCTGGCAACAGAGCAAGACTCTCTTAAAAAAGAAACAAAACAAAAAGATTACTCAAGTTATGTGACCTTGAAAATGATTTGGGTTCATTTGTTTTCTGAGAAAATTTGTATAAGCACTTACTTTTCTTTAGGCCAGTAAAATAGAGCTCTTTTAATATTATTTCTAATAATACCATCCAGAGGTAGACTGATATAACATATAAATAACATACATACATATAGACGTACATAACCAAACAGATGCAGAGGTTCCTGGCTTCTGTTCTCAAATTGTAGCCCTGTGCCAGGAACGATAATATAAAACTCACTGGTCGGTCCAAATTGTGTTCTTGGCAGATAAAGTTACCTGTTCGGATGGCCAAAGTCTTTTGTTAATACATATGGAAAGGACTTTACGATTTTCCATTTGCCAGTTTTTTTCTACAGTGTTCCCATTTTTTCTCCCTTCTGATGCGTCATTTCCCAGATGCCTGCATTTTAAAGATTTCGGTATCTCTAAGGCAGGGAGAAAGGACATTAAGTTTTCTCCAGAAAGGAGCTGTGGGCATAGTTGCCTGTTGTCTGGGGTCAGCTTTATTGGGACCGTGGGCCGTGTTTAGGGGGTGGCCAGGAGACACTGGTGTGTTGACGAGTCCTTCTCCTCTTCAGCCTCAGGTGGCTGCTGTTGTATAGCTCAGGGTTGTGTGCAAGAGGCCACAAATCTGAAGTTAGTTGTTGCAGATGCCCCACGCTCAGTGGAGGATTTAATTTGTAAGGAAGTTGGTTTTCACAATCTTCTTATGGAAAAGGCAAGAAATCAAATGTTAGTATACTCAAAATAATGTGTTGTTCGAGTGCTGTAGAGATTCCTTTAGGGAGGCTGCATTTTGGAGTCCTTCTGTCTAAAATCAATCATCTGTATGCCAATCATTCTGTCTAAAATCAATCGGTATGCCAATCATTGTGTCTGAAATCAATCTGTATGCCAATCATTCTGTCTAAAATCAATCGGTATGCCAATCATTCTGTCTGAAATCAATCGGTATGCCAATCATTCTGTCTGAAATCAATCGGTATGCCAATCATTCTGTCTGAAATCAGTCTGTATGCCAATCATTCTGTCTGAAATCAGTCTGTATGCCAATCAAAAAATATATTGCGTGGTTTGCAGATACTCACGATTCCTTGTTCTTGAATGTGCCCGTCCGTGATGATTTCATGTGGAATAAACTTCCCACTGTGGCCACTGTGACTCGGAGTCATCCCCCTGAGCTGCACCCATTTCTCCAGAAAGGCACGGGCTCTGGGTCTGTAGTTTCTGAACATGTAATTAGCTGGAGTTCCAGATGGGTGTCCCAGACTCCATGGATTCTGATGAACCCATAATTCCCTGTTTTTCTCACATTTTTCTTACCTGAGGCCTCCGACTGGATCCAGGCCAGTTCCTGTAGAACACCCAGTTTCACTCTGGATCCCAGTCCAGGTTCCAGTGCAGTCCCTGTCAGACCCAGGCTGAGCTCTGGAATAAAAACTGCTCCCATGGAGTCGGAGAGCTCAGGGTGCAAGTTGTGGAGCTCGACCTCCTAGAGGGGCTTCCCCTGTGGCCACCAAATGCAGCAAGACAGCAGTGGGTGCAGTGGCCCGGGGGCTGCCCGCGCCTGGTTACTCGCTGCTCCTGGGGATCTCACTTCTGACGAGACTGTCAAAAAGGTAAACTGAGGCACAGTGCTGTGTTTAAAGAGTTCATTTGAGCAAGCAACAATTCATGAACCAGGCAGCTCCAAACCAGAGGTGGTTCAGGAACTCCCCTGAAGGAATGTGAGGGGGAGGCTTTTATAGACGACACAGAAGTAAAGCAAAGAATGTTGGCTTGGTTACACTTGCACAGCTGCCTTATTTGTTCTATCCCATTGGAAAGTCCCTCGTTGATACGATTATTAAAGTTTGTTGGCTACTTCTGATTATTTATTCTGATATGATCCTTGATATGATAATAATTGATATTATTGATATCAATTATTGGTAGATTGATATAATTGATATGATATTCTGGTATGATTACTAAAAGTTTGTTGGCTACTTCTGATTGTTCTGATAACTTAAGTTCTATTCTTTTTTAAAATGGGAATTTACAAGAAATGGCTCAAGTTAAGTGTTGCTTATGTCTGCAAATCAATCAAGGTTGAGGTAATTTATGAGACCTGACTGGTTGTGTCTGCCCAGAGCTTCTTGATATCTGTTTCCTTTTAAATTTACTTTAAAATAGCCAGTCTAACAATATTACATGTGCTTCATGCATTTAACTTAAAAGGTTGTTTTCTAAAGACTATCTTTGTTTATGGTATAATATTATAAAATACTATTTTATTTTGAATTAAAAACATCTGTTTTTCAGGTAATATCAAAAGAGGATACCAACGTGGCCTTTAAGAATATACACGTTTTCCATGTAATTATTTCTCATTATTTGTTAGGGAAGTGCATTAGACACTCAGTGCAGAGGCTAAAATTAAAAAGGCTGATCATACCAAGTCTTGGCAATGATATGGAGTAATAGCACTCACATTGTTGATCAGGGCATACATATGTGCAATCCCTTTGGAAAACTGTTTGGCAGTAGGTACTACGAACTAGACATATGTCCACTGATGACCTAACGATTCCTCTGCTAGGTACAAACCCAAGACAAATGTGTGTGTGTGTCCACCAGCATACACATCCAAGAGCGTCGTAGCCAATAAGTACAGACAACCCAGACATGCACTGACGGAACAGTGGGCAGTGGCCTGTGCTGTGGTCACACCTTGGCTCCCTCTGTGGCAGGAGAGGACAGGTGCACACAGAACAACAACACGTCACAGATGTGATGAAGTGGGGGGGAGCCAGACACAGGAGTCCTCAAAGCAGGAGCCCAACCCTAGAGTTTGACGGCAGACACACTTTTCTGTGCTGATAGAAGTCAGAACAGTGACCCTCTGGGGCTGGGGTGATGACTGGGAAGAGGCACTGGGGACTCCTCCTGGGTGTCCGGAATGTTGTATATGTTGATCGTGAGGGTGTGGCATGTGTGTGTGTGAGTACCATGTGGCATGTCTGTGGTGTGTACGCTACATGGAGTATGTGTATGTGTGTGGTGTATGTAGTGTGTATATATGTGTGGTGTGTGTGTATATGGTGTGTGTATGTGTGCTGTGTGTACTGTGTGTTGTGTGTACGTTGTGTGTATGTGTGGTGCATGTGGTGTGTGTGGGTTGTGACGTGTGTTGTGTAACGTGTGGTATGTCTGGTGTGTTTGCCATGTGGTGTGTGTGTATGTGTGGTGTGTGTATGTGGTGTGTGTATATTGGTGTGTGTGGTGTGTTTTGTGTGTAATGTAATGTGTGTGTCGTGCATGTATGTGTATATGTGTGTTGTGTGGTGTGTGTGTTGTATGTGTGTTGTGTGTATGTGTGTTGTGTGTCTAGTGTGTGGTCTAATGTGTGGTGTGTGTATGTGTGGTGTGTATGTCGTGTGTGTATGTGTGTGGTGTGTGTCTCTGGTGTGTGTGTTGTATGTGTATGTGTGTGTATGGTGTGTGTGTGTGGTGTGTGTGTTTGGTGTATGTGGTGTGTGTTTTGTGTGTAATGTAGTGTGTGTGTTGTATGTGTGTTGTGCACGTATATGTGTGTGGTGTGTGTGGTGTGTATATGTGTGTTGTGTGTATGTGTGTTGTGTGTGTGTTGTGTGTGTGGTGTGTGTGTGGTGTGTGTGGTATGTGTCTTTGTGTGGTGTAGTGTGTGTGTCGTGTGTATGTATGTGTGTGTGTGGTGTGTGTGGTGTGTGTGTGGTGTAGTGTGTGTGGTGTGCATGTAAGATCCATTATGTTACATAAGATCCATTCAGGTTATGTGCGTCCATTTTCTCAGTATTCTCAGGTGCACACAGGAAAATGCCTTCTTCACAGAGAAGCACATAATGGTGGACGCTTGAGTCCATTTGGAGAAAGACTGAGAACACTAACGTTTAACTTCCTGGATTCTTCTCAGCCAGTTGGTGGATTTTCTTTTAAACTTTACACATTTTATGTGGCTTCAAGGGACAGCAAAATGTTACAAAACTGAAAGCCAAACAGAAATATGCCTTGAAGAAGTTGCAGACGCTGTTTTCTAAAAACACTGTTTTTGGTTCTGTCAGCAGGAAACGGCAGCTTTCTTTCTATGTCACAAACGATGGTGGCTCCTGGGGTCACCCAGTCAACAACAGCTGCAAGACACCAGCTTCTCGAGGCACCGCCCTCCTGAGCTCTTGGCGCCACGAGGTCATTGGCCAAGCATTTGAAGAGTGAATCACCGGTGTGCGCGTGGACACCCAGGCCACTGCTGGGACCCTGCGACCTAGGCTGGCTGCTGCCGCTGCCTCTGAGCAAGGGGCTTGGGAAGGGTGCCTCAATAAGCTGCTGATTGCTGTGGCAGCTGTGCCCTCTTCTGCCAGCCTCTCTGCGAAATGATGTAAAACGTGCCCCAGAGCTGTCCCTCCGAGGGCCATGAATGCCAAGGCACTCACCACCCTCTCCCTCCTTCCCCTGGCTGCTCCTGGGCAACAAGGCCCCACCAGAGACCCAGGTGGAAAGTGCGGGTTGTCTGAGCAAGGTGCGTCCTGAGAGGGGAATGCTGAGGGGCTGTGGGCAGGATGGCACTTCCCACCCACCAAGTGCTCAGAGTGTCAGCATTGTTTCCAAGTCACAGGTGAAAGTCGAAATACACACCCCCTTCCTTCAACACCTTTTCTTCAGTCACAAATTTGGTGTTTAAAACTAAAATGAAGTTAAGAAAGTGAACTATTTCAGACAAAACCTCCTTCCTCTTGATGCAACATAGTAAGAGATGTTGGTCCAGCTAAAATTATTTTCTCCTAATTAGAGAGACAACCCACAGCATGGATGGTTACAAACTGTACATCTGATAAAGGGTTAATACCCAAAATATGTAAGGAACTCAACCCAATAGCAAGAAAACCTGATTTTTAAAATGGGCAAAAGACCTGAACAGACATTTCTCAAAAGAAGACATACAAATAGCGAACAGGTTCATGAAAAAATGCTCAACATTACTAATCATTAGAGAAACGCAAATGAAAATCATGAGCTATCACATCACACCTGTTGGAATGGATATTCTCAAAAAAGACGAAATGTAAGCGTTCATGGGGATGTGGCGAAAAGGGAATCCTTGTACCCTGTTGGAGAAAACATGAATTAGTTCAGCCATTGTGGAAAACAGTATGGAGGTTCCTCAAAACACTAAAACTACAACTACCATAGTTTCCGGCGATCCCACTACCGGGCTTACAGCCAAATGAAATGGAATCAGTATGTCGCACAGGCACCTGCACCCCCATGTTTACCACAGGACTACTCACCACAGTCACGATGTGGAAGAAACCTGTGTCCATCAGAGGATGAATGGCTGAAGTAAATGTGGTATTACACAATGGAATACTAGTCAGCCTTAGAAAAGGAGAAAATTCTGTCACTTATGACAACATGGACAAACCTGGAGGACGTCATGTTAAGTGAAATAAGTCAGGCACAGAAAGGCAGATACTGAACGACCTCACTACAAGGGCTGAACTCATGGAAGCAGAGGCGGGATGGTTGTTACCAGGGGCTGGGGAAGGAGGAAGGAGGAGATGGGGAGATGTCAGTCAAAGGCTGCAAAGCTTTAGTTAGGAGGAATACGTCTAATGATCTATTGCACAGCAGGGTGACTACAGCTAATGCCAGCTGACCTGGGAACAATGAGGGCCTGAGCTGCACAGGTCCACACAGTCAGGTCTGCACAGCAGATTCCTCGTCCACAGCCAAACACTGAGGGATGAGAATCCCGTGTATGCGGAGGGCTGACTTTTTGTATTTGTGGGTTCTGCAGGGCCGACTGTGGGACTGGAGTATAAGATTTTGGTGTCTTGTGGATCCTGGAACCCATCCCCCGTGGATACCAACGGATGCCTGTATATGTTTCAAAATCGATAAGAGCAATTCTCTTAACTTCAAATGCTCCCACCACAAAATAAGGATCAAGTATTTGAGGTGATGTTAACTAGCTTGATTCAATCATTCCGCATTGTATATATATCGTAACATCAAATCCTACCTCAGAAATGTAACACAATTACGATTTGTCAATTACAAGTATTCTAACAGTAGCGAAGAAAGGATCCTCTCCTGAAGGGCTCATTTGTGGTCGCTGCCTTCACCCTCCCTCGGGGTCTTTCTCTCACTTAAGCTTCTGCTCCTCTCACAAGCTCAGGGTCATGTGTTTCCAGTACAGGGAGATATTTTGAATGATTTCAGATTTTCTCTGCTTGTTTCTACGGCCCAAACTCAGTTCAGACCCCACATGCATGCCGTGGGTAGGCCAGAAGGCCAGGGAACACGAGTGAGCACCGAAATCCACAGCGACATCCAAAAGGTGAGCGTGCGGCTGGAGACGGCGCAGGGCCTGGGCGTGCTTGCTGGACCTGGGAGATGTGTCATTGCCTGTTCCCAAATGGCGTTGTTGCATCCTGGGGTGAACTTTGAGGGAACACGAGCGACTCCATGCCACCTACCAAGTGAAAGGCAGGCCTGATGCCATGCCTGGGGTGGGGTCCACATCTCCAGTGGTAGAGATGACTCACCACACCACGTGCTCCTCCGCCGCGCCCTTCCCACAGCACTGGCTTAACCTGGGGGACTCTGAGTCCTTTATCAAGGTTGTCCTGGGAGATGGGAGTTTAAACACCCAGCCCGCAAGGCCACGGCCATTCCCAGGCTTCTCTCTCCACACACCTGGGCTTTGTCAGTGGGTGCAGTGATCGAGGGCATAACCGGGCTCCATCCCAATGCTGCCTCATCCCTGCAGTCACCCCGCACAGGTGACGCAGGCTTCAGAGGGCCCCGGACCTCGCCTGAGGGTGAAGAAAATCACGGCATCACTGACAAGGCCGCCATGAGGATCGCGTGAGCAGAAACACGATGATCATGGCTCACTGATGGGGCAGCTCTGAGGATCGCGTGAGCAGAAACACACAGATAATCACAGAATCACTGACGGGGCAGCTCTGAGGATCACGTGAGCAGAAACACACAGATAATCACAGAATCACTGACGGGGCTGCTGTGAGGATCCCGTGAGCAGAAACATGGATGATCACGGCTCACTGACGGGGCAGCTCTGAGGATCGCGTGAGCAGAAACACACAGATAATCACAGAATCACTGACGGGGCCGCTGTGAGGATCCCGTGAGCAGAAACATGGATGATCACGGCTCACTGACGGGGCAGCTCTGAGGATCACGTGAGCAGAAACACACAGATAATCACAGAATCACTGACGAGGCCTCTGTGAGGATCCCGTGAGCAGAAACATGGATGATCGCGGCCTGACTGGCGGGGCTGCTGTGAGGATCATATGACCAGAAACACGTGGAAGATCATGGCTCACTGACGGGGCTGCTGTGACTATTGCGTGAGCAGAAACACGATGATCATGGCTCACTGAATGGGCAGCTCTGAGGATCGCGTGAGCAGAAACATGGATGATCATGGCTCACTGACAGGGAGGTCTGAGGATTGCGTGAGCAGAAACACAGATAATCACAGAATCACTGAGGGGGCCACTGTGAGGATCGCATGAGCAGAAACACACAGATGATCACGGCTCACTAATGGGGCCGCTGCGAGAATCGCGTGAGCAGAAACACGGATGATCATGGCTCACTGACGGGGCAACTCTGAGGATCACGTGAGCAGAAACACACAAATAATCACAGAATCACTGACGGGGCCACTGTGAGGATCGCGTGAGCAGAAACACACAGATAACCAAGGCCTGACCAACGGGGCTGCTGGGAGGATCCCGTGAGCAGAAACACGGACGATCACAGCATCACTATCGAGACGGCTCTGAGGATCCTGTGAGCAGGACACTGGTGTGTTATGCTTTAAAGCTTTTCCTTGATCTTGGTGATTTCACGTCTTAGGAAACCTCCCTCACTAATCAGCCGGCCCCGTGGGCAATGCAGCTTCTCCTGAAAAGCAAACACTTCAACTTTCAGGCTTCGTGGCCACTGACCCGCTTCTGGCCAGGGGCAGCCTCCTCCCTACCCCTCGTGTAACGGACTACGGGACTGGACATCTGTCACGATGCCATTTGAGACGGAAAGGGCACTGGGCCAGTGTCTGGAACTGGCCCGCACGCCTCAGGTCATCTGTCACGATGCCGTTTGAGAGGGAAAGGGCACTGGGCCGGCGTCTGGAACTGGCCCCCACGCCTCAGGTCATCTGTCACGATGCCGTTTGAGACGGAAAGGGCACTGGGCCAGTGTCTGGAACTGGCCCCCACGCCTCAGGTCATCTGTCACGATGCCATTTGAGACGGAAAGGGCACTGGGCCAGTGTCTGGAACTGGCCCCCACGCCTCAGGTCATCTGTCACGATGCCGTTTGAGACGGAAAGGGCACTGGGCCGGCGTCTGGAACTGGCCCGCACGCCTCAGGTCATCTGTCACGATGCCATTTGAGACGGAAAGGGCACTGGGCCAGTGTCTGGAACTGGCCCCCACGCCTCAGGTCATCTGTCACGATGCCGTTTGAGACGGAAAGGGCACTGGGCCGGCGTCTGGAACTGGCCCCCACGCCTCAGGTCATCTGTCACGATTCCGTTTGAGAGGGAAAGGGCACTGGGCCGGCGTCTGGAACTGGCCCCCACGCCTCAGGTCATCTGTCACGATGCCGTTTGAGACGGAAAGGGCACTGGGCCAGTGTCTGGAACTGGCCCCCACGCCTCAGGTCATCTGTCACGATGCCATTTGAGACGGAAAGGGCACTGGGCCAGTGTCTGGAACTGGCCCCCACGCCTCAGGTCATCTGTCACGATGCCGTTTGAGACGGAAAGGGCACTGGGCCGGCGTCTGGAACTGGCCCGCACGCCTCAGGTCATCTGTCACGATGCCATTTGAGACGGAAAGGGCACTGGGCCAGTGTCTGGAACTGGCCCCCACGCCTCAGGTCATCTGTCACGATGCCGTTTGAGACGGAAAGGGCACTGGGCCGGCGTCTGGAACTGGCCCCCACGCCTCAGGTCATCTGTCACGATGCCGTTTGAGACGGAAAGGGCACTGGGCCGGTGTGTGGAAATGGCCCGAATGCCTCAGGTCATCTGTCACGATGCCGTTTGAGACGGAAAGGGCACTGGGCCGGTGTCTGGAACTGGCCCGCATGCCTCAGGTCATCTGTCACGATGCCGTTTGAGACGGAAAGGGCATTGGGCGGGCATCCGGAACTGGCCCCCACGCCTCAGGTGGGTCTGGCAGGCTGCATTTGTACCGTGGGCACTTGGTTTTTCCTTCTTCTTGAATAATTAGGAGTCCCTGAAAAGCAATATTTTCCTGGAATCCTCAGCTAAACCAGAAGCTCCTACACACCAAGCCAGAAGAACATGCTTCCAAATTTCCTGTGGGTGGATTGACCTGTAGGAACAGGATTTATTATTTTGTTTTCCAGACAGAAGAAATTCTGTTTCTTAACATTTGCAAACTCTTAGTCCAAGAATGTGGGGGAATTATAATGTATTTCAGAGTTACTCGTGGGTACAATTTTGAAGTAGGTCATGTGACTTTTAGCTTCTTCCTTTTTGAGCTGTCCAGGTCCCTCCTGTGAACACTCAGCTGCCCCCGACCCGCACTACGATCGTGTCCCTGGGGGAACGCCCGCCTGCACTTGGCATCTTTCCTGTCCGTCTGTGTAGTCCCGTCAAAACAGCCATGACTGAGGTACAAACATCTGATAATGACAAACTATCAGAAATACTGATTGCTCCTCAGTTGGCACAGGTTGTAATGATTTAAACGTGTCTGCCTCCCTCAATGGCTTTGTTTTCAGTTTTCTTTGTAGGAATATATTACAGCCTCTTCTGTTGGCTATAAAATTCACCCATAGCTGGGTAATTGAAAAAATAGCAATCCTGATTTTATAGACAGCTGGTGAGAAGTCCTGTTAGGTATTTGAACTTTTTTCATGCAGGCATACCTTAGCGATATTGTGGATCTAGTTCAGACTACCATAATCAAATGAATATCACAATAAAGCAAGTCACACAAATTTTTTGGTTTTTCAATGCATATAAAAGTTATTTTTATGCTATATTGTAGTCTTTCCAGTGTGCAATAGCATTATGTCTAAGAAACATTGTATATACGTTAATTGAAAGACTATTGCTAAAAATGCTAATGAGATCTGAGCTGTCAGCAGGTGGAAATCCTTGCTGATGATGGGGTCTTTCCTTGATGTTGATGGCTGCTGACTGATCAGAGTGGGCGCTGCTGAAAGCTGGGATGGCTGTGGCAATTTCTTAAAACAATGATGAAGTTGGCTGCATTGACTGACTCTTCCTTTCACAAAACCTTTCTCTATCATGATGCTGTTTGACAACATTTTATCCCCAGTAGAACTTCTTTCAAAATTGGAATCAACCTCCTAAACTCTGCTGCTGCTTTATCAACTAGGTTTATTTAATATTCTAAATCTTCTGTTGTCATTTCAACAATATTCACAGCATTTTCACCAGGAGTAGATTCCATCTTAAGTCATTTTCTTTACTTACTCATAAGAAGCATCTTTTTATCCATGTAAGTTTGATGATGAGATTGCAGCAGTTCAGTCCCATCTTCAGGCTCCACTTCTAACTCTGGTTCTCTTGCTCTTTCCACCACATCTCTGGTTCCTTCCTCCACCAAAGTCTTGAACCCCTCATGGTCATCCATGAGCTGGAATCAACTTCTTCCAAACTCCTGTGAATGTTGATATTTTGACCCCCTCTCGTGAATCCCAAATGTTCTTAATGACATCTAGAGTGGTGAATTTTTTTCTGAAAGGTTTTCAATTTACTTTGCCCAGATCTATCTGAGGAATTACTATCTATGGCAGTTACGGATGTATGAAATATATTTCTTAAATGAGACTCAAAAGTTTAGATGACTCCATGGGCTGAAGAATGGTTGTTGTTTCAGCCGGCATGAGAACAACATTCATTCTCCATCAGAGCTCTTGGGTGACCAGGTGCATTGTCGATGAGCAGTAATATTTTGAAAGGAATATTTTTTGGGCAGTAGGTCTCAACAGTGGGCTTAAAATATTCAGTAAACCATGCTGTAAACAGATGTGTTGTCATCCAGGCTTTGTTGTTCCGTTTATAGAGCACAGGTAGAGTAGATTTAGTATAATTCTTAAAGGCCCTAGTATTTTTGGAATAGTAAATGAGCATTAACTTCAACTTCAAGTCACCAGTGGCATTAGCCCCTCACAAGAGACTCAGCCTGTCCTTCGAAGCTTTGAAGCCAGGCATTGGCTTCTCCTCTCTAGCTATGAAGGTCTTAGGTGGCATCTTCTTCCAAAAGCTGGCTGCTTCACCTACACTGAAAATCTGTTGTCTAGTGTAGCCTCCTTCATCACTGATCTTAGCTAGATCTTCTAGATAACTTACTGCAGCTTCACCTTGCACTTTATGTTATGGAGATGGCTTCTTTCCTTATACCTCATGAACCAACCCCTGTGAGCTTCCAACTTTTCTTCTGCAGCTTCCTCTCCTCTCTTGGATTTCACAGAATTGAAGAGAGTTCAGCCTGTCACCTCTGGATTAGGCTGTTTTGCTTTCTCATCATTTATTTGTTCACTGGGGCAGCACTTTTACTTTCCTTCATGAACTTTTCCTTTGCATTCTCAGCTTGGCTAACCATTTTTCACAACAGGCCTCGATTTCGGTCTTTCATGCCTTTCAACATGGGTTCCTCACTAAGCTTAACCATTTCTAGCTTTTGATTTAAGGTGAGAGAGGTGTGGCTTTTTCTTTCATGTGAGCACTTAGAGGCACTTGCCAAATTTAAATATTCTTGAGTCTCAGGAAATAGGGAGGCCCAAGGAGTGGGAGAGAGATGGGGGGAAGGTTGGTTGGTGGGGCCATTGGAACTTACAACATGTATTAAGTTGGCCACCTTATATGGGTCCCCAAACCATTACAATAGTAACATTAAAGATCAACAGTCACAGATTACCATAACATTTGTAATAATGAAAAAGTTTGGAATATTATGGTAATTATCAAAATGTGACACAGAAACATGAAGTGAGCACATGCTGTTGGAAAAATGGCACCTATAGCCTCACTCAATTCAGGGTTGCTACAAACCTTCAGTTTGTGAGAAAAGCAGCACCTGTGAAACACAATAAAGGGAAGTGCAGTAAAACGAGGCCTGTGGGTTCTCCTTCTGGGCTGCCGAATTTCCTGTGGGTTCTCCTGGGCTGCCGGATTTCCTGTGGGTTCTCCTGGGCTGCCGAATTTCCTGTGGGTTCTCCTTCTGGGCTGCCGGATTTCCTGTGGGTTCTCCTTCTGGGCTGCCAAATCTCCTGTGGGTTCTTCTGGGCTGCCGAATTTCCTGTGGGTTCTCCTGGGCTGCTGAATTTCCTGTGGGTTCTCCTTCTGGGCTGCCGGATTTCCTATGGGTTCTCCTGGGCTGCCAGATTTCCTGTGGGTTCTCCTGGGCTGCCGAATTTCCTGTGGGTTCTCCTTCTGGGCTGCCGGATTTCCTGTGGGTTCTCCTGGGCTGCTGAATTTCCTGTGGGTTCTCCTTCTGGGCTGCCGGATTTCCTATGGGTTCTCCTGGGCTGCCAGATTTCCTGTGGGTTCTCCTGGGCTGCCGAATTTCCTGTGGGTTCTCCTTCTGGGCTGCCGGATTTCCTGTGGGTTCTCCTGGGCTGCTGAATTTCCTGTGGGTTCTCCTTCTGGGCTGCCGAATTTCCTGTGGGTTCTCCTTCTGACACAGCAGGATTCCTGGTGTCCTTCATCTCCCTGCACGTCATCCATTTAGCTTCCAAATCTCACCTGCATCCAGCTCCAACTCCTCCACGCCCTGCTGAATGTCTCCAATTTCTTAGCAGAACATCTCAGCTCTGCTCATGCCTCCACCTGCGTGTCTGCCGCCTGCATCAACGCACTGAGGGCTCTGCCAGACCCAGGACTTGCCACGCTTCAGAATCAGTAAGTTAATACTTCTGAAGGGACTTTAGCTTTTCTGGCATATAGCAAGTTGAATAAATGTGTGTTTTCGTTAGTCTCTGTTTAATTAACCAAAAAATTATTTCAATAATACTGAGGTTTTTTGGGTCTCGGTACATTTTTTTGATACTTAAATGTCTCACGTGGCCCACTGGAGAGGAGACATATTTTCAGCATATATGACTATGAAACACTGTTTATGTTTCCTTGGGGGTAAGAAGTAGCAGGGATTTGAAGGGAAATGAGAATATAACTGGGTGAAGATAACTGTCTGTTAGGAGAAAAAACTTGGGACTGTAACTCACCCCCCAACTGGGAATGAGCCGAGAGATCAAAGAATGACAAGAATGGCTCGGATGAGTCCAGCCTGACGAGTAGGTGAGTTTACTGGGACTCACACACAGGGCACTCCTGGATGGTTGCAGGACAGCTCTAGAGGTCACCCTACCTCCCAATTCCAAGCTGCTTTTAAGCTAATTTGCTGGGTCTCTGCCTGCAGTGTGTGTGCAATGGGGCTGTTTTCCTTGCTTTATGTCCCCACACACAGCCCAGGATGTTGGGGTTCTCAGGGACACCTGCTTCTCAGCTGGGTGCCATGGACTTGGCCGGCTGCTGGACCTTCAGCTTTCAGTGACATACACACTTAAGTAACCTAGTGGGGCACATGTCACACCACACTGCTTTGTGTCATCATGTGTCAGCCCATTTCAGCTAGTGACAGCAGCCTTCACCTCTAGATCATTTTATGAAGTTTGTAAAATACAAATCTATACTGCAGGAAAAATGGGCCCAAAAGGCATATTTAATATTTTAAGTAACTTATTTCCTGCCAATTTGGGGTAAAAATTTCAGTTGCTTTTCCTTAAGACTGGCTAACCCTAAACACTTCCTAAGGCACTCATTATTGGATTGCTAAGCAAATGGGTGTTCACCTGAAGAGAAGGAAAATTAATGAGGCTATAAAGTTTAATCATAATAAAGATCATGAAGTCTTGTTTCGTAGCTAAAGAAATTGCCATATCAAAATATTCTACATCTCACTTTGATGAAATTGAGTTCAAAATTTAGATTTGATAATGAAAAATACGAAGCTAAAACTTATTTTTGTGTTGCCCTTGAGCTTACTCTGAAAACATGTAAGAGCAGAGAAGTCAGGAAATTTCTGTTGAGTTGAAAAAAACAACACTTTTGCTGATGTGAAAACTGTATGGCTGAACCAGAAAATAAAGATATTAACATAAATCCAATAAGGCAAGTTGTCTTACTATTTTGTTTTGTTAACCCAGGACCTCTTGTTCTCTAATTGTTTAAAGGAAATAACTCATAAAGTCTGACTCAAGCTAGCATTGGTGAGATCAGAGAGCTCAGTAAAAATTCCACACTTCCATGCTGCAGGCAATGAAGATGTCGCTGGAAGGGTGAGACCACCCAAGGCATCTCTTTGGCAATGAACTCATCCTTAAAGCAGACATGCTCTGACCACCAGTGAATTTTCCCTTCAGTAAAAATAGAGTCATATTTAGCTGGAAAGGTAGAAGAAAAGTAGGAGTCTATCTATATTTAAACCATATGGTCTGAAGTGAAATGAGAACAAATCTCCTGACAGATTGATGTTAGGAAAATTGAATGAAACACAAGTGCTTTTCAGCAGATCTAATTCAGAAGGAGGTTACTTGGAGTTGTAACACAGATTCTGACTCTCCTTTCAGTGCCAGGTTCACCGACATCTTCTGACATTTCTCCTCCTAAGTTGCATTCTGTGCGTAGGGGTTGTCCAAGTTGCTCTCCTCTAAAAAGGGGTTCCAAGAGGAACACATTGAGCAATAATTTATTTTTGAAATAGGAGTTTCATAAAGGTTTCCTTTGCTTTTGAGTTTTTAAAAGCATAGCTGGGCTGGGCGTGGTGGCTCACGCCTGTAATTCCAGCACTTTGGGAGGCCAAGGCAGGCAGATCACCTGAGTTCGGGAGTTTGAGACCAGCCTGGCCAACATGGAGAAACCCTGTCTCTATTAAAAAAAAAAAATAGAAAATTAGCCTGGTGTGGTGGCACATGCCTGTAATCCCAGCTACTCAGGAGGCTGAGGCAGGAGAATTGCTTAAACCTGGGAGGCGGAGGTTGCAGTGAGCCAAGATTGAGCCATTGCACTCCAGCCTGGGCAACAAGAGCAAAACTCCATCTGAAAAAAAAAAAAGAAAAGCATAGCTGATTCAGACTTAAACTGCTATTTGCTACCTGTGCTAACCTACTCCTACTCCAACTTATTGGCAGTGGAAACCATTGAAGAGATCAACAGATATCAAACTTGAAAGAGTACCTTTTTTATAGTTATTTTCACATTTTTAGAATTTTCATAAGGGTTAAGAGTTTACAGGACTTATAGGTGGCTGGCTCATTGAGTCCTCCAAAGAACTACAGAAGATTAAGAGTCCTCAGCTTCAGTAGGAGATCTTGACTTATCCCATAACCTCCCCGTTTCCTCTAGGGCCTTCTCCATTTATTTACCCTTTTCTCTTAAGATGTCAACATTTCTTTCTCTGTTAGCTCTTTACCATAGGGTGGTACCATGCCCAAATCTTTCACATTCCAGGAGGGAAAAAAACAAATAAACATAAATGTAAAACATTCTCAAATGCACTCTCAACCTAAATGCTTAGCTCTCTCTGTAGCATCCCAGCAAAGCTTTCTGAAGAGCAAATGAGGCTCACTGCCTTCTCTTCCTCGTCAGACATCCGCTTCTCCCCCCACTGCAGTTCTGCTGACCTCTTTGACATGCCACGAAAACCGTGTGGACAAGGTCCACTGTGGACTCCGGGTTGTCCAATTGCGAGGGTCAGCCTTGGTCAGCCTGGCTTCTCGGTGGCGTTTTATGGGGCCAGCCCTGCTCGAGGCTCTCCTGTGTTGGCTTCTTTTGCCACCCTTGGTTCCCCCTCTTTGCCTTGGGCCAGTTTACTTGATCACATTTTATGTGGCCTGTTTTCCCTCTATCTCCTAAACTGTCAATGTTTCTGGAGTTCCCTCTTCTCTTTATTCTAAACTAGTTCACTATACATTCCTTTTACCCGTGTTTCTTTGAAACATATAAACATTTTATTTTGGCACTATCATGCTATAATAGGATGGTTGTTTTCCTGTCTGTTTTCCCCCAAATCGAGTCATTTGATGGGAACTATTTGGAGGAAGGTTGTGTCATGGCTCTGGGTCTTCAGTGGCAACTCAGGACCTTCCCTGTACATAGGTAGGTGCTCACTAAGAACTGGTTGGCCTGAGAATAAGTTTTATGCACTCCTGTGACTGCAGTGACCATTTATAACTCAGTGACTTTGGACTCTGAGCTGGGCTCATATCTTTCACCTGAACTCCCGCCTGTGTCTGACAGAGGCACTGTGTGTAATAGTGATTGAGAGCACAGGCTCTGGAGCTCAGCAGTGTGTTCACATTCAGTTCTGCCCCGACACATTGCCCATCCTCATCAGCCTCTCCATCCACAAAGCAGAGACGATAACATACCTGCGACACGACGAAGGTGATGCACACACCACACCAGGCAGAGACCGCATGTGACCTATGACTGCTGCTATTTGTACATTCGCCAGCATGATCCAGTTCTACCCCATTCAAAACTCAATGTGCAAGTGGATTCCCTGCCTTTGTTACCAGCACCACAGCCTGGAGGTCACTTGAACCAGAAAACTGGAGTTGTCCCAGCTCCATCTCTCCGAAAATTCTTTAATACAAAATCACTAGTGTAAGGTAACTTGGACTGTATTTCATGGCTTTGATCAGTCCTTGGGTAACTTCAGTTCTTAGAATAATTAGATATTAATCAGCTTCACTCCTTGTCTATATGTTTTCAACAAATATAATCCAGTCATTTTGGCCTATTTTCAGGGCCTCTCCAATCGTACACCAGCCAGCTCTTGTAGTCCCATTTCTGATTATTGTTCCCCAGAGCCCTTTCATTGGTTCCACCAGTTTTGTCAGCTACCTGGTCATGAACTTGCCTTTAGTTTTCTAAACCTCTGCTCATTGCTACAATCATTCCTTTTTTGCTTATGCATATCCTATCAATCTTTCAAGGTGAGACTCAAATTCTTCCTCTCTTTATTCAGTCTATCTTTGATAGACATTTAGGTTGATTCCATGTCTTTGCTATTGGGAATTGTGCTGTAGTGAACAATTAGCTGGGTGTAGTGGCACATGCCTGTAATCCCAGCTACTCGGGAGGCTGAGGCAGGAGAATTGCTTGAACCCAGGAGATGGAGGTTGCAGTGAACTGAAATCGTGCCACTGCACTCCAGCCTGGGCAACAGGGCGAGACTCCATCTCAAAAACAAAAACAAAAACAAAAACAAAAAAACACACAACAAAAAAACAGATGAGGTTCTGGAGAGAAAATAATGCTTATACATTGTTGGTGGGAGTGTAAATTAGTTCAACCAATGTGGAAGACAGCGTGGTGTTTCCTCAAAGACCTAAAGACAGAAATACCATCTGACCCAGCAATCACGTTACTGGGTATATACCTAAAGGAATTTAAATTGTTCTATTATAAAGACACATGCATGCAGATACACCATAGAATACTATGCAGCCATAAAAAAGAATGAGATGTTCTCTCCAGGGACATGGATGGAGCAAACTAATACAGAAACAGAAAACCAAATATCCCATGTTCTCCTTTATAAGTGGGAGCTTAATGATGAGAACACATGGACACGTACAGGAGAACAACACACACTGGGGCTTCTCGGAGGGTGGAGAGTGAAAAGAGGGAGAGAATCAGGAAAAATAACTCATGGGTATTAGGCTTAATACCTGGGTGATGAACTAATTTGTAAAACCCCATGACACAAGTTTACCTATGTAACAACCCTGCACATGTACCCCTGAACTTAAATAAAAGTTTTTAAAAAGGAAAGAAAAACCCTTAAAATATTTGTATTTGTCTTTGGTTTTCAGCAGTTTAATTGTAATATATCGAGATGCAATTTGTTTGTTTTTAGTTTATCCTAGTTGGAGTTCACTGAACTTCTTCAGTGTGCAAGTTTATGTGTCTAACCAAGTTTGAAACACAAGCTTTAAGGTTTCAGTCATAATTTTCTATAATTTTTCTTCTTCACCAATCTCTTTCTTTTCTCCTTTCAAGACTCCAATCGCTTTGACATTATACTTTTTGATATTGTCCAACAGCTACATCAGGCATTTATAATTTTTAAATATATTTTTTCTGTCTGTGGATAAATTCTGTTGCTCTATCTTCAAGTTCACTGCCCTTTTCCTTTGTTATTTCCATTCTCCTATTGAGCCTATCCAATAAGGTTTTTTATTAATATGATTATTGTTATTTTTATTATTGTTATTTCAAATTTTGTAGTTTTCAGTTCTAAAATATCCAGTTGGTTCTTTCTCATAGTTTCTATCTCTCTGCTATGAATTTCCATACTTTCATCATTTCAAAAGTGTTCATTTTTACTGCATAGAGCATGTTTACAACAGCTGCCTCTGAGTCTCTCTTATAATTCCAACATCTGAGTCATCTTAGGGGTGGCATATGTTGATTATCAATTCCATTGAGAATTTGGCATATTTTTGGTTCCTACTATGTTGAGTAATTTGGAATGGTATCCTTAGCATATAGCCTATTCTGTTTTGAGAGTATGGGTTCTGTCACATCCTCTGCAGATGTTGACATTTTGTTTTATCAGGCAATCAACTTAGTTAAGTTTAGACTAAAAATTCAATCTCACTTTATATAGGTGGTAATTACAATATCAGCTCAATTGTCAAAGCTTTTGCTATGCTTATTAGGTGTGCATATGAAATGTTTTCATAAATAGTATTTTCATTATTTTTCAGTTCCTAATGTATTCTAATTTCTCTTTTGATTTGTTTTGATCCATCACTTATTTAAAAGTGTTTTTACCTGTTATCACAGATATTTTGAGAAATATACAAAAGGAGAGAAAATAGAACAGAAAGCCACCATACACCTTTCTTGCAAACATAACCACAATTACATATTACACATTAAAAATTAAAGTGATTCATTAAAATAAAGTATCCAGTTAGTGCAGAAGTAGATTTCTTAATTTATAAAGGGATTTTCTAATTATGTCTTTTTTTATTTTACCTAATTTAGTTGAATTGTGATCAAAAAATATTTGATACAATTTCAGCCCTTAAAGTCTGTTCTGACATGCTTTGTGACTCAATAGATATAATTTTTCGGTTACTGTTTCTTGTGTACTCAAAAAATATATATTTTGATGTTTTGGGGACTATTTTTCCATCATGTTAATTACTTCAAATTTATTTAACTGTATCCTGATATGTTTAAATTGCTTGTTCTATCAGTTAGTGAGACAGAGAGCTAGCTTGCATTCTTTTCATCATGTGGAAGATACAATGAGAAGTCAGCATCTCAAGTCTGCAACCCGAAAGAGAACCCTCATCAGAACCCAACAATGCTGGAACCCAGATCTTGAACTTTCAGCCTCCAGAACTGTGAGAAATAAATTTCTGTCGTTGATAAGTGAACCAGTCCATGGTATGTTGTTATAGCAGCCCAAACTGACTAAGATACTATTTTTATCATGTACGTCTATTTTAAACCTCTCCAGACATTGTTGTTGTTGTTGTTATATAAAGTTCACCATTATTTGGATCTACCACAAACACTCGTTTCATTATTACTTATTTCTTCCTGGATTTCTAAGATTCTATCATCCAGTATCACTGTCCTCTGGCTTAAAGTATTTAAGCAGAATTTATGTGTTTTCTTTAGCAAAGTAGCCCTTCTTGTGACAAATTCTCTCAGTTTTATTTGTCAAAGATGTTTTAATGTTTGAATTTCCTCATCAATGAAGATTTTCACTAGATATAAAATTTCATGTTGTTCTTATTTCTTATAGCAATTAGCGATATCATTCTATTTTCTTCTGTTTTTTTTCCTAAAAAATATCCTGGTTTTTTTTTCCTGTAAAATATCTTCTAATTATGGCTTTATTTAATAATTGTCTTTTCCTTTTCCCCACTTGAGAGATTTTCTCTTTATTATTACTTTCAGCAAGTTATACTACGGTGTGTTTTAATGTGACTTTGAATTTATTTTGTTTGGGGTCCATAGTGACTCTTGAATCTGATATTTAATGTCTTTTACATTTTCAATTCACTATTTTTTCAAACAGTTTTTCTGCCTTATTCTCTCTTCCCTGTCCTGCAATTACAGTTGTAGCCATGCCATACTTTTTCACTATATCCACTATGCCTCTTAATCTCTTTTTACTCTATTCCTTTTGTTCATTCTTTGTTCTGTACATTTTTTTCTGAACTATCTTCCAATTCCACTAATTGTCTTTTTAGCTCTGTCTAAATTGCTTTTAACCTTATCCACTGAGTTCCTAGTTCCATTTATTTTACCTTTCAGTTCTAGAATTTTTTTTCCTTGTATCTTATCTCAATTTATCTGTCAAAATTTTCAGTCTTGTCTTTTATTGCCTTTTGTATTAAAAATGTTTATTATAAAGTATTTTCTGATATTTTCACTGATCTTGTAGATCTGTTTCTATTGTCTATTATTTAATTTTTCAAATCACATATCTCCTTGAGAGAAGGGATTTTTAAATTTAGGAATGTATATTTTATATGAAAAGCATACAGGAGTGTTTAAGGCCTAGGATGATGGTATATTTCTTCAGAGATAATTTATGTTTATTTTTAACAGACAGCTAGGTTAATAGGATTAGCAATCCCAGATCACCTTAATTCAACCCTGAAGGTTGAGAGGATTTTAATCTGGCTTTAGCCTTTGCAAGGGCTGGTCTATTTCTGCATCATCCTTTATGTTAAGCAAGTCACTTATTTTCTTGGCAGGCCCTAGGTTCCAGTTTTCATCCCAGAGGGATGAACAAAGGCTCATCACCAGAACAAAGGTTCTGCTAAGCTTCCCCATCTCTCATTTGTCTTTGCCTTTCCAGGAGTCAGAAAGCATCTCTGTAGATAAGCATCCCTGGGTTTCTTTATTTTCCTGGATCTTGGCTCCATATCCTTGGTGTCTCTCTGAGACCTTCAAGTAAACCTTTTTTTCTTTGTCCAGATTTTCTAATTGTTCTCATGAGACAAATTACCTAATTACCACTAACAAAAGTGGAATTCCCCCAAAATAACTTTTAGATTTAACTCAGGAAGCTTCTAAATGCATTACATGCTGATTGTATTTGATAAAAATATTGTGCACTCACCACATTGCAGTGGGGAAAAAAGAAAATAGATCTTGCCCTTTGTGACAGAAATGGCCAACCTTCCTTTTCCCTTCATTTTCAGAAATTGGTTTTGTTTCAATGTGTTTTGTTTTTTTACTGGGCATATGGTCATCTAAGATATAGCCTTATTTTTCAACCTCTTTTATAGCTAGGTGTGGCAAAGTAAGGTCTGGCCAATGGGATGTACGGGCAATTTCAAGGAGCATCCTTAAAAAGAAGAGCATATCTTTCCTCATTTCTTCTGTCATATTTCTTTCTGGAATGGAGACATGATGGCTGGATTCCAGCTCCTTATAGCCACCTTGGACCATGAGGATCTTGGCAATGGAAGCCCTGCATGACAATACAACAAAATGTGAGGGCCTGGCTCCCGGACGCTATGAATCATTATACCAATGTTGGGATATTATAGAGAAATGAAGGTCTATCTTGTTTAAGCCTCTACTTTTTTCTGTTACTTGGGGCCAAAATATCCCCAAATTGTTTATAAAGATGACACATGCATTAATTTAAAGGCTACCTAACACTTGACAACACTTGGTAAGTGCCAAATGAATGACATAAATCATATGTAGCAGGCAGATTCCTGTAAGTTCCTTGAGGAAAACTTAGCTAGTGGATCCTATTGCCCTAGGGGGACTGAAAATCCAAGTCAGAAATGTTGATGCAGAGGGAAATTGTGATGATTTAAGCATTTTAAAATCCTTCCAACAGGTTTTATTATTACAGTGTAAGATGGAAAAGGCATCTGTTATTTTTTTTTATTTTTTTATTTTTTTGAGACAGAGTCTCACTTGGCCACCCAGGCTGGAGTGCAGTGGCATGATATCAGCTCACTGCAACCTCTGTCTCCTGGGTTCAAGCAATTCTCCTGCCTCATCCTCCCGAGCAGCTGGCGTTATAGGCATGTGCCACTACACCTGGCTAATTTTTTTTGTATTTTTAGTAGAGATGGGGTTTCACCATGTTGGCCAGGCTGGTCTCAAATTCCTGACCTCAGGTGATCTGCCTGCCTTGGCCTCCCAAAGTGCTGTGATTACAGGCATGAGCCACCACACCCCACCCATCTGTTATTTTTTGACTTTTAAGTAATAGGAGTTCTGACTGGTGTTAGATGGTGTCTCATTGCAGTTTTCATTATGCATTTCTCTAATGATCAGTAATGTTGAGATTTTTTCATATGATTTCAAGGCCATCTGTATGTCTTCTTTTGAAGAGTGTCTGTTCATATCTTTTGCCCACTTCCTAATGGGGTTGTTTGTTTTTCTCATGTAAATTTGTTCAAGTTCCTTATAGATGCTGGATATTAGACCTCTGTCAGATGCAGTTTGAAAATATTATCTGCCATTCTGTAGGTTGTCTATTTACTGTGTTGATAGTTTCTTTTGCTGTGCAGAAGCTCTTTAGTTTAATTAGAACCCATTTGCCAATTTTTGCTTTTGTTGCAATTGTTTTTGGCATCTTCCTCATGAAATCTTTTCCTGTGCCTGTGTCCCGAATGGTACTGGCTATGTTGTCTCCCAGGGTTTTTATAGTTTTGGATTTTACATTTAAGTCTTTAATCCATTTTGAGTCAATTTTTGTATATGGTGTGAGGAAGGGGTCCAGTTTAATTTTCTGCATATGGCTAGCCATTTATCCCAGCACCATTTATTGAATGGGGAATTCTTTCTCCATTGCTTGTTTTTGTTAGGTTTGTCAAAGATCATATAGTTGTAGGTGTGCAGTCTTATTTCTGAGTTCTCTATTCTGTTCCATTGGTCTATGTGTCTGTTTTTGTACCAGTATCATGCTATGTTGGTTACTGTAGCCCTGTAAAATATTAATAGTTCAGAGGTGGGTAGCATGATGCCTCCAGCTTTGTTCTTTCTGCTTAGCATTGCCTTGGCTATTTGGGCTCTTTTTTGGTTCCATTTGAATTTTAAAATAGTTTTTTTTTTCTAGTTCTGTGAATAATCTCAGTGGTAGTTTAACAAGAATAGCATTGAATCTATAAGTTGCTTTGGGCAGAATGGCCATGTTAATGATCTTCCTATTCATGAGCATGGAATGTTTTTATGTTTCTTTGTGTCATCTCTGATTTCTTTGAGCAGTGGTTTGTAGTTCTCCCTGTAGAGATCTTTTGCCACCCGAGTTAGCTGTATTTCTTGGTATTTTATTCTTTTTGTGGCAGTTGTGGATGGGAGTTTATTCATGATTTGGCTCTTGGCTTGACTGTTGTTAGTGTACAGGAATGCTAGTGATTTTTGCACATTGATTTTGTATCCTGAGACTTTGCTGAAGCTGTTTATCTGCTTAAGAAGCTTAACAACCTAACATCAAGTTAACAGCTTAACATCACAACCGAAAGAACTAGAGAGCCAAGAGCAAACAAATCCCAAAACTAGCAGAAGACAATAAATGACCAAAACCAGAGCTTAACTGAAGGAGACTGAGACACAGAAAAACATTCAAAAGATCAATGAATCCAGGAGCTGTTTTTTTTTGAAAAAATTAATACAACAGACCACTAGCTAGACTAATAAAAAAGAGAGAAGATTCAAATAAACACAGTCAGAAATGACAAGGGGGACATTACCACTGACCCCACAGAAATACAAACAACCATCAGAGAATATTATGAACACCTCTATGCACAGAAACTAGAAAATCTAGAAGAAATGGATAAATTCCTGGACACATACACTATCTCATGGCTGAACCAGGAAGAACTTGAATCTCTGAACAGACCAATAATAAGCTCTGAAATTGAGGCAATAATAAGTAGCCTACCAACCAAAAATAAAAAAATCCAGGACCAGATGGATTCACACCTGAATTCCACCAGATGTACAAAAAAGAGCTGGTACCATTCCTACTGAAACTACTCCAAAAAATTGAGGAGGAGGGACACTTTTCTAACTCATTCTATGAGGCCAGTATCATCCTGACACAAAAACATGTCAGAGATACAACAAAAAAGAAAATTTCAAGCCAATATCCTTAATGAACATTGATACAAAAAACCTCAGCAAAATACTGGCAAACTGAATCCAGAAGCACATCAAAAAGCCTATCCACCACAGTCAAGTAGGCTTTATCTCTGGGATGCAAGGTTGGTTCAACATATGCAAATTAATAAATGTAGAAAACTTCATAACCTCAGCCCAAAAGCTTCTTAAGCTGATAAGTAAAAATCTTGAAAGCAGCTGAGGAAACAAGTGACAACTTACATATAGAGGAAGAGCAGTTTGAATGATTGTGAATTTCTCATCAGAAACTACAGAACCAAAGACTGTAGAACAACATCTTTAAAGAGCCAAAGGAAAAGACTGGCCACCTAGAATTTTATATTCAATGAAATATATATATGCTAAAAGAAGCTCTTCAGGCTGTAGAAAAGAAAAAGAAGAAAACCTGGAACTTCAAGAATAAACATGGGAAAATATAACAAACAATTTTTCTTATCTTAAGATCTTTAAAACATATACTGTTATTGAAAGCAAAATTTTAAAAATTTCAGGGAATGTCAGTGTATGCAGATGTAATATATTTTTTAAATGTAATATAAATGGGGGAGGGTAAAAGGACCTATATAGCTGCAATACTTCTACATTTTACTTGAAGTGGTGCAATATTAACTCTAAGTTGACTGTGTAGGGATTTAATAATCTCTAGGGCAACCAGTAAAAAATAATATAAAGAGTTATAGCAAAAAAAGAGATAGATAAGTTGAAGTAGAATACTAATATTATTTAAATGTCCCTATAGAATTCAGGAAGGGAAAGAGAGAGGAACAAAGGAGGAAATAATAACATAGTAGAAATAAATCCAAATATCTTAATGCTTACATTAAGTGTAAATGGTCTAAATATACCAATTAAAAGAGAAAGACTCTTAATTTGTATAAATAAATACTGCCCAACTACATGCTGGGTCATAATATGCCATGCAGATACTAATCAATCAAAAGAAAGCTGTAGACAAAGTAGTCTGCAGAAGAAGGTAAACCAAAAGGTAAAAGTGGGACATTACCTAATGATTAAAAGGTCAATTCATCAAGAAAACATAATAATCCTAAGTGTTTATGCACCTAACAACAGAGCTTGAAAATACATGAAGCAAATACTGATAGAAGTGAGATGTAATCTACAACTGTATTTGGAGATTTCAGTAGTTCTCTCTCAGTAATCAATTGAAAAAGGAGAGAAAAAATCAGTAATGATCTACATGTCTGACCAACACAATCAAACAAAATGACTTAACAGCAGAATAGATATCTCAAGATATCTCCAGCACATATTCTCAAGCACAGATGGGACATTCATCAAGATAGGCCACATTCTGGGGCATAAAGCAATCCTTAATGAATTTAAAATGAATTTAATTGAAGTCACACAAAATGTATATGCTTTGACAATGAGGGAATTTAACTAGAGATGAATAATATTAAGATTGATGAAAAAATCATCAAATATTTGGAAATTAAACAACATACCTTTGAGTTACCTATGGACCAATAAAGAACTATCAAGATAAATTAGTAAATATTTTGAACTAAATAAAATAAAAATGAAACATGTAAAAACTTATGGGATCTAGCTAAAGCAATGACTAGAAGGAAATTTTCTAGCATTAAATGTTTATATTAGAAAAGGAGGAATAACTCTACCTAAAGAGAGAGGAGGAAGACACAAAAGAAAATGAAGAAAAAATAATAAAAATAAAAGCCTAAATCAGTAATATTGAAAACAATAAAGAAAATCAATGAAATCAAAAGCTTATACTTTGAAAAGGTCACTAAAATTAGTAAACCTCTAGCAATACTGGCCCATAAATAGTGAGGGAAGACACAAGTTACCATTATCAGAACTAAATAAAGGAATATCACTACAGGCCCTACATAAGTTAAAAGTAAAATAAGGGGTTACTATGAACAAGTTATACCCATGAATTTGATAATTAAGATTAAATTACTGAATCTCATTCAGGAAAACAAAGATAATCTGAATAACTCTATATCACTAAGGAAATTGAACCTGTAGTTAATTTTCCAACAAAGAAAACTCAGGCTCAGATGATTATACTAGGAAATTATACCACATATTCAAAGAAAAAAATACCAACTCTACACATTCTTTTCCTGAAAATAGAAAAAGGAAAGAAAACCCTTCTAAATTCATTTTGTAAGGCCAGCATTCTCTTGATGCCAAAACCAGAAAAAGACAAGAAAATAAAACTATAGACCATATACCTCATGAATAGAAGGGCAAATATCCTCAGCAAAATATCAGTAAATTGAATCTATATTTTAAAAGGGAGATGCATGGAAGCCAAGTTAGTTTTATCTCAGGAATATGAGGTTTATTCAAGTTGAAAACCAAACAATGTCATGTATCATATTGTATTATAATCAAACATAGGAGTGCTACAAATGGTGTAACATACCATATTACAGATGAAAAAGAAAAACCATATGACCAATAGATGCTGAAATGCTTTTGATAAAAATCAACATGCACTCATGATATGTGTCCATTTGTACTTTCCAATTTAACATTGTACTGGAAGTCCCTGTAAGTGCAAAAAGGAATAAAGATAAATAAAAGACATACAGATCGGACAGGAAAAAAACCTGGCACTACTTCCAGTAATCATAATGGTCTAGATAGAAAATACCATGGAATTTATAAAAGAAGCTACTAGAAATGATAAAAGAGATTAACATAATAGTTTAGGTATAATGGACACATTACTGGAAACGTGCAACTAAGCAAATACAACCCAAGGAGAAATAGAAAGCCTGAGTAGCCCTAGGGTCCCTAAAGAAATTTAATCTGTAATTAAAAACGGGAGGTGAACATGCTGGAGTTGTTAGGGAGAGCTCTTTAGATCAACACAAGTGGAAGGAGAGGAGAAGGAGCAGGGTTGGGCAGAGAAGGAAGCAACTTGGAGGTTATGTTACCTACCAAGAAAGTATGTTCTAGTTATACATTCGGGGACCTAGGAGGTGATGAACAAATGGCCTCTGCATCAGTGGACTCACTGTGACCTGGACCTGAGCCAAAGTTCTATTAGCTGCTTAGCCTCAAAGTGCTCCCATTTTAACAGAAGGGCCACGATGACATTTCAGACCATTGCATATAAATGTCAACTTCAGGGGTCGTGCTAAAGGGTCTTTGAAAAGTCCAAGTATTGGCTGTGCACGGTGGCTCACGCCTGTAATCCCAGCACTTTGGGAGGCTGAGGCAGGTGGATTACAAGGTCAGGAGATTGAGACCATCCCGGCTAACACGGTGAAACCCCATCTCTACTAAAAATACAGAAAATTAGCTGGGCCTGGTGGCAGGTGCCTGTAGTTCCAGCTACTCAGCAGGCTGAGGCAGGAGAATGGTGTGAACCCGGGAGGCAGAGCTTGCAGTGAGCTGAGATTGCGCCACTGCACTCCAGCCTGGGTGACAGAGCGAGACTCCGTCTCAAAAAAAAAAAAAAAAAAAAAAAGAAAGAAAGAGAAGTCCGGATATTGCCCCTTTACTCTGGTGCAGTCACCTGCATAAGGGAAGGACTGGGGGAGTCAGCGCCATGTGCACCCACCATCGTGGGTCAGGAAGAACTGAAGAGCATCAGCGCCATGTGGACTCACCATCGAGGGTCAGGAAGGACTGGGGAGTCAGCGCCATGGGCATTCGCCATCGTGGGTCAAGCTCCTTCCTCTTGTGGACCTGGCGACTCCTTCAAATCGTCCCCTCACTGGCGTGAGTCTGGAAACTGGGCGAGTCCCTGAGTTGTGCTGGGGTGACCATGACCTGTTTCATTATCGTCCTTATTTTCATTGCATACACTGCATAGTGCCTCTTTTCACTGCCTGTCTGTTTTGCATCCAGCGACACTGTTCTGTTAACCCTCTGTGGATCAGGTTCCCTCAAGGCCACTCCAGCCTTGTCACAGATGAAGATAACTGCATCCACCAGGCTGCTGAAGGCGAAGTGCAGCCATCTAGTCTGTATTGTTCAGGGTCCTTTTGCCCCACAGCTGTCAGAAAGCCTCCCTCGGTGATGGACTCTGCTGCTGGCAGCCCAGCCTGCACGTGCACGGGGAGCCACTGTTTCTCCTGCCACCCGTACATTCCCCTGGGGCTTCCCACGTGCAATGGCCCGGATGTCTGCGTCTTCCCCAGATTCACAGATTGAAGCCCTAATCCCCAGTGTAAATGATATTTGGGGGTGGAGCTTTTCGGAGGTAATTAGGTTCAGATGAGCCCGTAATCGTAAGGCCCCCAGGATGAGATTAGCACACTTACAAGAAGAGGAGGAGACCAGTGTTCTTTCTCTCTCCCTCCTTCTGCCACGGGGAGAAGGCACCCACAGCAGACACCAGAGCTGCTGGCCACCAGAACTATGAGAAATAAATGTTTGTTGTTGAGGCCACCGAGTCCATGGTGCCTGTGACAGCAGCCTTAGCTGATGGAGATGCTGGGGGTCACAGTGTTCCAGCTGCTTGTCTGCCTCAGCCCACTTCCCTGAGCCTGTGAACCCCCTAACGTCGGCACCCTCCAGGGAAGCTCTGGCACAATTTCCACCTCACTTGCTGCAGAGCTTCACGCTTCACTCATAGGGGACAGCCTAGTACGGTTTCCCCATTGCCTGGGGTCCTCTCCTATATTCCACGAGAGTGCTTCCAAGCTGACAAATTCTCCTCATCTGTGGGCCTGGCTTTGACACAACAAACCCAGTGAGGTTGAGGGTTTGCCCTTCTTGGGAGCTGCAGCTTTTGAGATCCAGTCCTGAGATGGGTCATGATTTCCACCTATAGGAGATGAGAGCTGTTTTTTGTTTTTTAAATTGAGAGCCCTTTTCATGCTCCTGGGAGCCCTCTAGGGTTTACACTCAGCTTTTAGTTGCTGAGTAATCACTTCCTTCTTCAAAGGGTTCATCGAAGTTGATAGCAGCCATGAGATTCTGGGCCCTGCTAATTATTATTTCCCGATATTTCTTAAATGTCTTTTATATCACACCTGCTGGTCTGTGATCCCCGCTGACCTCTGGTCCAAGTTTTGATGCTGGTGTGGCTCCTTGTGCCAGGGCCAGTCGCTGCTTCACCTTGCAGTAGGCACCTGTCTCTGGTGGCAGGTGACTGAGCTCCAAGATGACATCCCAGTATCTGTTCTGTTTTACCACTGCTGGTGTGGGCTTCACAGACTTGGCTCCCAGGAAGACAATGACATGGAAAGGATTATGCTGGAGGTTCATTTAGGAGTGCACCTGTGGGAGGGAAGGAAGCAGGGTTGGGCAAAGGAAGAATCTGCCTGGAATGCAGTCTCAACAGAGGCCTCAGCTGACCTATAGAAGCTCTGAAGCTGCAATGATCCTCCCAAGTGGTCCTTAATGTGGGCCTTTCGCTCCCACCTGGAGTGGTCAGTGGACGTAGGGAGCCCAGGAAAAAGGGTGTGGCCTTGGGTAAGGCAGCGTCTTCCTGCCAGGCAATCCCCCAGGGGACCTGGCAGTTGCAGGCCCTCTGCCGACCATGCTTCCAGCAGCTGCAAGAACCCAGGGAGGTCTCAGTGGATCATGACGGGATCTGCAGCACGGGCTAACAAGCCAGGCCCCAGAGACACACACTGTTCCCTTCCCTTCCACGAAGTTCAGAGCCAGGCGTAGCTAGACTACTGCAGCACGAGTGTTGGGTGGGTGGGCACAGGTTCTGCCTGGCAAACGTCACATGCCTTTACCAAGGTGGTGACCATGTGAGTGAGTGCCTTGTGTTTACACTTTGGGTATTTTCTTATTTGTGTTAAACTTCAAAAAATGTGAAAACATTCGAAAGAAGACAGTGTCTCCTGGGATCTGGGCAGCAGGCTGGGTCTGAACTCTCGCTTACCTCTTGTGGATGTTAACACAGCCTGGAATTTCCTGGTTTGTTAGTCAAGGAATACTTTACCCAGGTGCAATCCATCTGCTTTCATTTTTTTAGTCAGTAAATTGGACTCCTTTCTTTTTATCTGCTTGAAATGACTAAAGCAATGTGTGTGTTGTTTTTAGAATGGAAGGCTTTGCATAACGGACACTAACATTATTTCTTTCCAATCATGTTGCAAGTTGCCTGCATGTTGTGTAAACCAAAGAGTGCCTGATACGGGTCTCAATCAGCTTAGAGGTTTATTTTGCCGAGGTTGAGGATGTACTCAGGAGAAAGAGACAGACTGCAGTAGGACCTGTGGCCCATACTTTTTCCAAAGAGGGTTTTGAGGGCCTCAATACCTAAAGGAGAAAAGCAGGCAGGAGGGGAAGGAGGAAAGGAAAAAAAGATTTTTTTCTGTAGAAAAAAATCAGACAAGAAGTTGCATTCTTGTGAGGCTTTGATTAGTGCTCAGTGAATCCACAAGCTGCAGGTGAAAGGAGGGGAGAGGAACAGCGGAGTATGTGGCTGTCTCTCACTCAGTGAATCTGCACTTTGCACGAGATGAAGTACACACAGAGTGGAGGAAGAAGTCGAACAGGCATTCATCTCAGGGTGGGTGGTGGGACAATTTATTGTCCTGCACTCACAAAGATAAGGTGTTAATTTACACTGTCAGGGTGAGAGAGGCCACCTGGGGAGGTCCCTGTTTAACAGAAGGAAAGGGAGTTGTTTGTGGCTCAGTTTCCAAGCTCAACTTTCCCTTTTGGCGTAGTGAGTTTGGGATCTGAGATTTTATTTTCCTTTTGCAGTTGCAATGTACTTATTATCAAAGTTAGGGCATCCATCTACTCCAGAGTAATTTTGCTTTTAGGATGAATCAAAATAATGCCTCATATCTGATATTTTGAAAAGCTCTTCACAGCAAGAAGGAATTTTGCTGATTTTGGAGCAAGAGCGGTGAGAGCAGGATGATCCCAAGTCCTACCCTGTTTTAGTCACTCCAAGAAAAGGTTTCTCACGGAAGAGGAATGAGTCTGTGTCAACTGTTCCCAAGACATCCTGTAGGAGCCCAGAAGGCCAGGAGCCCAGAAGGCCCTGGACATTTTGGGAGCACCCATTCTAAGGAAGTGGGCACTTTCACCAAGTAAACAGAAAGAGGTCGGGAGGAGCTCTCTACGATATGTTTTCCACTTACGCTGATACCTTAAATCACACAATTAAGGATCCAGATTTTTCATTCCATGTTAGGTAAAAAGCTTTAAAAGCATATGGCCTCAGTAAAGCCAGCACACCAATTCCAAACTGCTGCTCGGTGCAACTTGAGAATGCAGCAGAAATTGTGCATGTGTTGACACTGCTCCATTTCATTAGGAAGAATGAAAACAGGAAATACAGGTGAAAATCTTCCAAACTTTGAAGTAGTCAAAGATTTCTTAAATAAGCCCAACAAGAGTTATCAATAACAGAAAATCAAATTACCTTAAAGAAATTGGAAACACATTACAAAATAAAAACAGATATGTTCCGCACAAAATGCACAAAGGCTTAGTGTCTATAATTCAAAGAACTATTATAAATCAATAAGAAAAGGACTGATAATTCAATTACAAGTGTCCAAAAGGCAGCACACAGTTCAAAAAAATGGAACATATAACCAACAAATATATGCAGAGGCCGAATATCCTTAGTGATCAGGAAAATGCAAGTCCAAATCACAGAGATAACATTTTACTGTCATTTAAGTGGGAAAAAGTGGTGACATCTGATGGCACCAAGCAAAGGGGCAGATGCAGATTGCCTGGACCCCATGCACATTCCTGGTGGGAATAAAGCTGGAGCTGCTGCTGTGGACAGCAGCTTGTCCCTATGCTGGGAGCTGCGGCATTCATATTCCCTGTGAGCACCAAAGGCATCAGCAAAAATGTTTCATTCACAGGAAAGCAAAAATCTGGAAACAATTCAAATCACTTCTAACAGGAAAATGGATAAACTGTTGCACATTCCAACCATACGTTATTTTACAGTGCTCCAAGTGAAGAATATAGCGACATGCAATCAGATGCATAAATTTTAACAATCAGACCGGGTGCGGTGGCTCACACCTGTAATCCCAGCATTTTGGGAGGCTAAGGTGGGTGGATCACGAGGTCAGGAGATAGAGACCATTCTGGCTAACACAGTGAAACCCTGTCTCTACTAAAAATACAAAAAATTAGGCGGGTGTGGTGGCTGGTACCTGTAGTCCCAGCTACTCGGGAGGCTGAGGTAGGAGAATTGTATGAACCCGGGAGGCAGAGGTTACAGTGAGCTGAGATGGCGCCACTGCACTCCAGCCTGGGCGACAGAGCAAGACTCTGTCTCAAAAAAAAAAAAAAAGAAAAAGAAAAAGAAAAAATTTTTTAACAATTTAATTTTGCCTGGCAAGTGAAAATCCCAAAATTAAAAAAAAAAAAAACAACCAACTAAAACTGAAGCCACATGATTTTTAGGGACATACTTCCAAGGTAGACACATATGTGCAGGAAGCCCAGACACAGACATCAGCCATCTGGGGAGAGGGAGGGATGGGGGCATTCAGGCAGATGTAGGTTCGTTTCCAATGCCCTACTTTTCATTTGGGGTAACTTTAGTAGGTAGTTGTTGAATTGTTTAAATTAATTTTTAAAAGCAGGCTTTGCATGAACAATGATGAGAGTATGTAAAAAACTGAAGTTTCAATTAAAAGAAATAAACAGGAAATGACCATGTGTTGAAACCAGAAGCAGCTGAGCTGAGAAAATCTTATCAGAAAGTGAGAAAATAGCGCGACAAACAGCCACAAGAAGAGGGCTCATCTGTGTGAGTACAAACGTGGCCTGCTCCATCGTTTTGCTGAACCAGCCTTGACAAGGGCACTTTACTCTGGTTAAATTCCAGAGAAGCAATTTTTCTAAAACAACTTTGTCTCCTCTTTGGGGATCAAAGGCAGAATGTGCCATTTTCTACCTCCTAGCGAGGGGATACATTTGAAATCCTCCAAGAGCTTAAGAGTTTGCATCTTGGCCACTTTCCCAGCATATGTGCTTTAAAGAGACCAGAAAATGGTGTTTTCAAAATACTTCCTGGAATCTTTTATAAGGTAATAAATCAGCAGGAAAGGTCACCCGGCCTGCTCCTTCTTACCACTTCTGTAATAAACATAAGTTTCCATTAATATTAAATATTTCTTATGACAATTTTAGTCTAAACATATTATCAATTATCTTAGAAATGAACTATGTCACTAATAAAAATCATCATCATATTAATTTTCTATTTGGCTTTCAAATTTATAAAACCTTTATCATCTCATTTGATAAAATCCTGTGATAGTTTCATTACAACACAAATTGCATGTTGTAATCATCTTGCTTAGTTTCTGTCACTTTTTAAAACCTGATTTGTCTGTCACCATGCTGGAATGTCAGTGCCTCTGTGGCATCACCTGTCTCTCTTGCCACCGCCTGGCTCAGGCCTGGCACGTGCTCAGTGAGTTTGCAAGACTGAAGGGCACCCCTGCCTCCACGTCAAATCCCAGGGGTCCCTCACGGCGCTGCATGTGGGAAGATGGAGGCTGAGCCCCAGTTTGCATGCCATGGTGCTGGCCCTCGCGTATGAAATACACCAGTGATTATAAAGGTTAGTGAAAAATCTAATTATGAAATTGTACATAAACTACGATTAACTCTTTTTGTATATAGAAGAGGATACAAGGAAATATATCTAAATTGCTATGTTCACTATGCTCAGTGATAAGATTAAAGGTACATATTTTTCCCCTTTGATTTTCAACATTTTCTCAAACGTGCTTCTATTACTTTTACAAATTATCATAATCAGAGACGTAATACCCTGAGTCACCTGTTGTGTTTACTAAGACAACAAAGTACTTTGGGGTTTCTTTGCTCCTTGCAGACAGGGTGGTGGAACTGAGGGAGACTGCAGCCAGCCCAGTCGTGCCCACCCGGGCTTGCCACAGAGTTCATGGGCCTTGGGGGCTTCGTGCATTCTGCTCCCTGCTTAGAAACAGCCTCCCCCAGGCCTTCCCCGCTCCTTAGCGTGGCTGACTTCCTCTGGTCCTTTAGGGCTCAGCTCACCCGACTCCTCCCAGGAAAAGCTCCCCAGTCAGAGGTTCCTCCCTCTGGTCCTTTAGGGCTCAGCTCACCAGACTCCTCCCAGGAAAAACTCCCCAGTTAGAGGCTCCTCCCACGTGCTTTTATTTAGCTCCCTCAGCAGCTACTATGCGTCTTCATGACCTGTTTACCTCGTTCCCCAGGGAAGTCACAGGCTCCCTGAAGACAGGAGCCGTGTTTTGGTCACGGCCTCCTCGCACTGGCCTGCAGGAGAAGCTCCAGGGATACGTGAACGGATAGATGAGTGAGAGGCTTTGGGTGCCCTGAGCTCGAGTTTGTGTTTTAAGGCAAGTCATATCACTTATCAGTCATATCACTGCAGAATGAGAATGCTAAATTTCTCTTGTTCTTACATCCTGTATTTGCACAGCACTTTCACGTTATCACGTGTGACAGAAGGAAGACAGCCTCAGCCTCCCGGCTCAGCCACTGGGTCTAGTCCATTGGGCACAAATACAAACCTGCAAGGTGTGTGTGGCTCGGAGAGGGGCCCCTCAATGTCAGCAACAAGGGGGGATTTCAGAAGGTTCCAGTCTCCTTCTTACCTCTCTTCTCTACTTCTTACCTTCCTTCCTTTATTTATTCCTCTTTTCCTTCCTTTTTCAAATATTTTGAGCTCCTGCTGTTTCTATGCCAGAGAAGGAGGCAGGCCCCAGCGAGACCGAGAGAGCTGAGGGCCCGCTGGCCTGGAGGCCTCCGGAAGGCAGCTCCTTCACCACTTTTGATCCCCCTAAAATGTCAACAGACTTTAACCACTGATTATTTGTCATTTAGACCCAAGTGCTAATGAATCTGTCCCTGGTGAAGTTCAGGATGGGCCCCCGGGAGGACCTCGGGCCTGGGGGAGCTGGTGTGTGGGGTTCTTCCCAAGCATGGCTGAGCATGGAGACGGTGGCCATAGCTGAGAGCAGGACGCTCCCCACCCTTCTTTCCTCACCTTCTAACTGGAAGAGGGGTTCAAGCCCTGCTTGGTGAGGGACTTAAGAAGGTGGACAGAGGCTGCCTCAGCAGGCGTGGGTCTCTCCTCTCTCCACACCTGTGCACCAAGTGGCTCGGCTTCTGTCTGATTCACACAGTGCGTGTCTGTGGGCAGTTTTGTGTGAAAACACATCTGCTGCATAAGAAACGGTGGGTGTGGGTAAAAACTGCTGCCAAGGGAGCCACAGAGTGGAGGCCATAGAGCATCTACTGTGTTTCTCTTCAGTTTCACATGAGGCACATGTCACATGCACACACGTGCACACATAACACACTCACACGTGTGTGCAGAAATCTCACACACAGGACATTCCCCCCACCAATGCCATCCCGAACCCACTGAAGTGCTGGAGAGAAGGAGCCACCAACCCTTTCCAGGTGAGTTCCAGGAGTGAAGAGGACTCAAGGCTGCTCAGAGCCTGGTTAGAGCCACGGACAGAGAACGGAAGCCTCGACTGAGCCGTTAGAGGCAGCAGCCTCCCACTGTCCCCCAAGTGCGGGGTCCAAGCTCTGCCTCAGTGACCAGGCAGAGCCTCGCCTGGGTCCTGCAGGACTCACACGGTGAGTGGATGCTGCTGCCACTGCCGTCCGCACCTCCACTGGTGGTGTTTCAGGACCAGCTTGTCAACTGTAACAGAAACATATATAAAACCAGAATCCATTTCTCTTCTTGAGAAATAATTTAAGATTAATTATAATTTTACAGAATGCATAGTTAGTATAACTGCTGATGAGGGACTGAAGGCATCACATCTTTCTTTCTTTTTTTTTTTTTTTTGAGAGTCTTGCTCTGTTGCCCAGGCTAGAGTACAGTGGCACTATCAGGGCTCACTGCAGCCTTGACCTCCCTGGCTCAAGTAATCTTCCCACCTTAACCTCCTGTGTACTGGGACTATAGGCATACACCACAATGCCAGGCAAATTGAAAAATTTTTTTGTAGAGCTGGGAGTCTCACTATGTTGCCCAGGCTGCTCTTGAACTCCTGGGCTCAAGGGATTCTCTCTTGGCCTCAAAGGGTGCTAGGATTACAGTGTGAGCCCTACATGCAGGACAAAATAAAATCTTAAGCCTGCTGAAATTATCCAACCTCTCCTGTGTCATCAACACTCCTCTGTCAGGATGGCCTCTGAGCTTCCAAAGATGAAACATGGAAACAGGGAAACAGGGTGGGTGAGCTTCTCCCTGGGTGACGTGCCTCTCCAGCTCTCCTTCCTGGATTAGACAAATGAGGAGAGAAGGAATATGTCACATCAAAGACCCATTACTGCTGTTTGCAATATGCTTTCAAAGCATGACATGGAAGTTTGCTGTTTTGTTCATAAGTTTTTATTTAGTTATGATTGTAAAAGGACCAAAAGTTATGCCTGTACTGGTGTGTATACTTTTCAATAAACAATTGTGCATTTTTGATAATTTTTCTATACTATGTTCTGATTGTATTTATTGAAACATAATTTTGTTTCAACTCTAATAAAAACCTACGCTTGCTTTTGTATATCTCTTACAATTATATTTTTCTAGTAATTTATTTTTGTTGTATTTTATTAGTATTAGCCTGTAGTGGCTTGGCAATTAAACACAGTCAAGTCTTCTGCACAGATGGATTAGGAAGCATTCAGGAGGCCCCATCACGGGCATCTCTCCATGCAGTCAGTTCCCTGTATGGTGAGCACGTGCACAAGGCAGTTTGGAAGCTCTTGAGGCAAGACTTTTGAAAATACCCTTGGGGTATATAAGGAGAGTCAGGCCTAATATTTAGTAAATTTAGCTATAAAATAATACAGGGAAGTTCCTGTTTTTATCAGAGTCTAACTGTTCAGCATTTTAAAGAAATGGTGCTTTACTTAATTTTTAAGAAAGAGACAGAGCACATGAAATAAATTGCTGGCAGAGAATTGCCAGAGACATGGAGAAGAATGGTTTTGAGCTTGGGGATTTCTGGGGTTCAGTGCAGATTGTACCTAATCTCCCACCCTCTGACGAAACTGGACAGAAAGAGTTGATGTTCGGAACCAGGCTCCCACGACAGTGAGACACACCTGCGTCTTCTGAGCCATGGGAGGAGTCAAATGTTTTCAGCCAGAAATGTGACCCAATACATCTCAGAAAATGTTCGGCAGTCAGGGGTGGCCCAGGAGGGGCTTCTGTGATCACAGTTACCCTGACTCGCCTTGGTAAGTGCTCCCTGAACGCGGTGCCCTGGGTGTGGTTTCCTCAATGTTTTCTCCTTTTCAAACGTGAGCCCCGAGCAGGAGAGAAGGAGCCCAGTCCCTCCCAAGGCCGGGCCTCTTTGGGTTTACTGGTGCAAGGAGCTTGGTTGTTCTTTGTGCACGTGGTGAATATCATGACCATCTTCTGTGAGGTCCTCGGGGGCCGTGAGAACAGATTGGATGTGGGTCGAGCATCTGCAAGTTCTGACGCAGGAGCCCTCGCCCACTCGGTCTGGATCAGAAAGTCAGGTAGCCTCAAAAACCATACCAATGTGAAAGGTCCACCCTAGGTATTTTATTTTAACTCAAGACACAAAACTACATTCTCTTGCCCATATTTTAATGTTAAGCCATAACTTTTCCTTAAATATTTTTTTGACTGAAATTCTACACCACATTTTCTGGAATAAATCACATCCACAAAGCTTTATTTATACTACTCATTTTGTAAAAATAAAATAGAACTTAAGGACATTGAGGTAAAGCCATCTACAAACATTTTTTTTTTTTTTTTTTTGAGACGGAGTCTCGCTCTGTCGCCCAGGCTGGAGTGCAGTGGCGCAATCTCGGCTCCCTGCAAGCTCCGCCTCCCGGGTTCACGCCGTTCTCCTGCCTCAGCCTCCCGAGTAGCTGGGACTACAGGCACCTGCCACCACGCCCGGCTAATTTTTTGTATTTTTAGTAGAGACGGGGTTTCACCGTGTTAGCCAGGATGGTCTCGATCTCCTGACCTCGTGATCCGCCCGCCTCGGCCTCCCAAAGTGCTGGGATTACAGGCGTGAGCCACCGCGCCCGGCCTACAAACATTTTTTGTTAGCTTTATAATATTTTAAAATCTCAGAAGTTTTCCCATATCTATTCAATAAGCATTTTTTAGCAGTTTTCTTTTATTCTTTCCAAAGCATTCAGTTTTGTTTAATAAATAAATTAGTTATTAAACAAAAATTGTTTTATTTTTCCATTTATATTTCTCCAGTGTTTGTGCTGTCAATACTGTAATTGTTTAGTAAACTTGGGCACACACACATTTAGGAACTAGCGTGAGACTTTTGAGAGATGGCAACCCCACAGGTGGGGGGTCATAGCTGCCACTGAGGCTGCTGGCCCTGGCATTCTGTTTGCCTCAGACACAAGGTCCTATGAATTGGGCTTTAAAAGCTTCTATTGTAAGGAAATGTATCATAATGGTGCTTCTAGTGGGGGCAGAAATGAGGAGATGGACTTAGCAAAGTGGACGTCCCTGGCCAAGTCCAGTCTGAGTCAATAGCCAGTGTGCGCTGTGTTCCCTGCAAGGACTTCCCGGTGATCCCGGCCACATGTGCAGGGCCCTGGAAGCAGAGCACGGAGCGTGGGTCTGACCCACAGGGCCAGGGGCCCCAAAGGGTGTGGAGTCAAGGAGGGCCCTGATCCAATCCCTTTTATTTTGAAAAACCCAGCAGTGGGGTGCAGGTGGAGAAGGAGGGACAGAGACCAGTCAGAAGGCCCAGACCCCTACCAAGGGAGGGAAGGTTCTGCATCCAAACCACAGCCGCAGTGCCAGAGATGGAGGGATGACTCACGGCCACGGGGGGGTAAACCCTCCAAACCTGGGCCCCGCTGGGCGTGAGAAGTGAGGGGGAGGGGAGATCTCTGGTAGCTACCAGGTATTGGATCCAGCCAACGACTCAGAGCTCATTCTGTCCACCAAGAGAGAAACGAGGGGCCTCGTACTGAGGATGTGAGTGAATGGCTGACTCTCCTGAAGGGCAGACGGCGAAGGCACTCCATTCAGGCACTTACTTACGTTATCACCATCAAGCTGCAAAAAGCCCCTAAAAATATTTGTATGAGCAAAGAAACTAAGGCTGGAGCGAGTAACCCAAAGACTGCACCTCCAGGTAGGACCAAAGCCAGGACTGAGGCTCAGCTTGTCAGACCCCGAAGTCCACAATTTCCAGTTTATGATCGTCCCATGAGTGACCACAGGACACAGGCACAGCCAGTGGAACAAGGGGCCCTAAGAGCAGTGCTCACGGAAGACACAAGGGACCCTACAGTCACTGTGCTCCTGGGGGGATGGCCTGTAACCCAGGACACCCCACGCCTGAGGAGACAGCCTGGACCAGGATGTCCTATCCATGAGGAGACGGCCTGGGACCAGGATGCCCTATCCATGAGGAGACGGCCTGGGACCACGATGCCCTTTCCATGAGGAGACGGCCTGGGACCAGGGTGCCCTATCCATGAGGAGACGGCCTGGGACCACGATGCCCTATCCATGAGGAGACGGCCTGGGACCAGGATGCCCTATCCATGAGGAGACAGCCTGGGACCACGATGCCCTATCCATGAGGAGACGGCCTGGGACCAGGATGCCCTTTCCATGAGGAGACGGCCTGGGACCAGGATGCCCTATCCATGAAGAGACGGCCTGGGACCACGATGCCCTATCCATGAGGAGACGGCCTGGGACCACGATGCCCTATCCATGAGGAGACGGCCTGGGACCAGGATGCCCTATCCATGAGGAGACGGCCTGGGACCAGGATGCCCTTTCCATGAGGAGACGGCCTGGGACCAGGATGCCCTATCCATGAGGAGACGGCCTGGGACCAGGATGCCCTATCCATGAGGAGACGGCCTGGGACCAGGACACCCTATCCATGAGGAGACGGCCTGGGACCAGGATGCCCTATCCATGAGGAGACGGCCTGGGACCAGGATGCCCTATCCATGAGGAGACGGCCTGGGACCAGGATGCCCTATCCATGAGGAGACGACCTGGGACCAGGGTGCCCTATCCATGAGGAGACGGCCTGGGACCAGGGTGCCCTTTCCATGAGGAGACGGCCTGGGACCAGGGTGCCCTTTCCATGAGAAGACGGCCTGGGACCAGGGTGCCTTGAGCCTGAGGAGATGGCCTGGGACCAGGATGCCCTATCCATGAGGAGACAGCCTGGGACCAGGGTGCCCTATCCATGAGGAGACGGCCTGGGACCAGGATGCCCTGTCCATGAGGAGACGGCCTGGGACCAGGATGCCCTATCCATGAGGAGACGGCCTGGGACCAGGATGCCCTATCCATGAGGAGACAGCCTGGGACCAGGATGCCCTATCCATGAGGAGACGGCCTGGGACCAGGGTGCCCTATCCATGAGGAGACGGCCTGGGACCAGGGTGCCCTTTCCATGAGGAGACGGCCTGGGACCAGGATGTCCTATCCATGAGGAGAGGGTCTGGGCCCACGCCTGCTGAGTTTGTGGAGGTGGGGGGAAATGGACAGGGAGGTGGAGTCTAAGGAGGCACGTAAGGAACATGATATCCCCCCGGGGCCTGATTACATCCTACAACATTTTCATACTCAAATCAGTGTCCATTTTACTAGCGTTAACTACTTTTATTTAGAGATTTGACCTCTGAGATGAATGATGATCATTTAGTCCTGCAAAGAAACACGTGGAGATATGTCAGAAGAAGAAGCAACACATAGGCTGAAAATGGCGGCAGCCGCATAGAGAAAAGAATCCCAGTCACTCCTCACTTTGGCCGGAGGCTCCCAGCTCCTCTCCCTCCATCGTTTCTCCTGCTAACACATCCCCAGGAGCAATTCTGGGGAGACTGCATGGAGCTGTGATTATTCGAGGGTTTATTTCATGGCCGTAAATGCTTGTTTTGCAGTGACAGCAAAACTGAAAAAAGTAATCTGTAATCAGAACTTCCATGAGGTCAGGGTTTGGATTCAGCTTTTAATGAGTGCTTAGAGGTAACAAATCAGAGTAGATATTAAGAAGCACGTTTGACAAGATTTTAGAAAGAATAGTCATAGAATTCCAGCATCGTGAGCTGGGAAAGACTGTCAAGTGTTTAGAGCTGGAAGATACTCTGTGTGACATAGTAAGCCCGGCATCTCACAGGTCAAGAGACTTTTTCAAGTTACACAGGTAGAATCAGAGCCGAAACTCCATCCAGGTCTCCAGCACCCAGGCCTGTGTTTTCTCCATTGAACTGAATTAGTTCTAACAAATCTAACTTTTAAAGTTGATCATTAAAAAACATTTCTCCACGTCCATTTCAGTGAGATTATCAATGGCCTTTCTCTGAGCAGCCATCCTTACAGCAACAAATTGTGCTCATATAGCAACAAATTTCTCCCTTGGAAGCCCCTAGACACTGAGGCCTGGGGGCAACCCTCCACCGTCCATGAGAGAAACACCAGCCTTAATGTGGGCCCTGGGTTCACACTCACTGGTGGAGCAGCTGCGGCCCCGCTTCGGGGGCAGGAAGCACAAGAGAGTGCGCCGAGCAGAAGCCAGGCCAGATGGGCCACATGCGGGCCACGAAGGCCAGGAGCTGTTGCTCAGCATGGCCTTACGGGCCAGTCCTTCTGAGGCCTCTGCCATGGCCAGAGGGCAGCATTCACATTCAGCTCTACACAAACATGATATAAGGTCAAGTGTCCCTGTGGAGCCTGGCACTGGCTGGCCCTTCCTGTTCGTTTAGGATCAGATTTTCTCACTTTAATGCCTCCTGGCAGAGGACCTCAAGTTACCCACACTTTGAGTGCATTTCCAAGGCTTTTTTCATTATTAGTGTTTTTCTTTGAGGTTTACAGAGATCCTGATATGGAGTGAATTGACAGAGAAACCTAGAATAATTGAGTCATAAAAGTTGTATATTCTCGAGTCTTTCGATGTCCCCTTGAGTCTTGGGTCTAAAGGGTCTCAAGCCTGGCTGCTTAGATGTAGCTGTAATTGTCTGTTTGTCTGGAAGATGATTACACAGGGAGCAATGGAAACACGTTCAACTCTGGGGCTTCAGAGACAATGCGTAGGCCATGCATATCCTGGATTTCCAAACTCCTATGACCATTTCACAAAACTCTGTCAAATGTAGACTTTATTAGGGAAGATGCAGGTTCCAAGGAAAGCAAAGGAGGAAGGATCACAGGATCTGGTACAAGGCACCAAAGACCTCCATCCCATCACCCAGATTGTCCAGGCCCAGATTCGAGATTGACCATGGCAGAGAAGGGGGCTGCTGTGCATGGAGCCAGGACAAAGGTGATGGTAGAAATATCCCCAACAGAAGGAAAGGAGCCCAGCGGGAAGGAGGCAGCCCACACAGCAGGTGATGCACACGGCATGCAGGGCGTCCCTCGGACTCTGCTGGGGCCCGACTCAGAGAGACAATGGGAACACAAGGCAGACGCGCACCTGCCCAAGGCCAGATGAGACAATGGCAAACACGTACATTTTTCTCTCTCTGGGTCCTGAAGAGCCTCTGAAGCTTGCTCCAAACTACAACTTTCTGTGGTGGGAACACACACATAGCTATGCACTCAGACAGCTTATGGTTTACCAGTGAAGGTAAATAGGAAATCATGTGGTCGGGCCACCACAGAGGCCGCTGCGTTTTTCAGGAGTTTGGGAAAGGCTTTCTAGAGGAATCAACCTTCAAGCTGAGACCCAAGTAATGATAGGGACTTAGACAAAGATTGTTTGAGAAAGAAAAATTATACGACATGTGCTGAAGCCTGTAGGAGAAGAAGAATGTGTGCACTGATGCCCAAAACGTGGCCCTGGTGGCTGGAACATGGTGCAAAGGAGAGAGAGAGGGGGGACAGCATGGTGCAAAGGAGAGGGGAGGACAGCATGCTGCAAAGGAGAGAGAGAGAGGGGACAGCATGGTGTAAAGGAGAGAGAGAGAGGGGGGACAGCACGGTGTAAAGGAGAGAGAGAAGGGACAGCATGGTGCAAAGGAGAGGGGGGACAGCATGGTGTAAAGGAGAGAGAGAGAGTGGACAGCATGGTGCAAAGGAGAGAGAGAGAGGGGATAGCATGATGCAAAGGAGAGAGAGAGGGGGGACAGCATGGTGCAAAGGAGAGAGAGAAGACAGCATGGTGTAAAGGAGAGAGAGAGAGAGAATGGACAGCATGGTGTAAAGGAGAGAGAGATGGGGGACAGCATGGTGCAAAGGAGAGAGAGAGGGAGAGCATGGTGTAAAGGAGAGAGAGAGAGGGACAGCATGTTGTAAAGGAGAGAGAGGGACAGCATGGTGCAAAGGAGAGAGAGAGGGGGACAGCATGGTGCAAAGGAGAGAGAGATGGGGATAGCATGGTGCAAAGGAGAGAGAGGGACAGCATGGTGCAAAGGAGAGAGAGAGGGGGGACAGCATGGTGCAAAGGAGAGAAGAGAGAGGGGACAGCATGGTGCAAAGGAGAGAGAGAGGGAGAGCATGGTGTAAAGGAGAGAGAGAGAGGGGACAGCATGTTGTAAAGGAGAGAGAGGGGACAGCATGGTGCAAAGGAGAGAGGTGGGGGACAGCATGGTGCAAAGGAGAGAGAGAGGGGGGACAGCATGGTGCAAAGGAGAGAAGAGAGAGGGGACAGCATGATGCAAAGGAGAGAGAGAGGGGACAGCATGGTGCAAAGGAGAGAGGTGGGGGACAGCATGGTGCAAAGGAGAGAGAGATGGGGGATAGCATGGTGCAAAGGAGAGAGGGAGGGAGAGCATGGTGTAAAGGAGAGAGAGAGAGAGGGGACAGCATGGTGCAAAGGAGAGAGAGAGGGGACAGCATGATGCAAAGGAGAGAAGAGAGGGGACAGCATGGTGCAAAAGAGAGAGAGAGAGGGGACAGCCTTGGAGAACAAGATGCAGAATGTGGATTCCCTTCAGAGGCGACCAGGCCCCTAAAGAAGGGGTACCAGGCAGGAGGAGGTAGTAGTTGTTAACCAAAATGAGTGGCTGAGGCAGGTGTCTCAGTGAAGATTTGTTGCGCCAGCTTGAGAGCATGCCCAGGAAAAAACGTGAGTCACAGATGCATCTATGGCTATTTTTTCAGATGTTTTCAGGATGTTTAATATTTGTACATTTCCCTTAAAAAATCGGGGAGAAGGCAGTGAGGCAAATGGTTCTTGTGAAACTTTACTCAGTGCCCAGTAAATCTGCATTTTACATACGCTGAACGTTTGAAGAAAACAGAGTAAAGGAAGAATCAATTGTGCAGATGCACCTGTGTGGGTGGAGGAAGTACTGATCTCCTCGTGCCTTTGTTCTGCCTGTGTGGAGGTAAACTAGCAATCCACATTACCACTGCAGAGGTGAACAGGCTTTAGCTGTATGAGCTACATTTAGATGGCAGACGTAGAGCTACAGTTGACAGGTTCATGTTTTATGGGAGGATAGACAGTTTTAAAGTTTACAGGCTGGCAAAGAATTTACTTAAAGGGATTTTGTGGGGGCAGTCATCCCAAGACGCCTGAGGCCTTTTGCCTTTCTGTGGAGGTCTGGCTAATGCATAATGTTTTGACACAGGTTTTGAAGTAACAGCTATTCATCTGGGGAGAGGACGGCTGTGTGGCCGACTCAGTTTCCAGGCTTAACTTTCCCTTTGGCATAAGGAGTTTGAGGGTCCTGAGATTTTATTTTCCTTTACGTAGACCAGGAGGGAAATGAGGATGGTTTGAATGAGGGTGCTGGCAATGAGGATGGCAGGAAGTGGGTAGATAAGTGTAGCATTTAGGAGACAGAGCCAAGAGAATCTGGTGAGTCGCTGCCTGTTGGATGGTAGGGAGAGAATCTGTGAAAGCTGTTTTCCAGGTTTCTGGCATGAGCAACTAGATGAATGGTAGGTATATTTTGCCAGTTATTTTCTGTTCCACTCCAGGATCCATTTCACTTGATATGTGCCCAGGAGGTGGCCCTAAGACAGAGAATCTGGAAGAAGAGAAGGCTGGGAGATGAAGATGAGAAGTTTGGATGTGTCTACTCAAGTCCAAGTGAAGATGTTGAGAAAGCAGTTCTATTTACAGCTCAGGGGCCAAGGGAGAGTCCTTTGGAAATCCTTACCTTATATTTCTTTGAAACCAGGGGAATGTGTGGTAGAAGGTTAGGGTCAGGAAGGAGCCCTGGGGAGCAGCGTCCTCCACGTGTGGCCCATGAACACAAACATGTACGAGAGCATCCTCCAGTGTGGCCCTGAACACCACCATGTATGACAGCATCCTCCAGTGTAGACCTGACCACCACCATGTACGACATCATCCTCCAGTGTGGCCCTGAACACCACCATGTACAGCAGCATCCTCCAGTGTAGACCCGAACACCATCATGTACGACATCATCCTCCAGTGTGGGCCCGAACACCATCATGTACAGCAGCAACCTCCAGTGTGGCCCATGAACACCACCATGTACGACAGCATCCTCCAGTGTAGACCTGAACACCATCATGTATGACATCATCCTCCAGTGTAGACCTGAACACCATCATGTACAGCAGCATCCTCCAGTGTGGCCCATGAACACCACCATGTACGACATCATCCTCCAGTGTGGCCCCGAACACCATCATGTACGACATCATCCTCCAGTGTGGCCCCGAACACCATCATGTACGACATCATCCTCCAGTGTGGCCCCGAACACCATCATGTACAACATCATCCTCCAGTGTAGACCTGAACACCATCATGTATGACATCATCCTCCAGTGTGGCCCCAAACACCACCATGTACAGCCACGTTCTCCACATTTGGCCCCTGAACACCACCATGTACAGCTGCATTCTCCACGTTGGCCCCTGAATATTTCCATGTACGGCCGTGTCCTCCAGTGTGGCCCCTGAACACCACCGTGTACAGCTGCGTTCTCCACGTTGGCCCCTGAACAGTTCCATGTATGGCAGTGTTCTTTCCTGTGTGGCCCCTGAATCATGGCATCAGATCACTTGGAATCCTTCTTCAAATTCACATTCTTGGGCTTCTGCATTAAGGATAGAAGAGGAAGAGATAACAAATGAGACTGAGCAGTGGTGGTTGGGGAGTTGGTAAGAACACCAGGAAAATGTAGTCATGGGAGCATCAGGGATATGAATGTTTCAAGAGTCACCGTGAGAGATCATTCAACTTGAGGACTGACACATGTCCACTGGATTCATTGACATGAAAATCATGAATGACCTTGGCAAGGTCACACTCAGAGGAGTGGTCCACAGGCTGAGTGGTTTGTGATGTGTGTTCAGGGTGAAATGATGCAGACTGCATCTAGACAGTGCATACAGGAAGTGTGGCTGTAAGTGACAAGAGAAAGGTTGGCAGCTGAAGGAGATATGGGAAGTGCCAGATTTTGGTTTATGCTTGTTTTTAAGAATGAGAAACCTACATCATAATGGGAGGAGCTGATGGAGAAATAGACGTTGAAGCTGATTAGCTTATTTTCCTTTACATAGTCCAGGAGGGAAATGAGGGTGGTTTGAATGAGGGTGGTGGCAACGAGGATGGCAGGAAGTGGGTTGAAACTGATTGGCTGATCAAAATCCTTTAGAAAGACAGAGTCCCAGGCACAGGTGAAGAATTTAGTTTTGCATAGTAGGATTCTTTTCTTTCTTTTCTTTTTTTTTTTTTTGAGACGGAGTCTTGCTCTGTTGCCCAGGCTGGAGTGCAATGGTGCGATCTGGCTCACTGCAACCTCTGTCTCCTGGGTTCAGGCAATTCTCCTGCCTCAGCCTCCTGAGTAGCTGGGACTACAGGAACCCGCTACCATGCCCGGCTAATTTTTTTTGTATTTTTAGTAGAGACGGGATTTCACCATGTTAGCCAGAATGGTCTGATCTCCTGACCTTGTGATCCACCTGTCTCGGCCTCCCAAAGTGCTGGGATTATAGGCGTGAGCCACCACGCCCGGCAGTAGGATTCTTTTTAATAACAAGATTATTTTGTGATCATCCACATTCCTCTTGAGCACATTCAGGGCTAAGAAATCCCTCATGCTTTCAACCAAAGGCCAGCAAGAGCAGCTTTGAACAGTTCTGAATGAGCCAAAATCTCCTCCTGAGTTTTCTTTTCCTTGGTTGTCACTCTTCCTTGGGGGTCTTCTAGAACAGATATAATTCCTCCTCCCCACCATGGAATTTCAAGTGTCATTTTTCCTTTGTGTTCACAAGTTCCCTTGCGTGTTTCGTGAGCTATATCCCTTTCCCATTGGCCATTCTAGACATCTCAGTGGGCATCTTAATTTATGGTGCCCAGAACCCAATGTCACACTATATTTCACAGTCCTGAAGGAGACCAGATGCCTCCACTCATGACAGCAATAGTCTGAGTCCACTGATTTGAGAGGTGTGTTGTTTTTGCTTCTGCATATGTTCTTAGTTTAATATTTGGCTACTATAAAATAACAAAGAAAATGAAGGAAAAATATGGCCTCTGCTCCAAGAGTTGAATAGTATCATGGGAACTCAGTGACTCTGGATTCACTAAGAATAAATCTTTCCAGGCTAGTTTCCTTATTTTTTTCAGATTTATGAAAATATAGCCATCACTGATATCTCTTATACAAACAAAACTTTAACAAATTCAACTACTGTATAAACTAGTATTAAAAATCACTAGAAGGTCATTGAGTAGTGGATTTGCATATAATCCTGAGTGTAAATGATGTCGACACACATTCCCATACAATGGCATGTATATGATATGTTATGATTTGCTAGCAAAGCATTGCTGATGGTAAAAGCTAAATCCTGGCTGTGTGTTTTCATCCAGAGAAACTTTAACAGTCCATTTCTTCTATGGCATATTTCCAGAGGTTAATCCCAGAAGAAATGATAAATTAATTTGGCCCAGAGTAAGTATAATCAGCTTGGTTTAAATCTGACTAGAAAACCAGGGGGTTGGAGGGAGGTGTAAGCATTGTGGAGGGCAGTCTTTCATTTATTCCTCTACTTCCAAGTCTGCAGGGAAACATTTAAGAAAAACTACTATCTTCCTTTTCTTTGAACTCCCCAGAGCCCTTTACAAACTTTGAATGGGGAGCCCCAGCCTGGGTCATGAACCAGCACCCAGTGGGACCTGTATTCACTGCAAGGCCCATTTCTCCTGCAGTGAGCATCTCTCTCTCTCTCTCTCTTTTTTTTTTTTTGTGTGTGTGTCTGTCCAGCATCCAGTCATTCTTCCTAAGATGACAGCACTGGGATTTTCCTGGGGGAATCACCCATTCTCCATATTCCCAGGAGTGGCCACAACTCGGCCCTGGCCCTCTGGGCTCTGCATCGCCTCTGGCTACCACAGTTAGTTCAGGGTTGGGCTTGTGGCCTTAGTGGAGCCAAGAAAACATAATTTCTGTGTTTGGACAGGATTATAGGGAAGTGGAAATCCCTCCTTTCTGCCGGAGTTGCTGAGAGACCAGCGTGTGAACCTGGCTCTGATGACAGCGGTGTTCACGGAGCAGGGATCCGGGAGAGGGAGCAGATAAGCAGGGAGGAGAGATGGCCCTGTCTTCATGACGCCACTGCCCAGGACACTAGCACCGACCTTCCAGTGACTGTCAGTGAAGCCAACGTTTGTGTCACCTGCCACAATGTGTCTCTACTGTGCATCTTGCTTTGTGTTCCTGGTGCCTGGACTTGGGTCTCGCCTGCTTGCAGCTGCCCGCGGGCGCCGAGCCTGATGGTCGTGCTGCTCCTCTGATGCCGACCCTGACTTCTCTCCAAGGCTACCACTTGTGCTCACCCACGGACTGTGTCTAATTCTGGCTGTGCTGGGCACAAGCTTCGCTGGGTATTGCTGCTGTGTTGCCCAGGGAACTGGGGCAGACAAGGGAAGCTCATAGCTCCTTTAGTCAAGGATTCTCATGTTTCCAAGAACCAACAGAGATTTTGTGTAATTTCTTAACTAAATTAGTCACGGGGAGATAAATTCAAACATCAGTTAAAGGCAGCTATATTAAATCATTTTTTTCTAACCTACCAGGCCAACCCTTCTCATATTTGATTAGTCTCTCATAATACTGGTCTCTGTATCTCCCATCCCAGGCCCTTGCCTCCTGGCTTGGGTAAATCTAGGAAAAGTCATCATTGTTGCACTGGGCTGGTGTGAGAATTGCTTTCCCTTGTCTGTGTGCCACAGTCCCACGCAGAAGACCCAGACGCCCCCAGTAGCTACCAGCTAGAGTGGGGGCTCATCTGCTCATTTCCAGGGCCCCTTACATCTGGCCCCGTTCTCACAGTTGCCTTTTATTAGATCCCTCTCCTGTATTTTCCCCTCCTTTGCTCTCACAGTCCCAAGCACTGGAACATCCTTGCTACAGCTTTCAACTGGCCAAATTTTACCCCAAATCCTCAATGCTTGGTTGGAATCTTACCACCTTTGTGAAACCATTTCTAGTCAATATGTTCATAAATAGTGCCAACTCAATTCACCATTTATTGAAGACCTACTCCGTGTTTGGCAGATGCTGTGACTTGGGAGTAAAAAAATGAACAATGCCAGCAATTAAAAGTTTACATTATGTTGGAGCAATAAGTTATAAAACAAAGGTATTTACAAAATATGCTCAGAGAAGGGGAGGGAGTAAGTCCCTCAGTGTGGGACAGTTGGCAGGCAGAGTGTGCTGGTGTGATCGGGCTCGGGGACTCTGCTCCAGCAGCATAAGGTGACCCAGGGCCTGAAGCTGTGGCTCTGGGCAGGGGCTGCCATGGGACTCACAGCCCACCCCAACTTGCCAGGGCCTTCTGTGAACCTCCACATTGCTGTGAACTTATTACTTGCTGATTTAATTCCTGGTTACTCTTTGCTCACTCTCTTACACATTCTTCCAGAAAGAGATTTGCTATATGTCTCTCTTAGCCCCAGCATAGTGATACTTCCCATAAGATAAGTTTTTAATAAGTACCTGTTAGTTGATTGTCTTTTTAATTTACTTTTAAAGTAAGCTTAGGGAGGACAAAATTATGGTGTATATTTGCAAAAAAAATATCTCTAAGGAGATATAAGATTAATTGGAAGGAAATAAATTTTTTAAATCAAATGTCAGTCCTGAAGAATAACAAATGACACATGAAAGTGATTTTAAGCTGTAGGACTGCCCTGCGGAAGCCAAGCAGACAGGCAGGTGCTGTTTTCCCACTACTACCTCTCACTCACCCCGACCACAGCCCTTGAAAGCTGGATAACTATATTGGTTTAATTGTTTTTCCTGCAATGAGGCTAGAATGACATAAGCCTCAAAGAAAGAACCCCACAATTGTAGTGCTGAGCAGGACCTCCCTAATGCTAACTACCAGCAGGAGGACCTGAAAGGAGAAGCAATGGCTTCAGATGGGTGGAGGCAGATACTGGTGGGGCCTGGGATGGAAGACCCTACCTTGGGAAGATTTGTGGGAATTCCCCGGAAGCCAGTGGAGTTAACTGGCCAAAGAGAGCCACAGGGTGGGCTGGTTGTATTAAGCCAAACTACACATGGAATTTGAATTTACAGGGTGCAGATTAAAAATTGGCCCAACATGGAATTTTTATCAGTCTGTGTGAGGGAAGTGTCTCTGTGGGTATCACACGGTGATGTGAATATAACTCACAAGGGTGTGTGCAGCTTGACACTAGATCCATGAAGGAGCCAACGTCCCATAGGCAACCCAAATTGCTATCTTTTCCTAAAATGCCTCTTTTCAACCCAAAGATTCGGTTGGCCTTGAGACACTTTTCTTAAACCAGACGAGAAGTCAAGTGCAGAGATGGCTCCGCCTTGCAGTATGTTTTGTCTGCTCTGCATTCAATGTCTTGATAAGGAGCCAAGTGCAAAGATGGTTCACCTTTACGGTATGTTTTCTCTCCTCTGCACTCAATGTCTTTGCTTCAAAGGAAGCTGAGTGTAATTATTAGTAATTTAGGCATTAATACTCTTTTCAGATATTTAAAAGATGTGATTCCCCATGGACTCTATAGGCCTTTGTCATTAGACCTGGATAAAGATGCCGAGTTTGCTCAGAAGTGGTGATTGCCAAAAACAGAATTATTTTCGTTTCCTGAGCCCACATGTATTTGAGGATAGTCAATTTGAAGTTACTCTAGGCCCACCAAAGCAATTAAGAGAGAGTTTCTACCCTTGAATTGGCCAAGTGCTATATCTCTTTTAAGAATAAAAATGGAAAGCTATTATTTCTACTTCTCAGCTAATTTTAAAAGTGAGGAGATACTGTTTTTGCAGAACGTATTTTCCATAGAGAGTTTAATGTCCACGGGGAGAAAGGACTCAAATGGAACATGATGGGATCTGCAGGCGTGGCACTGGCCATTTGAACTTGGAAGTGAGGAGCATAAAGCAAACATGGGTGATGAAATGCAGACTGAGTGTGCAGAACTCTGCACTTTCCAAGGGGTCCTTTCTCATCCACAAGTCCAGCTGTACCAGTGGAGTGATAGGTAGGGGGTGTTTCCCAGGAGGGAGCTGTAAAAGCTGGGCGTGGAGCCTGCCTGCTATAAAGGTAAGGAAGATGGGACTATTCAAAACCCAGCTGTCCATGAAGTAAGATACTCACAGTGATCAGGCCTGTGTTACCCTCCATGCCTCAAGCTGGCATTGTTGTTTGTACAAAACTGTCCTAGGCCACAATTTGTAAAGGGAAAAGCAAGCTGGCTTTAGTCATGGGCAGTCATGGACCCTTGGCCTATCCCTAATCCACCCCTCTTTTGAGCAGATAAGGAAACAAAAGTGCAGAGTTATCTATATCCTCTCTTCAAGAGGGGATAATGTCAAGACCCCAACTGAGACCAATGGTTTTAAATCTTTGAAAAGTTTCATGGTCCGTGCCTCTTCTTTTTGGAATTTCTCTGCCAGGCATCCAATGTTCCCAGTGGTTCACACCACCTGGAAACCTGAAAACTGTTCTGGAGGGACACGGCCTGCTGACCTGTGAGCCGTGAGGCAGCCACACGCCCAACACCCACTGCTGGAAATGGGAAAAGCAGAGGGACTCAGGGGCCCTCTGTGGGAGACCATGCCTCAGAGCAGTGGGTGTCACAGCTGCCTCAGCTACTGACATTATGGAACAAAAGTTTCTGTCTATGATTCTACCTTAAGGGCAAAAATAATCTCCTGGCAAGTCCTCAAAAAGGTACATTTCCCTGGAATACCTCAGACTCTGGTTACAGAATAATCTTGACAATTGGAGAAACGCCACGTTCCATCATTTCAAATCTTGGCTTTCCCTTCTTATGCCCCATCTACAGCCCCAACAAGACTGACGATTTGTTCCTCAGAAGCAGAGGTTCTCAACTGATTAAAACGCATATGTGGCAACGTTGCTCTCACTAATCTGGGTTAGTGCCTGTGCTCTGAAGTGGCTTTATTTCTGCTCCTTCTTCTCTCTGTTGCTGGTATTTCACATCCAGAAAATTACACTTGATAATACCTTTCATCTTTAAATTCCAATGTGGATGAACTTTAGGGTGACTTTCATCATATTCCTAGGTGGAGAATAAAGGGAATCCACAGTGAAACCACCAGGATGACAAGGATATTCACTGCACGTTACTTCTGAGGCAATTGTCCGCTCTCTGAAGCCGCCAAAGTCCTGCAGGAAAAATAATTCAAATGATTGTTCTTTACAGTATCCTAAGGCCAACTGTTTTTAGTTGTCATGTTTTCCCCAAGTCAGTTCTTTGTTTTATAAATAAACATGCAGTTAGGCAGCCGTTTTGGAAGATGACTTCTCAAATAAAGTTATTAAAACATTCTACCAGGAGGTTTCCTGCAAGATGCCCTGGGAGCCAGTTGTGGTGAGCATGCGGGATGGGGCATCTCTGTCTGTAGCTGCCACGTGGCTCCCGACTCTGCCCTGTAGCTCTTTCCTATAAGGAAGAGCAGCTGGCAACCTGGTTACATTTTGGAACTGAAGATAGCGGCTCAAGGACTTAGTCATACCTCCCAAATATAATCAGTCTGAATCAATCTCCAAGACTATAAAATATGCTTCACTAAGTGGCCAATTCTATTATTGAATTGAAAGCTCACCAACTTTAGGCTGCCAGCTATTCAGGTTTAAGATACAGAATACTAACATAAATACAAATTCACACATTCAAAGAACCTACCAGATAAGCATAAGAAAATGTGAAAGCCTACTAACAGGGTGAAGGCTTCCTGGATCAAATGGACTTGGGTCTTGATAAGACTAGATGTCATTTGAATAAAGAAGCTTCCATTTTGGGGATGCCTATAGATTGCTGGCTTCTGCATGGTTGGCAGAGGGGCTGGAGCTGGATGCACTACAGAGGATTGCATTTCCGTTATCAAGAGATGCAGTGCCCATTATCAGTATATTATTGAGATGCAGTGCCCATTATCAGTATATTATCAAGAGATGCAGTGCCCGTTATCAGTATATTATCAAGAGGTGCAGTGCCCGTTATCAGTATATTATCAAGAGATGCAGTGCCCGTTATCAGTATATTATCAAGAGGTGCAGTGCCCCTTATCAGTATATTATCAAGAGGTGCAGTGCCCCTTATCAGTATATTGCCTTTATGCTCCAAGTTCACTTTTCTTGGCTTTGTTTTGCGATGCTGAAGTGGGACAGTGTAAACGTCTGTTTTGCCAGCTGGTGACGTGAGGATTTGTCAATATGGTGCTAGAGGGACTGCAGGCACCATAGCAAGAGGAAGGGGCTTCACATCTGACGTTCTTTCAGTGTGGCTTCCAGTGGGTGGCTGGGCAGAGGCATGGCTGTGCTCGCTTCTGACTCGCCATGGTCTGTGCCCCCAGCAAGTGTCCTCACTGCCTGGAGAAGCCACACCCTCCCGGAGGGATCTGTATCTCAGCCTTGTGGTGGGAGGTTCTGTTAAGCTAATAGTTTCTGCCTTTTTCATTCCCCTTCAGGCTTTCTATATTTGCTACTTGTATACCAATTTAGTAGTCCCTAACTACTAGACATTTTAGTAGTTACGCACCTTTTACTAGGTAAGTGCTCTTTGTTTTAAAATGTCCACCTGCAGATTAAACAGCATGGTGGAGTAAGGACCTCAAAAATACGTTCTTCCACGAAGGCAGTATGAATACTGGAAAAATTGTAAGAATAAACCTTTTCAAGACTCTAGAAATTAACCACTCTTGCAACAACCCAAAGAAATTGTATTCAAGAAAAATGCTGAATCTTCCTAAGAGCTTTGTGGCATTTTAACTTTTCCTACTGCAACACTCTTCCATCAGCTCTGCAGTAGCCTTGAAAACTGGCAGCCACACAATCATGATTGCTGTGGAAATTAGCAGCCTCCCAGCCACTAGAAGGGGTAGCATCGGTCTGAGCTCCCCAGCTCCTGTCCTCAGGTACTCTGGGATTGGACATGGGATATGTAAACTAAAAAGTGTCTGAGGCAGATGTCAGTAGTTTTGAAGGTTTATTTTGCCAAAGTTGGGGAAATGCCTGGAAAACAAGTTACAGTAGGATCTGTGGCCTGTGCTTTTTCCAAAGAGAGTTTTGAGGACTTCAGTATTTATGGGTGAAAGAGTGGTTGGGAGGGAAAGGAATTAAGAAGAAAAGAGCAGGAGTTAGGTTGTGAGGCAAGCAGTTGCATTCTTGTGAGGCCCTGATTAGTGCCTGCTGAATCCACATTTGACACGTGGAAAGAGAGGAGTGGGGAAAAAGTCAACTATGCATTCATCTCATGGTCCATAGGTCTACATTTTGCATAAGATGAAGTAAGTATAGTGTAAGGAAGAGGTCAAATATGCATTTACCTCAGGGTGGGTGGAGGAATAATTTCTAGTCTTGTCTTTGTCCCACACCTGTGAGACAAGCTGTTAATTTACATTGTCAGGGTGAGATTCAACACAACTCTGTTTTACGGTTCATTTATAGGGGGAATATATATTATCAAAGATTTGAGGGCCTACAAGGAATTTCCTTGTGAGCAATTTGTGATGGAGGCCACCTGGGGAGCTATGCAGCCTTCGATGTTGCAGCCATCTGTTTGAGAACAAAAGGAAAGCAGTTTCCTTTTTTACATGACTCAGTACCCATGCTCAATGTTCCCTTTGGCATAGTGAGTTTGGGGTCCCAAGATTTTACTTTCCTTTCACAGACATGTCTGGAAGTTCCCTGGAAACCTCCACTCAAGGGCTTGTCTTTACTTGACCTGACTCAGAGCTTAGTCAGTGTGGACAGCTTTTCCCCTGTGGCATTTATTGAAAAAAAAAAAATCAGTGACAGACAGATGCCTGAGGCAACACTAGCATTAGGAGCAAAGGAACAAAAAGGCTGACAAGAAAAAAAAGGACAATCTGAGGACTGAAGACTGAGATGCCCAGAAGGGGCTTTGAAAAGTTCCAAGCTAATCCCCAGAATAGAGTCCTGTACAGGTGCAGGGTTGCACAGGCCTACGAGAGTGCTGCAGGGGTCCAAGTCTTTTACCTCGTGATTGCCTCAGGCAGGAAGCGATGCAGAAGACAGGGATGTAAACAGCCTGACAGGTGGGTAAGGAAATATCACCCCCACCGAACAGAGCCCCACGGCAGCGGCGGGAAGACTCAACACATTTAAGGATATCTATGTTCAGTGATTAGCTGACCTCCAAACCAACTGAGACTCCAGTGGCCACTTAACAACAGAGATCACAGTCTCCACAGAATTAGCCCAGGAAGTCACAAAACAAATAGCAAACAGACAGAACAGCCTCTGTGAAGAAGGGAGTGTTCTGATTTCCAGAGTTGCTACATTATATTATTTAAAATGCTTAGTTTTCAACAAAACTTAAGAGACTTCCAAATAAAAAGAAAATTTGGCCCAAAGCAGGAAAACACAGTCAATGGAAACTTTCTCTGAGGAAAGAAATATTGGATTTAGTGGAGAAAGGCATTAAATCAGCTATTATAAATATGCCCAAGAACTAAGGTAAACCAGGTGTGAAGAACTAAAGAAAAGTACATGAATTATGTCTCATCAAATAGAGAATATTAATAAACACATAGAAATTGTAAAATAGAGCCAAAGAAAACTTTTGAAATTGAAAAATAGAATGATAGAAATAAAAAATTCAGTATATTAGCTGTTGACCTGAAGGAAGAAGCTGAAGCAAAATTAATATAGAGAGTTAACTTGGGCCACGTTTGAGGACAGCTGCCTGGGACACACTTCCAAGTTGCCTTGGGGAGTACTTCATTCAGTCTTTGTTACAAGCAGATTTTTAAAGACAAAAAGGGGGACAAGTGGTGGGCTGATACAGTTTTTGTCAGGAATTCTTATTGGTTTACAGAAATAACATTGATTAGTGATTGGCTATACATTGTTGAGCTATAGGATGTGGGTTATGGTGTCTGGCATGTGGCATAGTTAGGTTAATTTATATTTATATGTGGCAATACAAGCAGTTTAAAGAGACGATTACATAGCTCAAGGGTTGGGGGAAGTAGGACGTGACTGCTGTCTCATTTTAATGCCTCTTCAGGCCTAGTAGTTTAAGAGGGCTCCCATTCCTCAGATAAAAGGCATATTTCTACACATATACACACATATAAATATATACACACACATATATACACATACTTTCCACACACACATTCTCATTTTCCCTCTTTGATCAAAAACCTTTCTTCTTGAAAGCATCGATGATCAAAGTCTGAGTGTCAAGATGTCCTTGTTTATGGGAAGACTTATTCCCAAATAGCCTTGTCAACATTGAGAAGAAAGAGAATACATCTCGGTGAGGGATTTTAAGAGCACCCAAAAGCCAAATTGGGATGGCATCACAGAGTGGCCAAAAAAAATCAGACCTCAACCAAGTCATTGATCTATGTAGCTGCTGGCACTTGTTGAATCATCCATAGTATTTGAAATACTATGATTTTAGTTTTCTTAGAAGTACACATAAGAATTATAGTGAAAAAGAGAATTTAAACAAGCCTATTGTACAACCATGGCCTTTGTAGTGGAATCTGCCAGAACCTATTATGAGGGATAAATTTCTAATTATTACCTCATTTACTTTAAATCATGATAAAGGAGACTTAAAAATGATGCCCACCCAGAAAGAGGAAGGCCTCCTGGCAGTGCTCTTTTTGACATCTGATGTAGATTAAGAGGAGTGGGCCAATGTTCTGATTCTGTCTGACTAGAGCAACAAAAGTACCATTAAAATTCCTAGCCTGCATTAGCCCTTCATCTTCCATCCATCGAGGCATAAGTTTGCCCATGTATAAGGCTGGCCGTTAAATCCACCACAAATAAAAGTATACCCTGTGGATGCACACAAGACCCCTTTCCAAGTTCTATTGTTCACAGAGGCATAAGGAAAAGAAAGAGGGGTACGTTTCCTGATGGCTGAGGAGTCTAGATCCATGAATTTGGGAAAGCTATCCACATCTAGAATGTGTCTACTTTGGGGGAGAAACTTCTTTGGTTATCTTTACCATAAAATCAACAATGGGTGTACTGTTCAAGAGTCTGGAGGGGACCTTCTGAGTTGTAAGATTACAGACCCAAGGTTTGACACCCCAGTGCTTTCGCTGCAGTGTGGATGGCAAGTACAGTCTTTCTCTGATGTCACTATTTGAAGACCCAATCTCCAGGCTCTAGATCATGAGGATTTGATTGTTCTCCATCAGTGGACCGTAGAAAGCTTCCTTCACCTGGTGAAAATATACTTTGGCATAATGCATGACAGTTTAACTGCATTTAGACAAGTCAGAGTTTAGGAGCAAAAAATATGAGATTTATTATTAGGGGCACAGGCCTTCCAGTGACTACTTCATAAAGGGTCAACTTGTGTTCTCCACTAGAAGCGGACCTGATTGTCATCAATCTGTAATACCTTTAACCAAGGCAATCCAGTTGATTCAGTTAGCTTTGCCTGATACTATTGCATCTGTAATACCTTACCTAACCATTTTACAACTCACCCATTGAAACAAGTACTTCTATCATTAAATATTTATCCAGGAATGTCCCATGAAGGAAACACATTTACTAGTGTGTGTAGCTTTTCGCTACTGAAGTATCAGACTTCTTTCATGCAAAGGTTTCTATACAACCAGTAAACATGCACTGAAAATAGCAATTAAATGGAATCCCTCTATAAATGTTTAAATGGCATATCAGGTACCAAAATTTACCTAAATTTTTTATTGTCTTCTCAGGATTATGGATTTGACAAACCAAACATCGGTTATAAACCATTTTAGGAATTTAGAAGTCACCACATTAATATATACATATATTTTCTATTTAGATCCTTTTATCTCTTCTATGACAAGTCATGGAGTACAGAGCTTTTAATAATAAAACCTTTAAGGACTCAGGAAGAACCAGGAGGCCACCCAGGTTCTCCATGAGCCCATGCTAAATATTGGATTTATATTGTCTTAAGTACTAATTTTGTTACTCCAATGCAAATGCATAGTACTGTTTATTACTTGGGTTATCATAGGTAATTTGATTTGGAACATAAAGTATATTCAAATTGCATATCTTAACAATATCAGTACTGACTGATTTAGCATGAAAATTTGGCAAAGTATTTTCTTGGAATTCAATTAATTATTGTCCTGCTTGGGTTAATAGTTTTATAAACCAGTTAGTTTCTTTATTAGAGTTCTGGGAATTCTTACCCAGTCCAAATAACATTACTTTAAAGTTACCAGAAACTGGTGTTCAAGAGTGCTTATCTTTTCCATCTTTTTTGTGAACTTCCTTGAAGACTCAACACTTTAGGGTTATAATTGCTTAAAAAGTTTTCAGAAAAATACATGAGAATTGAGTAACTGTGGACAAGACTTATTATGGTCATGGTTAAAGGCATAATTGACAATAAACTTTGGTTATTTCTGTGGCCTACAATAATTTAACATAACAACCATAATTATAATTGATAACATATACTAAGACATCAGAAATTTAGGAATCTCATACAATTCTGGAATGCATTAACAACACATTTATACAAATACAACTCAAAGAAAGTTAAACACCACTTATTTGACAATATTTTCTGTATAATTTTAACATATAAAGTAAGTCTAATATGTCTCTCTTGGATTTCCAGGGCTCTAATGTTCAAAATGTAAGTTTGAAGTCAAAAAGACTGAATTTAGAAATTTGATTTTGAAGTTTGTCAAATATCAAAGGTTTAAAACATCTGATATTAAAATAAGGAAGACTTACAATACTTGACCAAAGTGAGATCATAAGTCGCTGTAAAATAATAGTCATTCATTTAGTCAAAGTGATAATTCAAAAAATTTAAAAAGCCAAAACTTTTACTCTTTGAGAGAGAGGAGATTCAGTTTTCCAAACAATCAAAAGACCTAATAAAGTCAATCTCTCCTTCCCCCCCTCTTTAAAGTTTACTCAAAAGGTGAGTAAAAATCTTTTCCTACATGAAAATCTCGTTCAAAAGAGAAAACCAGATTTTACCATTGCATCAGTGTATTATTAATACTAAAACTAATTTTAATAAAACCTTATAAACAAATCAACCCAACCCCTGTCAGTTTTTGAATACATAAGATTTTCATAAACCTTTTATAACCTCTTAAAAGTTTTTTCCCAAACTTTCTATATTTATTTAGTTTTATCTATATCATTTCCCCTTCAATTTGAAACATTTACATAACTTCTAAACTAGATAAAATTATTTTTTCTCAATAAACACCACATTCTCATGCCTTTCTTTGAATCTTCCTTACCAAAAACACACCCAATTTTCCTTGTACACTTTGCATACAAAAGGATTTCTCTTTTATATAGTAGTTTTAATTACATACATTAATTATAATGTTAATGTTGGTAACCCTTATTTTTAGGATGTTGCTAATTTTAATTGTTATGTACCAGACGCAGATCCTGGGAAAGAGACAGGGCTGTGAATTCCTGGAGGGTCTGACCCCTCCAGCATGGCCAGTAGGCACAGTTAGGGCAGGGAGGATGGGGCCAGGCATCATGGCCACACTTAGGTTCCCAGTCCTCACTATGGCCATTTGTCCAGACCCCAGAATCTAAAGGCTCAAACCAAAGACACGAACTCTCAGTACAATGTGTGCAATGCATTGCAGAAGCCCCACAGCCAGACCTTAGAGCTTTAGCTTACAGACAAATCGGTATTTTTGCTTCTTTAAAAATACTACAGAAGCAACAGTTTTATGACCTCAAAACATCTATCAAAGACAGTATAAAATAAAATAAAGCATAACACACCAGAACTTATGGAATGTAGCTAATGCAGTGCTTAGATGGAAATTTATAACTGTTAAACATCTATGTTAAAAATGAAGAAAGGTCAAGTGAATAAGCCCACATTTGACATTAAGAAATTATAAAAAAGAAGTGCAGAAAACAGAATAATTAATATAAGAGCAAAAATAAATAGAGAATAGAATAGCAATAGAGAAGATAAATGAAACCAACAGTTGGTTCTTTGAAATGATCAAGAAAATTGACACATTTTTAGTAAGACTGAAGAGGAGAAAAAGAAAGAAGACTCAAATTATTAAAATCAAGAATGAAATAGGATACATTACTACTAACTTTACAGAAATAAAAAAGGATTATAAAGTAAGACTAAAATCAATTGTATGCCAACAAATTTGATAACTTAGATGAAATGGAAAAGTACTTTTTGGAAAAAAAACACAAACTACCAAAAGTGACTTAAGAAGAAATAGAAAAATCTGCATTAACCTATAATCAGAAATTGAGTTAGTAATCAAAGCATTTCCCACAAAGAAAAGTACAAGCCCAGATGGCTTTGCTGATAAATTCTTCCAAACATTCAAAGAGGAATTAATATTAATCCTTTACACAGTCTTCCAGAAAACAGAAGAGGAAGGAAAACTTTCTAACTCTTTCTATGAGGCAGTATTATCCCAATACTAAAACCAGAAAAAGACATCATAAGAAAACTGTAGACCAAAGTATATATTAAAAGCATATATTAAGTGCATTCTATGTGGCAGGTATTTGGACAAAATAGGGACTAAGACAAGCCGGGTGCTGTGGCTCATGCCTATGGTCTCAGCTACGTGGAAGGCTGAAGTGGGAGGATTACTCGAACCTAGGAGTTCAAGACCAGCCTGGGCAACATAGTGAGGCCCTAGATCTAAAACAAACAAATGAACAAACAAAAACAAACAAAATTTTAAGGGATTAAGACAAGTAAAGTTCCTGCTTGGTCTAGTCCAAGATACAGAAAAGTGATTATGTTCTTTTCATCAAAGCATGCAGGATGCTAGTATATTTTCGTTCTCCCAGACAATGACTGATACAAATTTAAGAGCATGATGGTCACATTCGGTCAGACCAATGGTGCATCTAGCCCAGCATCTTGTCTACATCAGTTTCCCCAAAGACACACTATGGACAGTCAGATACTCTTCTTATAATAGTTTTGAAGGCTAGATTTGTTGATGAAACATTCTAGATTCCCGTACTATTCTGCTGGGAATCTGTCATTCATATGTGTATTCTAATTTTCTGAGTCTGTGTATACAGTTAACATGTGGTTTCTCTTGATGTAATTTATTTGATAGGTTAACAGTCCTCAGGTCTTTATGTCCCCTGAATTTACCTCTTTCCAACTTCAAGGCATGAGTGGACAATGAGTGGAGAAATAAAATAAAATAAAAGAGTCCACTCACCTCTTCCAACCGGTCCAGGTTGCTGAGCTGTGGGGGTTTTCTCCAGAAAGCAGCTCAGGCTGGCCTCTGTCTGCAGCTGCGTCCTCGGTGTGGCTTGTCCACCTTTCTCAGTTTTCCCACCTACTCTCTACACAGCAGAGGTTTTCAAAGAGTGGTTCCCAGCCCAGTAGCATCAGCATCCCTTGGGACCTTGCCCAAGTTCTCCACCCTGACCTACTGAATCAGAAACTTGGGATACTTTCTCAGCCGCCTGCATTTTAACTGGCCTTCCAGGGGGTCTGATCCTCTCTCCAGCTTGAGAGCCACTACTCCACATTGGAATAGTAATCGTTCCTGCCAAAATAACACATTGTAAAATATTATAAAGGATGCAGGTCTTTGAGAAGGAAGCACTGATCATTAATATTTTTGGTCCTGGCATCAAGAATTAGTTCTGGGCACACGATGAACAAAATTTTTCCCACAGGCTTGGCCAGGATGAGAGAAATGTTCTCTTCAAACATAATTTACCAACCTAAGAGTGTCTGCTATGATGTCAAGTGCCATATAGCCTTCACTAATGGTTATCAAGAGCAAATTTAGAGAAATGAGAATGGTCTTTATTGCAATACACAGAGAAGGCAAGGGAGGCTCCATTTTGATGTCTGACACTAATAACGACACACTGTGAATTCTTGCAGCAAGCAAAACATCGTAAAACTGTCATGACCAGCCCCATTTCCTGATCTGAAGGCCATGTTTTGCATACAACTTGAGTCTTTGAGTTCACCTTCAGTCTGTGCTCTGCTCTGAGACCTGGGAAGGAGGCTGAGAGTTGGAGAACTTGAAGAACTCAAGAGTCTACCTTAGTTGACTCAGAGGTGAGCCAGGTAATCTTTACCAGCTCAGACCACACTGGTGCTGGCAGCTTTGCTCCTGAACTGAATCTTCACCTCTATCCAGTTAGCTGGGCCCCTGTCAGGAAGTCTGGTCCTCCCCAAGTCAATGGTTGACCTCTGCTACCTGTACGGAGAACTCCCAAGGCCTCGTGTCTCCAAGTCTCTGCTCCCCTGCTGGAATGCCTGATTTCAGTTACCTCTTACCTCTTCCTGGCTGAGCTTTCTCCCATCACCTGCCCATGGCACCCCTGTCCCCTCATTTCATCTCTACAGGAGCCTCCGATTCCTGTTCCTAACCCCTCACACTTAGCTGTAGTTCATTTCCAATTCCTGGTAAGTCATGGGATTACAAGAATGAGTCAGGTATAAAAATTTATGCAAGACTTGTAAAGAGTTAGGACTTGGAGTGTTCTAGAATTTGCACGTGCTTTCTTTCCTCCAGCTTCAGAAGGAGAAGATGGGATTTCTGCCTGCCTTAGGGCAACAGGGCAGGACGTTCTGAGGACAGCCAGGCAAGGGCTGGGCCGTGACTTGAGAAACGGGTGCCCTGGGAAGGGTAGAAGCCAGGAGGGAGGTGGCACCCATCCTGGAAGTGTCTGCCAGCTGTGAGGATGCTCCCACTCAATGTGTGTGTGTGACAGCTGCACAGCCATCTGCTAATGATTTGTGGTTTAATATGATTTAGGATTTTATATCTGTGTACTATACACAGTACAGAATAAGAGTTTATGTTAAGCATATGATGGATTGACTATTAGAGGGCTTTGAAGACACATAAATGCCTGCAGGAGATTCGGAGCAGGCCTGGCCCAGAGTGAGGGGCAGTTTGCCACTTTCTTTGAGGCCCCCAGGCTCCCTCTTAATTTCTTTATAATTGGTTTAGTCACTGTGGGAGCAGACAGGAAAGGAGGTCAATTCCTTAGGTGTTTTGAGAGGACAGAGGTTAACACAGAGCTCCCTGCTCCTGATCAGCCGTGGGTAACCCGGAGGAAGACACCCTGACGAATCCATCTGATGCTGGGCCAGCACTGTAAGAGGCCCGGGCTCATTGTGGTTGGAGTAGCCTTCTCCTTCTCTCCTCCAGCTTCGAGATGTCATGTTAATGCGGCTATGCTGGTCACCCTCCAAGAAGGCCTAGAATCTCCACCTAAGGGCACTGCAGGCCCAGGGTTTGCAATGGACCCTCCATCCCTCATCCTGGACTGTGACAGAGACATGCCTGCAAGTCGCTTCCCAACCTGCCCATTTCTGACCTAACGCAAGCTGTTGAACGGCAAGGGTGGCTGCTGAGTTTTCAGAATTGTGCTAGAGGCCCTGGTAAGAGAATCTGTGACCCTGAGGAAGTTTTCATGGGCTCCCTGGAGAAAGGGGCACTTCTAATGATTCCTCAGGTCGACTCAGCATTGGGTGGGTCACCAGCCTTGGAATTCAATCCCTGAATATAATTTGTTTGACTAACAAAAATTTCTAAAATGTGTCCAAGTGTTCCAAAAATAGAAGAATGTCAACTCAGATAAAACACCAAATAAAGAAAGTGCTCCATGTTAGCTGAACTTCATGTACTCCTGGATTTGTATTGGATTGAGATGGATAAAGTCAATGAGATGGTTTGTTTCTGTGGAGGTGGAATTCAACATGGTTTTCGGTCTTCAGTGTTACATAAAAGCTGTGGGAGCAGAGTCCAGGAAATTGCCCTGTGCTTCCCTCTATAAGAGCACTTAACTGTTGGAATTGCATGTCTCTGTTTAGGATCAGATGTGAGCATTCCGGAGAAGAGGCCCTGTCTCACTCAGCTTGGCATTCCTAGGGCACCGCCTGGCACCCACTCAAACACAGTGCACGTTGAGGTCATTAATTAAAGGATGACTAATCTATCAGGTGGCTGCTGCACTTGGGCGCTGATTAAGACTGTGCTTGAGACCTTTCTGAGTCTTCTTTTGTAGGAGTCCATTATGAGAGGAAGGCTGACATCAGGATCTGCCCACCCAAAGCCCCACACCCCTACAAAACTTCAGTCGGTTTTTGAGAAGGGCTGACTACCTCTCACCAAGCAACCCAAATTCAGGCTCAAGCTGTGACAGTTAATGCTTTACAGATTATGATCTAATTTGGAAAGATGCTAATTTTAGTAAAATAAATCTACTTCTTCAGAAACTTGAGCCTTGACTTTAGAGCATATTTTGGCCTAAATCTCTGTTTTGCTAGGGCATTAGAATTTCTGGCTTCTGTAGTGAGTTGGGGTGCTGAGGATGGGTCAGGCTAGGAGGAGGATCCCATATCAGGGAGAAACACTTGGTTTTTGTGATAAACAAGGGACGGAGAGGCTCATTCTGACTCTGCAGTGTGGACCTCTCAGAACTGAAGCATGCAGCCGATCCCTAGCAGATCCTAGACCGGGGCGGGAAGTTCATAAACAACAATTACGATGGAGAGAAGCATCCTCTCCGCAGTGGACAGTGAACTCGCAGGGTCCCCTGGATTGCCAACCCTGCTCATCAGCCACCACCCTTGTAGGATCTTTGCAGTGATTGGAGGATGGACTCGGATCTTCTGCTGTCCTCGCTGGGCCCAGAGCACAGAAGTGGCTGACTTGGGCAAAAGGCAAGGCTGTCTTTAACATTTTTCTCCTCACTTTCAATTTCTTCAAGTGATTACTAATAATATTTATAGCGCTTCTATTTTTGCAAACTTTATATTTATAAAACACAGCCATATGTGTTACACATTAATATTTTGAAAATATTAAGCTAATAGCTTTAAAAAAATTCTTTGCCTCCGTGAAGAGCATGCCCTCCAGTTGTCCTTCTGTCTTCTTGAAATCATGGAGGAGAGGGGGGCAAATCCACGTTGAAGAGAAAAGGCAGAGAAAGTGCCTCCTGCAGGCAGGGGAAGAAAAGAGAGCCCTTTGGCCTGGAGACTGGGAGGGAGGAGAAGCGAGACATCGGAGCAATGTGTCTTGGCTTCCGCTGCTGTTTACAGCGCACACTGAAATGACAGAGCCCAGGAAGGCTGTTGGACAGGCTAAGGATGATGCTAGATGCATAGGGATGTGTGCCCCATCCCCATTTAGAATTCTGGGAATAGGCCAGGTGCAGTGGCTCAGGCCTGTAATTCCAGTGCTTTGGGAGGCTGAGGTGGGAGGATCGCTCGAGCCCAGGAGTTAGAGACCCACCTGGGCAACATAGCAAGACCCTGTCTCTACCAAAAAAAAAAAAAAAAAAAAAGCGCACGCCTGTAGTCCTAGCTACTCAGGAGGCTGAGGCAGGAGGATCACTTGAGCCAGGAATTTGAGGCTGCAGTAAGCTATGATTATACCATCACACTCCATCCTGGGCAACAGAGTGAGACTTTGTCTTTAAAGAAAAGAAAGAAAAAAAAAAGAATTCTGGGAATATCCTTCATTTCACAGCCAATGTGTGTTATTCTAACAGAATAAAGATAGTGATTGGGCAAAGAGAGAAAGTCATTAGTCTTAAGTTTCCCACAGCTCCTGTGTGGCATGCTATGAAAGAAACCAGAAATATTCCATATCCTGGGCAGGGTACAGATAGGAGCTGAGCTAGAATATGGTGGGCCTGCCAAAGGCCTCCATAGAGAAGGAGCAGATTGCACAGTGGGACCGATGGAAGATACGATAGAATGTTTGAGATGTCTGCGTCCCCAGCAAGAGCAGAGGTCAGGCTGAGTTGGTGAGGGAGAGCTACCAGCCCCTGATGGAGACAAAATGATCTCTACCAATAGGAGTTCCCCAAAGTGCCATGAGTGGCCCAGAAATCGAGTGACACATGAATCCGCAGAAATACGTTTCCTGGGTGATTGAGCTGTCAGGGGTCTTGTTAAGGAAGAAGTGAAGAGGGCCAGGCCTTTGAGGTAAGACGGAGCATTAAGTAACCCCAGAAACACAGAGACGATATTCCTCGGTCATGGAGGACACAGAAACACACATGGAGGCTGTGCATAGCACATTCAAGGAATATAAGTAAAAGGGAATAATGAGAGACAACACTGGAGCAGGAGATACAGGAGGTTTGCAGAAAGCCTTCAGTGTCAAACAAAAGCGTGTGGACTTTGTGCTATGAACACATTCCCCAAAGGGTGTTCTGTAAAACACTTGTTCATTGAGTTAGTAATAAGTGTCCACCAAAAAAGAAGGGCGGACTCATAGATTTAAAATTTGGGAAACAATGAGTTATATGCAGTGAAGCAGGTATCTCAGCATCTTCAATTTGTTACTGTGCATTCTGAGAATATGATGGGAGCATATAGACTTGATCAGAGGGAAAACTCAAGCAGCAGATGCTGTCACACACGTTGAGTGGCAGGATCAGAGGACAAAGACTACATTGATGACTGAAAGAATGGGAATGAAAGAGACTGACTAGAGAGTTGTTAACTAACAAGAGTTGTCAGGGTGAGGTGTCTGACCCTGGGCAAGGGGGGAAGGGATGGGAACAGCCCAAGCTCATGATTGCCTAACCAGCAGGACGGAAGGTCCCAGCACTGTTTCCTGAAATGGGGTATTCGGAGGGTGCGCTGCTTCGGGATGAATTTTGGTGTTTGAATCACGACCAGACATGCAGGTGGAAACGGCCAGCAGGCAGTTACTGACTGAAGACCGAGGCTCAGGACAGAGGCTCAGGCAGAGATAGAGGTGAGGATCTGTGCACTTGGCCAGGACCTTAGGCCAGCACTGAGTCTCCAGGTGCGCCCTCCGCTCATGGTCTTGTCCTGAGGCACCTCGCTCATGCCTGTGCTCCTCAAATGTCACTGGCTGTGCTGGGTACTTTCTATTTTTCTCCCGTTTAAAAATGTCCAGTCCCGTATCCCAATTCCTAGGACCCAACTTTCCACAAAACCAGTGATTTTTCAGCTGTGGTCCTAGGGAACATCGGCTCTCTGCCCAGGACGAGCAGTGATTGTCCTTCCCTTGGAACACATAGTGAGCAAGTGATTTGCATATTGCATCTCAATTTTATTTTTCTCTCACTATTTTTTCTTAAGCCTTTGGCGCTTGCTATTACCAGTGTGTGAGCAAGTGTGACCAGATGGACAGCGAATGAGTGAATAAACATTAATTTAAATTAATTAAATTGATTATGTTCGATTTGACTGCTTTTTAGTGGATATCTAGGCTCATGATTGTAATTTCATAATAAAACCTGTTACCGCAGTGGTCGGATTTTTCTGGGCCACCCGAGTGGAGCGGCCGGGTTGGGCCATAAAGAGGCCGTGGCCGGAGGACGGAGCGGGGGCGTTCACTCCGCTGGGGCTTCTCATGCCACGTTTTTTCTCCAGGTGTGACTTGGTCGGACGCGGATCCCGGCAGCCAGCTGGGGCTTAGTCTTCTGTGAAAGAGTAAAGTGCCTCCTGCGGAGAGCGGGTAAACTCGCCAAGGGCCTGCGAGGCGGGAGTTCTCCCCAGGCCAGGCGAATGGGGCGGCCCTGAGCTGGTCTAGAGCCGGCTCCACGCGTCTGAGGGGGCCCGCGGGGCGGCGGGGAGGTGGCCCAGACGCGGGTTCTGTGAAGGGACTTGGGGAAGGAAGATTCCATTCGAGCAGAGGAAAAGCCGGATTCAAAGAGGCCAGGCCGCTGAGGGGAGGGGCTGCCAAGATGGCCGTCGGTCTCCTCAGGGCCTCCTCGGCGGTCAGTTTTTCATCCTTTGATCCAGGGGTCGCTTCCTGTACCTCGTCCTCAGCATCTGGAATCCAGAGACCTATGGCGTCTGAGGTGCCTTGTGCCTCGGGCATACCCATCAAGAAAATAGGCCATCGAGGTGTTGATTCCTCAGGAGAGACAACCTATAGAAAGACGACCTCATCAGCCTTGAAATGTGCCATCCAGTTGTGCATTACTCACACTGTGGGGAGCCTGGATCCCACACCAGAGCGTCATGTCCTCATGTAAGATTTCTGCGTGGTGGAGAATATCTTCTTTCCCAGTGGGACCCCTGCTCATCACTGCAGTGAGTTTCCTTTCAAGACCTATACACCTGTTGCCTTCTGCTACTTTCAGGAGCTATTTGGTATCTGCCCTGATGATGACTTGTACTCCCTCTGCAGTGAGCCACTGATTGAACTCAGTAGCTCTGGAGCTGATGGTTCCCTGTTACATGTGTCCATCCACGATGAATTCATTATTAAAACAGTCCAACATAAACAGGCGGAGTTTCTGCAGAAGCTGATTCCAGGATACCACATCGACCTCAACCAGAACTCTTGGACTTTGCTGCCTAAATTCTATGGACTGTGCTGTGTGAAGGCAGGTGGCAAGAACACGCAGATTGCGGTGATGAAGAATCTCTTACTAAGACTGGTCAAAATGCATACCAAATATGACTTCAAAAGTTCAACCTACAAAGAGCAGGCTTCCCAGAAAGAGCAAGAGAAGCCTCTTCCCACATTTTCCCACATTTAAAAACCTAGACTTCTTACAAGACATCCCGATGGTCTTTTTTTTGGATGCTAACATGTACAACGCTCTCTGTAAGACCCTGCAGCGTGGCTGTTTGGTGCTGCAGATCTTTGAGATAATGGACTATAGCCTCTTGATGTCAATCCACAACATAGATCATGCACGAGAGCCCTTGAGCAGCCAAACACAATGCTCAGTTCACACTTGAAGACCAGCCCCCCAAAGGGCTCTGTATTCCACAGCCATGGAATCCACCCAGGGAGAGGCTTGACGGGGCAGCCCCATGGAGACTGATGACCATATGGGTGGCATCCCTGCCCAGAATAGTGAGGGGGAAAGAATCCTGCTTTGTATTGGCATCACTGACATTCTACAGTCTTACAGGTTTGTTAAGAAGCTGGAGCATTCTTGGAAAGCCCTGGTATGTGATGGGGACACTGTCTCAGTGCATCGCCCAGGCTTCTACACTGAACGGTTCCAGTGCTTCATGTGCAACACAGCATTTAAGAAGATCCCGGCCAGGTGCCGTGGCTCGCACCTGTAATCCCAGGACTTTGGGAGGCCAAGGCGGATGGATCACCTGAGGTCAGGAGTTCAAGACCAGCTTGGCCAACATGGTGAAACCCCATCTCTACTAAAATCACAGAAATTAGCCGGGCGGTAGTGGCACATGCCTGTAACCTCAGCTACTTGGTAGGCCAAGGCAGGAGAATCACTTGAGCCTAGGAGGCAGAGGTTGCAGTGAGCCAAGATTGCACCACTGCACTCCAGCCTGGGCAAAAGAGTGAGACCCTGTCTCAAAAAAAGAAGAAGATCCCCTTGAAGCCTTCTCCTTCCAAAAAGTTTCGGTCTGGCTCATCTTTCTCTGGGCGAGCAGGCTCCAGTGACAACTCCTGTGTTACCAGCCATCGGTCTCAGGGGAACACAAGGCACAAACCACAACAAAGGCGGAAGTGGAGCCAGGTGTTCACCTTGGTTGTCCTGATGTTTTACCTCAGACTCCACCTTTGGAGGAAATCAGTGAGGGTTTACCTATTCCTGACCCCAGTTTCTCACCTGTAGTTGGAGAGACCTTGCAAATGCTAACCACAAGTACAACCTTGGAAAAGCTTGACATTGCAGAGTAAGAGTTCACCCATTGAGCACAAAGCCTCAGAAGACCTGAAACAAGATTCTGCCATCTCTGTGATCCCAAGATGTCAGCCCTTGCCCCAGCAATGCTGAGTTTTCTTCTACTTGCCCATTAAAAAGGAATGTAATGGAAGCGAGGGGAGCTCTCCATCTTCTTCCTGAAGAAGAACCTAGTCTCTTTCCCCTTCCTCATGAATGGGCATTAGTGCCTCAGACAGTTGAGGACTGCAGCAACCCCTCCACTCCAGAATTGGGTGGATGGATTTTCAATGGGCTAACCTTGGCTTTCACAATTGAGCTTTTTCAGACCCCCATTCTTCATGCTGGGAATGGGATGGCTGGACTTGGCAGTTTTCTTTCCCCTCATCTTTCACCAGGAGCTGGACTCATAATTTCCTCAGGACAGACTAGCTGGCACATTATACCCACCTCAGTTCTTTCTCTCTGATCCCTGGAAGAAGATCCCTGTAATCTCTGTAAAGGTTTTGAGGGGATAAGGGTGTTTAACCACCTCCCAACTTTCTTCTTTTTATTCTGAATAAAGGAAAAATGCGCACAGCACGCAATTTCAAGCCAGTTTCAGATCAAAACCCCAAAAGTGTTGACGAGATGCCTAGTCATAAGATTCCCTCAGAAGAACCATGGTGTTTGTGAAGAGAAGTGTGGTGATTGCTCTGCCAGGACAGCTCCTCTTTAAACTCCTCCTTTCTTGATGAATTTGTTAAGGCTGGAGGAATGGAGAGAGTGGGACATGGGGTAATCTTTACCCCTTTTTTTAAAACATGGGGCAGCCGTGGGCTGGGAGATCATAGCCCTTCCTAGGCAGAATCCTACTCACTGCCAGGGTGTAATGATTATTACTGTTTTGCAATTTGAAATATATTCGGTTGTTTTTGTAAATATGAAGACCTATCAAATGAATTTTAGATCATTCTCCAGAGGAGATTTCTTTTCTCTTCCCATCTTTTCCAACAGTGCTCTCCTGCTTGTGGAGCTAAGGTAGAGACACCTCTGTCTGTTTAACAGGCAGTCCATATCTATGAGGCTAGCAAATATTTTCTTTTCTTTTCTTTTTGAAACAGTCTCACACTGTCGCCTGGGCTAGAGTGCAGTGGCGCGATCTTGGCTCACTGCAACCTCCACCTCCTGGGTTCAAGCGATTCTCCTGCCTCAGCCTCCCAAGTAGCTGGGATTACAGGTGCCTGCCACCATGGCCAGCTAATTTTTTGTGTTTTTAGTAGAGATGGGGTTTCACTATGTTAGCCAGGCTGGTCTCAACTCCTGACCTCGTGATCCGCCCACCTCGGCCCCCCAAAGTGCTGGGGTTACAGGCGTGAGCCACCGCGCCCGGCCACAGATATTTTCTTAAACTCATGAGGAGAGAGCAGATTCTTGCCTCAGTGAAGTCATTGCTGTGCCATGTGTCCTACCCGCTGTCTTCATGCAGGGAGGTTGGAAATGGGGGCCGCATGTGCCCTCTCCTCCCATCTACAAGAGTTGTGGTTTCCCATCTGATCCTTCCACTCTTGTTAGGGGAGGAAGGGGGCCTGGTATCTCAGGCAGATTGTTGAATTCCTGTTCTATCCCTTCTCCTTCCCTACCTTGATAGTAGGTTAGCCCATACCCCAAATAACTGTCTATATTAGACACCCTCAGCCAGTTTCTGGCTGCCTGTCTGTTGCCATGTTCTTTTTTACAAGAAGGAAAGAAACAATTATTGCTATTTTTTCATAATTTACTATTTATGAAGTATTTAAGTGTTTTATTATGGATAGAGTTCTGTAATGGGTGGGAGGGAATATTTGAGGGAGGGCTGGGTCTTAAGGAAAGGAATGGGGAATCAACATTATTATGAAGTGTCTCTATTTGCCTCTACTTTGTATTGTTCAGAAATGGCCAATGCAATATAAAAGTGTTACATGGTTTTAATGTATTAAACTTTAATCAGTTTTTTAGAAAAAAATAAAATTAAAAATTAAAAAACTGTTTATATTTATGATTATAACATAATTTTAATGAAAAATTACATCAATAAATATAGTATTCCACAAATGACCCCAGAATTGCAGTTGCTTCAGCATGTGAAAATATTTAAGAAACTCTCTCAGGGTCACGACACTGAAATGAAGTGGGTTTCATTCATTAAGCAATGTGCTGAGTGCCCACTCTGTGCCATGTGGTGGAGAAGAGAACCCAGTTGGAGGCAATGACGCACTCCCCCTCCCACACCTGTCCTGCGGAGGTGGCTGCCCCCGGGACACTGAGCCCTGCACATTTCTCAGCTGCCTTTCACCTCGCCTCCAACATGTGCACCGGTTCTTGGGAATGGACTACTGCAGAGTGGTCTGTGCTTCTCCCAGGCCTGCGCCATGAAAACCTCCATGCAGGGGGCTCCACATTCCATCCTAAAGGCTGCATGTGGTTTCCTGGGTGACGCTGGAAACCGGGAGCTGAAGATAGAGGAATCCATGTCAGTCTGGGTTCCTGGACTGATGAACGGCATGGAAAAGACTCCACTCTTCTGATGACCAGGAACACACTCAACTATCTGTGAATTGAGTTAAAAATAAAGTTTCATTGTGTTAAGCTTCCTGCATTTGGGGGTATTTGTTACATTATGTGGCATTGCCCTAACTAATACATACTAGGCATTTTGGATCTAAAGATTAACAAACCACAGATCTGTACTCAAAGAACAAGGCCTAGTGAGGAGAGCAGCTACATAATCAGGCAGGTTTCACAACATATCAAGAGCAGTGAAAGGACATGCAGAGGACAAGTATCAAGATGACTGGAGAGGGCCCCTGATCAACCCAGAAGCTGCAGGCCCAGGAGGAGTCAGGGAAGACTTCTTGGAGGAGACTCAAGGAGTGAGAGGGAATTGGCAAGGCTAAGGAGCGAGAAGGTGGCCCAGTGTCCGAGGAACTAGGACGGCATGAATGAGTCACACCTGGCATGAGGGGTGGGGGTGCTGCTGTGCCACCAGAGCTTAGAACAGGAGCTTCTGGCAGTGCAGAGGCTCCCACACTCCTCTAGCGACTTGGACTCTGGGGAATCTGGATGTGTTTTCAGGAAGGCAGACTAAGGTTAGATTTGCAGATTTTTGTTTTTCAACTATTTACTTTTATATATAAAGAGAACATGCATCTGTTTCTTCTGTCTCCACTCTTAAAAGATTAACTGCTGTGGTAATGCCCTCCTGCCATCAAGAGCTAGAAAACTGAACAAAATGTATGGAGTGAGTGGTGTGCTGAACTGAAACACCTACGAGAGGCTAGCAAGGGCAGCGACCTGAGATCCCCCCTACCCAGAGGCAGCCTTCCAGACTCAGTGCAGAGACGGCGGCTCTCACAGAGCCCAGTGTCTCACTGAACTCTGGAAACACAAATCAGATGTGGGAGGCTGAGGCGGCCAGAATTGGTGGTCCAGAAAGGAGTGAGCTGCACAGAGAGAGAAGAGAGCACCTCAGGTACCTAGAGTGGAGAACACTTGAATATTTGGTTGAATGCTGAGATTTTCATGAGTGGGGTAAGACTCCAGAACCACTGCAAAGTGAAGCTAACCCCAAGGACCTCAGGGCGCAGGGAAGAGCCATTGCAGCTGGGGGAAAAATGGGGGGAAAGAGACCGTGGAGGACAGGAAAGCAAGCAGGGTCCTGACCCCTACAGATCCCCTGAGGCTGGGAGACAGGCGGGAACCTGACTCACATGCAGCTCCAAGGGTTCGTTTGCCATGGGCAGGATTACTGAAAGAGCCTCAGGCCTGCCTGAGCCTGAGGCTAAGTGAGGAGGGAGAGCAGAGCGGACAGCCCAGCTATAGCCACCAGGCCACCCAGTGCTGGATCAAAAGCAACCTCCGACTACCACTGAGGGGAGGGAGTGCACAGATCCGGGCCTGAGGGTCAGGCTCAGAGGGAAAGCCCTCCGGCAACCAGTTGCCACACTAAGCCCAAGGAAGCACTAGCAAGACTGAAGTCCATCAGGCCTGAGGGCCGCATAGCAACAACAACAGAAACAAAACTGAAAACAAATCCGTTTCAACTAAGACCCCGATGCATCCAAGCCCCACACAGAGGCCTCACAAGAGGCCCGTCTGTCCAAAGGCATAAACACCACATGCCTTAGCTTCTGCGTCCCACACATATGGTCCAGGTTTTCAACAAAAAGTACGAGATGAGAAAAGCAAGAAAATATGACAGGAAACAAAGCACAGAATTAGATCCAGATACGACCCAGGTGTTCTACTATTGGGTAAGAATTTCTAAAAATAGTGTTAGTATATTTAAAGCACTAGGAAAAGTGTGAATTTTAAACAGAGATGGAAAATATAGTAAAGAATCGGAAAGAAAAGATAGAAATTTAAAACAGTAACACAGATGAAGTGTCATCAGATGGCTCATTAGCAGACCTCACACAGCCTCTGCACCCCACCCCCCCAAAAAAGTCAGTCAAGTCACACTGAAAGACACGGCCTATGAAGAATGGAAACAGAATACTGTGGCACAACACCAACAGGCTGAAATACTTGAGATTTGAGTCCTAGAAGAAGAGAGAGTGAACAGGGCATAGGAAGTGTTTGAAGGGATAATGGATGAGAATTTTTCAAAAATAATGAAATAAACAACAGCTCTGAGAAACTTGTAGAGCACTGATAGGGATAATCACAAAACAAAACAGTAAAATTGAGACCAAAATGGAAATGAAAAACGGAGTAAATAAAGGGCAAAACAAATAGAAAACATTGAGTCAGATGACAGATTTTTAACCCAACCATATCAATAATTTCATTAAAAGGAAACGGCCGAAACAAACCAATTAAAAGACAAAGATGTTTAGATTAGACAAAAAAGCAAGGCTCAACTACGTGCTGTTTATAAGAAACCCACTTTAAATATAGAGAGATAGATATGTATATTATAAGTAAAAGGATAGCAAAAATATGTCATGCACACACTAACCAAAAGAAAACTACAGTTTCTGTACTAATATGAATAGATTTCAAACAGATACAAAGGGAGAAATTATAGTAATCAGAGTGTTAATTCAACAAGAAGATATAACATTTTAAATGTATGTACTTAACAACAAACCTTCAAAATACATAAACACGAACAAAAACTGATAGACTTGAAGGAGAAAACAGTCACATGAAAAATTCTAGACGGAGACTAAAGGTTTTTTCTCAGTAATCAATAGAACAAATAAACAGAAAATAAATCAGGATGCAGAAGACCTGAACAACACAATCAACAAAGCTGGCCCCACTGACATTTACAGAACTCTGTCCAAGAATATCAGAGTACATATTCTTCTCAAGAGCACATACAACATTCCCAAGAGAGACAAAAACAAACTGTTACAACTTTTTAAAAATTGAACTCATACAACGTATGTTTCCTGAAACAGAAATATTTCTGGAAAATTCTCAAATGTTTGGAAGTTAAATGATTCATAAAATGACCCATGGGTCAAATAAGAAGCAGAAGAAAAATTTGAGCTGAATGTTAAGGAAAACATATCCAAAATCATGGGATGCAGCTGAAATAATGCTTAGAGGGAAACAAAGGTCATTAAATGCCTATTTAGAACAGAAGAAAGGTCTTAAATCAATAAACCAACATTTCTATATAACAAACTAGAAAAGGAGACTATATTAAAAGAGCAGAAGGAAAGAAATTATAAATATAAACAGAAAACAATAGAGAAAAATCAATAAAAGCAAATGCTGATCCATTAAAAGATTAATAAAAGTGAAAAACTTCTAGCCACACTGATAGAGGGGGAGAGAAAGGAGGAGAGAGGGAGAGAGAGAGACAGAAAGAGAGAGAAGGGGAGAGAGAGAAAGAGAGAGAAGGGGAGAGAGAGAGAAAGAGAGAGAAGGGGAGAGAGAGAGAAAGAGAAGGGAGAGAGAAGGGAGACAAAGAGGAGGAAAATGACTCAATGACACAAATTATCAGTATTGGAAGAGGGGTCCTCAACCACACTACCAAAGACCTCTACAGTCATTACAGGGAAAAAAAAGGGAATGCAGTCTACAACTTTATTTCCATAAATTAGAAAATGTAGATGAAAGGGGAAATTATTTGAAAGACACTTTAAAAGAAGTAATCTGAAATCCCAAATCTATTAATGAAATTGAATTCAAAGTTAAAAACTTTCCAACAAAGAAAATTCTGTGCTTAAATGGCTTCACTACTGAATTCCACCAAACATGTAAAGAAGACATAATACAATTCTACAAAACTCTTCCACAAAAGTGGAAGAGACTGCAATATTTTCCAACTCATTTTGAGACCAGCATTACATTGATAACAAGTAGTCAAAGATATTCCAGAGTGAAAAAAACCATACTTCAATATTCCTTTTTAATGTAGACATAAAAATTGTCAAAAATATTAGCAAATCAAATCCAGCAACATATAAGATGGACAATGCATCATACCCAAGGGTGGTTTATACTGGGAATGCAAGACTGATTCAATATTCAAAAACCAATCAAAGTTATTCTCTATGTAAATAGACTAAAGAAGAAAAACCACATGAGTTCCTATAGATACAGATAAAGCATTTGACAAAATTCAATATCCATTCATAATTTAAAATAAGAAGAAAAATCTCCCAGCAAAGTAGGACTAGAAGGAAACTTCCTCAACAAAACAAGGGGCATCTACAAATGCCTGCAATGCTATAGTTAACACTGAAAGACTAAATGCTCTCATCCTAAGTTGAAGAACAAGTAAAGGATATTCACTCTCACCTCTCCAACTCAAAATCAACATTATACCATCATACTAGAAATCCTAGCCAGTTCAATATGAAAAAGTGTGTGTGTGTGGCGGGGGGAGGAGTGGAGGACAAAAATTGACACAGATTGGAATTGAAGAAATAAAACTATCTCTATAATTCACAAACTGATTAAACACTGGGAACAAATTCCTTACCAAAGAGGATATACAGATGTCAAATAAATATAGGAAAAGATGCTCAACACCATATGTCATTAGGGAATAGCAAATTAAAACAACCATGAAGTATTGCTACACACCTATTAGAATGACCTAAATCCAGAACATTGACAACACCAAATGCTAGCAAGGACATGGAGCAACAGGAACTCTCATCATTGCTGATGGGAATGCGAAGTGGCACAGCCACTGTGGAAGACAGCTTGGTGGTTTCCTACAAAACTAAACATACTCTCACCATATGATCCAGCAATCATGCTCCTTTTAATTTACCCAAATGAGTTGAAAACACACAAAAATCTGCACACAGATGTTTATAGCAGCTTTATTAATAATTACCAAAACTTGGAGGCTACCAAGATGTCCTTCAGTAAGTGAATGGATACATAAATGATGGTGCATCCAGACAGTGGAATACTACTCAGTGCTAAAAAGAAACAACCTATCAAGCCATGAAAGGACATGGAGGAACTTTAAACGCATAGTACTAAGTGAAAGAAGCCAAACTGAAAAGGCCACATATCGTTGATTCTAATGACATTCAAGATGGCATTCTGAAAAAGGCAGCTATAAAGACAGTACCAAGGTCAGTGGCTGCCACTGAGTGAGGAGAAGGAGGGATGGACAGGCAGGGCACAGGAGATTTTTAGGGCAGTGAAATGACTCTGTATGACACGATAATAGAGGATGTGTGTCATTGTACATTAACCAGACCCGTAGAATAAACAACTAGAGTGAACCCTAATGTAAACTGAGGCCTTTGGGTGACAATGATGTGTTAGTGTAGGTTCATTGATTGTAGCAAAGGCACCACTCTGGTGGTGGACACTGATAATGCAAGAGGCTATGCTTGTGCGGGGGAAGGGAGTTCATGGAACCTGAACTCCCTGTACTCCTGCTTAATTTTGCTGTGAACCTAAAACTACTCTAGAAAAATAAAGCTGATTAAAAAAGTAACCATCTCTATGCTCAGGTAGTATGATCATGATTGCCTCTTTAGGCAATTCCGAAGAATGAATAAAAATGCTCCTGAAACTAGTAAGTGTGTTCAGCAAGGTCAGACAGTACAAGGTTAATATACAAAATCAATTGTATTTCTATAATACTAGCAATTAAAACTTGGAAATGAAATTACATGTTTCAGTTTTAAACATGAAGCAATAAGAAAATATAAAAACTTAGATATAAATATAACAAAATCTTGCAAAATTTATGTGCTGAAACCTACAAAACACTGATTAAAGAAATCAAAGAAGACCTAAATAAATTGAGATACATACCATTTTCAAAGTTTGGACAACTTGATATTGTTAAAATGTTAACTTTCTCCAAACTAAACTACAGAGTCAATGGAATTACAAACAAAATTCCAGCAGGATTTTTTGGGTAAAACTTAATAATCTGATTCTAATTTTATATGGAAAGTAAGAAGAACTAGACTAACCAAAACCATTTTGGAAAATAAGAATAAAGAATAAGTTGAAAGACTTCTAGTAATCATGACAGTGTGATATCAGCAAAATTACAGACACATAGCTCAATGCATGAGAATAAACAGTTGAGAAATAGATTCACATCTGAATGGGCAAAATATTTTTTAAAGGTACATAAGCAATTCAATGAAATAAAGATTTTTTTTTCAACAAATGGTCCTGGAAAAAACTGAAAAGTCATTTTTTTAATTTTAATTTTTACTTATTTATTTTTTTGAGACGGAGTCTCATTCTGTCGCCCAGGCTGGAGTGCAATGGCACAATCTCGGCTCACTGCAACCTCCGCCTCCCGGGTTCAAGAGATTCTTCCGCCTCAGCCCACTGAGTACCTGGGATTACAGGCGCGTGCCACCATGCCTGGCTAATTTTTGTATTTTTGTAGAGACGGGGTTTCACCATGTTGGCCAGGCTGGTCTTGAACTCCTGACCTCGTGATCCACCCGCCTTAGCCTCCCAAAGTGCTGGGATTACAGGCGTGAGCCACCGCGCCCAGCCTAGTCATATGTTTTTTAAAAAGGAAAAATAAATTTCTATTTATACCTTGAGCAATATGTGGACATTAATTCAAAATTATTCATAATTCTAAATGTAAAACCTAAAACTACAAAACCTCTAGAACTACAAAACTACAAAACCACTAGAAGGAAACAGCAAAAACAAATTTAACTTGGGTTAGGCAAAGACTGCTTAGATAGGACACAAAAATCATGAGTCATAAAAGAACAAACTGATAAACTAGACTTTATCAAGATCTAAAACTTCTGCTCTTCAAAAGACACAGTTAAATAAATTAAAAGATAATGCACAGGCTGGGAGAAACTATTTGTAAAATACCTATTAACAATCTTGTGTCCTAAGAATATATAAATAATTCTTAAAACACAACAGTAAAAAACAACCTAATTTTTTTTTTTTTTTTTTTTTTTTTTGAGACGGAGTCTCGCTCTGTCCCCCAGGCTAGATAGAGTGCAGTAGAGCGATCTCGGCTCACCGCACGCTCCGCCTGCCGGGTTCACGCTATTCTCCTGCCTCAGCTTCCCGAGTAGCTGGGACTACAGGCGCCCGCCACCAAGCCCGGCTAATTTTTTGTATTTTTAGTACAGACGGGGTTTCACTGTGTTAGCCAGGATGGTCTCGATCTCCTGACCTCGTGATCCGCCCTCCTCGGCCTCCCAAAGTGCTGGGACTACAGGCGTGAGCCACTGCGCCCGGCAAAACAACCTAATTTTTTACATGAACAAAAAAATTAAATGTGCATTTCACTTAAAAGGACATATATTAATCATTAGGCAAGTACAAGTTAAAATTATAGTAATATACACCTATTAAAATATCAAAATTAAAAAACAAACAAAACACCTGCCAATACTGACAAGTATTGGCAAGTACTGACAAGGATGAATTGTAACAGGAACTCTCATACATTGCTAGTCAGAATGCAAAATGTTACAGCCCCTTTGGAAAAAAGTTTGGTAGTTTCTTATGCAGTTTAACATATACTTACCATGTGACACAGCAATTCTTCTACCACGTAAATAACCAACTGAAGTTAACTTAGGTTCACATAAAAACTTGTTCATAAATGTTTACAGAGGTTTTATTAATCATCACCCAAAATGGGAAGCAACTCAAATACCCTTCGACTGATAAATGGATAAACTGTGGTGCACCAATACAGTGGAATTCTACTTATAATAAAATTAAAGAAATACTGATATAAACAACAACATGGGTGAATCTCAAATGCTTCATTCTAAGTAATAAAAAAAAAGGCCCTAAAGGTGAAATACTCTATGATTCCATTTATATAATATCTACAATAGGCAAACTGGCAGGTATGGAAAACATCACTATTTGCCAGGGGCTGGGGATGGGGATGGGGAGGTGGTGACGACTGAGCATGAAGGACTTTTAGAGGTTAATGAAAATGTTCTGTATCTTGATACTGGTGGGGGCTACATGAAAGTGCATTTGTCAGAACACATGGAAATGTACACTAAAATAGTTTTACTTACTATAACTCAAAGTTTAAAATGTACTGTAAAAAGAAAACATTTGTCCCTATTTTTTTTAAATAAAAAATAGAAGAAATGTACCATGTAAACATTAATTTTTAAAAAACTGATAGACTATATTACTATCAAAAGTAGGCTTCAGAAAAGATAATACTATCAGGTATAAATATCAGGAGATATTTTATAATGACAAATGGATCAATTTATTAAGAAGACATATTCACACTAAATGTGTATGCACTTAACAGTGAAGTGTCAGAAGATGTGGAGCAAAATCTAATAGAACTTAAATAACAAACAACAAGTAAACAAATAGACAAGAAAATTCTCAAATCAATTGTCTAAATTCTAGCTGTAAGAAACTAGAAAAATAAGACAAACATAAGCAGAAGGAAGAAAACATAAGAAGAGAGCAGTAATCAATGAAAAGGAAATAAAACAATAGAGAAAATTAAAAACAGAAAATCCTGGATTCTCTGAAATAATCAATGAAATTGATAAATCTCTAGCCACACTGATTTAAAAAAACCCCAGCAGAAAACATAAAAAATCATCACTATCAGAAACAGTAGGGAGGACATCCCTGCAGATGTTATAGATGTAAAAGATTAATAAGGAAAAACTATAAATCTCTGGAAGCTAATAAATTTGATAATTTAAGTGGATGAATTTCTTGAAAGACACAAATTACTAAAGCTCACTTAAGAAGAAATGTAAAATTTTGATATCTCATTATCTTAGATAAAATTAAATTCACAGTAAAATATTTAAAAAAGAAAACTCTAGTCCCTGCTGACCTGACATTTAAAAAAAAATCACTTTTACACGAACCTTTCCTGAAAAGAAAAGAGAAAGGAACGCTTAACTATCTATTTTATAAGATTAGCATTATCCTAATACCAAAAGCAGATAAAAACATTTTAAGAAAACTACAAAAGCCAATATCCCTCATGAACATAGGCAAAAAGTCCTCAACAAAATCTTAGCAAATTGAATACAGCCGTATATAAAAAGGAGAAGTCAGCATGACTGAGTGGAGTTTTTCCCAGGTATGCAAGTTTGTTTTAGCCTTCAAATATCAATGAATATAATTCATCATATTAAGAGCCTAAAAATTGCAAGACAAAAACATGCAAATAATCCAAGATATGCAGAAAACATTTCTGACAAAATTCAACATCAATGAAATATAGCTGACTAGAAATAGAAGGAAATTTCCAAAATACCTACGGTTAACATTCTTTGAATAGTAAAAGATTGATTGCCTTCCTCTAAGATCAGGAGCAAGGCAAGGATATCTGCTCTCACCACTTCTATTTAACATTGTAATTGGGGTCCTAGCCAGTGCAATAAGTGAAAAAAAGAAATAACATCCTTGGAGATTGAAAAGAAATTGATTAAACTCCCTTTTTTTCACAGACAAAAGAATTGTCTACATAATATGTCTTAAAGAATCTATTTTGAGTTACTGGACTTTAAAAGTGAGTTTAGCAATGTCTTAGGATACAAGATCAAAACGCAAAAACAATTGTATTTCTACATACTATCAATAAATGCTGGAAATGAAAATTACATTAATAATACAGCTTACAATAGTATCATAAAATATGAAATACTCAAGGGTGGATTGAACAAAGTATTACAATATCTGTATACCAAAATAGCAGATATTACCAAGATAATTTAAAGACCTAAGTAAATGAAGAGAGATACCATGTCAATACATTGGAAGACTTATTGTCACAAGGTCAATTGTCCTCAAATTGATCTAAAGATTCAACAAAACCTCAATCAGAATTCCAACAGAGTTTATTGTACATATTTATAAGCTGATTATAAAATTGCATGCTAATTCAAAAGATGTAGAATAGCCAAAACAATTTTGATAAAGTACAAATTTGGAAGACTTACATTATTTAAAAAGGTATAATAAAACTGCACTAATAAAAACCATGGGACATTAGTGTAAGGATAGAGATATAGACCAATGGAACTACAGACCAGCTATAAACAAACATAATTTATTTTTGACAAAGAAGCTAAGGTAGTTTAATGGAGAAAGGATAGACTTTTCAGTACATGTTACTGGAACAATCGGACAAGAAACTGGACATCTACATGGAGAAAGAGCACAGTGACCCTCACCCTCAGACCATATACAAAGATAACTAGCTGGCCAGGCATGGTGGCTTACGCCTGTAATCCTAGCATTGTGGGAGGCTGAGGCGGTTGGATCAATTGATGTCAGGAGTTCGAGACCAGACTGGCCAACATGGTGAAACCCTGTCTCTACTAAAAGTATAAAAATTGGCCGGGCACAGTGGTGCACACCTGTAATCCCAGCTACTCAGGAGGCTGAGACAGGAGAATCACTTGAACTGGGGAGGCGAAGTTTGCAGTGAGCCGAGATCACACCATTGTACTCCAGCCTGAGTGACAGAGAGGGACTTTGTCTCAAAAAACAAAAACAAAAACAAAAACAAAAACCAACCAACCAAACAAAAAAAACACAAAGATAACTAACTGACAATGCATCACAGACATAAACAGAAAATGTAAAAAATTTTACAGGAAAAAATTTTAAAATTTCAGGAAGAAAATGTAGGAGAAAATCTTTATGACCTTGGGTTAAGCAAACATGAACCAGATATGAGATCAAAAACATGGATAACAGAAATAATTGATAAAATTGGGATTTTTCAAAATTCAAACTCCTATTCTGAAAACCCTGTTTAAAAACCCTAAAAAGTCAAAGTTCAGGTTGGAAGGAAAGTGTATTTCATAAAGGACTTGTATCCACACTATATCAATGACACCCAAAAGCCAATAATAAGATGTACAACCCAATTTTAAAATAATAGGCCAAAAATATGAACAGACACATGACCAATAGAAGACACAACATTGACAATAAAGAATAAAGCACTTGAGAAAATTTCAACATCCTTAGTCGTTTGGAAAATGCAGGTGAAAAACAATGTGATGCTATTACATAACTGCCAGGATGGCTACACAAAAAAGTGTTAAACCAAGTGTTGAAGAGGATGTGGGGAAATGGAAACTCTCATTGCTGGTGGGATACAGAATGTTACAGCCACTTTGAAAATCAGTGTAGCATGCTCTTATAAAGTTAAATGTACAGCTACTGTTTAACACAGCAGTTCTACTCTAGGTGTATGCAAAGCCTTGTACACAAATGTTCATAGCAACTTTTTTAAATAATAGTCAAACCTGGAAACAGGTAACTGCCTTTCAGTTGGGAAATGAATGAACAGATCGTGGTATATTTACACAATGCAAATAACACAACAATAAAAAGGAATGGACTACTGATACACATGACACTATGAATGATGTTGAAAACTGCTGTGTGTTATGAAGAAGAAAAAGGCAACACAATGACTGCATACTGTATGATTTCATTTTATGTGAAGCTCTAGAAAACCCAAAATATAGTGGCAGAAAGCAGATGGGTGGTTGCCTGTGGCTGGTGGTAAGAAAGGGGAAATTTTGGAGGGTGATGGAAATGTTCTCTATCTTGATAATGCTAGTGTTTATATGACTGCATACATTTTTCAAAAGTAACTGAACTACACACTTAAAATAAGAAGATGTTATTGCATGCAAGTTATACAACAATATAGCTGATTACAAAAGGAAGAATATATAATAAAATGAAAATAAACTGATAAAATAGTTCTAACAAGTTGGTACATAATCTTTCCATTGTTTTCAATAGGTACTGAATATATTGCCTTATAAGCTTTTTCACGTAATGACACACAGTGAACATCTTTCTATGTCAATAAAGTCTTCCTATACTGTCATTATAAAAGACCGCATAATAGTTCAATATGTTTGTAAAAATCATTTACCAAACTATTGTTGAATATTCAAGTAATTTTCTGTTTTTTAATGTTACAAGTTATGTTTTAGTTTCAAATATTCTAACATTAGCACAATAACTTTTGGCTAGAATTGGCTTATCATTCCACAAGCTTGATAAAAACTACAAAAAATTTTTCAGAGGACCGGTAAAAGTCCTGTTTTGATCATGACCTGACTCGTAGATTTCAAAGTGATTCAAATGAGATTACAGAGAACTATGCCTGCCAATAGAAGAGATATTTTTGGGGGCAGCTAAATTTTTACCTACTTCTGTGGCCAACCGAGTAGAAGTGGTATCTTCAAGCTATGATTATGAATGCAAACCCGACAGAGGTTTATACACAAACATTGCACCAAGAATCATTCTTTTGGTTTTGATATAGTACTATGGTACACAGGACCTCTCTGTACTATCTTTGCAACTTCCTGTGAATCTATACCAATACAGAAAGTAAAAAATAGGCAAAGAATAAGAAATATAAAAATTGCCAACAGGTATATGAAAAAATTGCTAATCATTAGAGAGATGCAAATTAAAACTACAATAAGAAGTACATCATACCTGTTAGAATGGCTATTATCAAAAAGACAAAAGATAAGTCTTGGTGAGGATGTGGAGAAAAGGGAACCCTTGAATGTTATAGGTGGAAATTAGTATAGCCATTATGAAAAACTGTATAAAGTTTCCTTAGAAAAACAAAAATAGAAATACCATATGATCCAGCAATCCCATATCTGGCCATATATTCAAAGGGATTGAAATCAATATCTTGAAGAGATGGCTGCACTGTCATGTTCATTGCAGCACTATTCACAATAGCCAAGATAAAGAATTAGCCTGTGTCCATCAACAGACGAATGGATAGAGAAAAGGTGGTATATATGCATAATGGAATACTATCCAGCCTTAAAAAAGAAAGAAAGTCCATCACATGCAACAATATGGATAAGCCTGCAGGACATATGCTAAGTCAAATAAGCCAGTCACAGAAAGACAAATATTTCATAATCTCACTTATATGCGGAGTCCAAAACAGTCAAACTCAGAAGCAGAGAACAGAGTGATGTTTACCTGGGGCTGGGGTGGGAGTTGAGGAGATGTTGGTCAAAGGGGTCAAGTTTCAATTAGAGAAGAGGGATCAGTTTTTGAGATCTACTGCACAGTATGGTGACCCTAGTTAATAATAATGTATTGTATATTTCAAAATTCCTAATAGGGTAAATTTCAAATGTTCTCACCACAAGAATAAGTATATGAGGTGATAGATATGTTAATCAGCTTGATGTAGTCATTCCACATTGGGTACATATATCATAACATCCATTGTACTCCATAAATATACACAATTATAGTTTGTCATTAAAATTAAATAACAAATTTAAAAAGTAATCAATAATTCAAAAATGTATAAAAGAAAAATAGATAAACAATTATTAAGAAAAAATCTAAGCATTCTATGTTCAGTTCAGATCTCTGGAAACTCTACTCAAGAGTTCTTACTTTCACTGAAATTTGTTACATATTAAATGAGTTCTGTTCAAGTGAAAGCACTTATTGATCATTTTGTTTCAAGACGTTCAACTTATTCAAATGGCGATGTTCAGATATGTGCCTGTGTTTGTTTTCAGATTGGGACTCAATAGCCTGTTGCATGGAACAGCTTGTCTCCTCTCATCTGATTCTCACGATAATCCCAAGAGGCAAGTAACATGCTTATTACCAGGTTGCAGATGGGGAAATTATTCACTTAAGAAAAAAATTCTACACCATTCTAATTTCTATACAAATCTGGGATGTATTCAGGCCATTTTCAGTCAAATTCCATTCAAAGCACATATTATCTTTTAGGGAATGAATTCAGACAATTTCAGTTCTTGTGGCTCAAAGAAAGGGTTTATTTTGGCTTTGTGTGATCCTGACATCTCTGCAGTGGCGTTTACTACATGCTACATTACACATACTTAAACCAACACTGCAATTAGCTGGATGCTGCTCTTTCTTCCCAAGACAAAGGTCAATTTTGAACTTGCCGTAAAGCAGAAAGTTAGGTGGCTTCAGATCATTCTGTTCAGCAAATTCCAGGAAGCATGGACTTTCCAGCTGCCAGACAGAGATAAATTGGAAAGTTGCACATAATCCTATAATTCAGTTGACTTCTCAGAGACAGAAATGGAAAAATTTGAATAGCCAGCCCCAAGATTCTGAGGCTCTGGCTGCCGGATCCCAAATCCTCGGCTGCTCTTTGCTCCTGGCACATGAGAGAAAGTAGTGACCACGCAAACGACGCTCCCACAAGACATCAACATTGTCTGTGGGAACTGGAGGCAAGACCCCATTTTCCCCAAGAGATTCAATATCTACTCACGTCATATGTTTTCTTTATAAGATAAATCATAGCTCACGATCACACTAGAGGGTATCTTTATCTTGTATATTTATGGATTGTTTACATGGCAAATCTGGAGAAGCCTAGGGTAGGTGGCTTAATGCATTTGCTACATCCACTTTTTTAGAAAAACAGAGACAGCTAATGTTCACAACAGAGAAGAGCTACACACAAAAACATTTTAATTCTTCAGTTTACAAGTGTTCTCATTGAGGTCTTTTCCTTTGATAAGGGGAATTAGCATTTACATGTTAGCTGAGCCTCACTTCTGGTATAAAAACAAGATTTTGGTAATTCAAATTATGTTTTTATTTATCAAAGACAGAGTTTTACTTAAACAAATGAAAACATAGCAGTCAAATATGACAGATTTTCTAGCTTTATATTACCACTGTAAACATTAATTTTCAATGCAAGTTGTGTTTGGCAAACACAAGGGAAAAGTATTCCAACAAAGCTGTGGAATAATTAAACCTGCATGTGGACTCTCTTGTGAACTCAACTTCAATTGCAGCTTCACATACAATAAGCCAACACAACATTCCCTCTCATAGGTTTGAAGTTTATGGTTCAAAGACACCAAATGCAGCTAGACTGAAAATGAAACAGAATCTGCTCTGGAAAAAATAATATTCTCCTGGGATAATCATTAACGCTGCAGAGAAAGCCAGGTCAGATGAAATATTCCCATTCTAGGCAGTCTATGGTAAGTTAGATGGAAACCAGATAGCCTGATTTGTGGCTAAGAACCTGTTTTCATTCTGCAGAAGACTTGGAGCATCCTTACCTAGAAGCTATAAAACATTTTAGCCTGTCGAAATATCATTAACAAAATTCCCAGTACTCCAAGGCATCTTTTGGCATTTAAGGGTTCATGATTGGCTACAAGAAACATTGGCGATGACTGTTGCCTGCTTTTAAAATTCTTGTAAGGGTTAGTAGTGGTGGAGCTACAAATAAAGCTTTTCCAAGTGAATAGACTTGAACTTCACTGACTACATTTAATTTATTTCCACTCCATGTACTCATGGTTAGAACATGGAATCTTCAAGGAGTATTTGTGCTTCATCTTTCCATGCCATCCCAGCTGTAATGGTGATAATTCACGTAGGTGCAGCACAGTGAATAACGGCATGGTAAGGCACAACACATAAGCTGTGTTTAGATTTCAGTGATGAAGGGATCAGTGTGTAATGCATAATACACACATTTTATCTACACAAATATACATCTGTATTACTAGCATATTTCATGACTTCTACTTTCTTTTCAAAATTAAATAGTAAAAATAAAAGTGAACTGAAGTATTACAAGGTTCAGATAGTGTGTCATTCATATTGCCAAATGAGTTAGGCTCCACCCAGCTACATCTTCTCTCCCCTTCACGGTGGCCTTGGGACAGCTTCTTGGCCTTAGCTCCATCTCTTCCTGGACACTCATGATTTGCCATCCATTTTTCTCTCTTCCAAATCTATGTCCTATTTGTTTTGTTTACTCTTTACTACTTTTCTGAACTTCCACTCTCAAAATAGAGAAACACAGTTCAATCTGAGAACTCCTCAGGATTCATGTGAGAATTTTATTTCCTAGAAAGTAGGTCTTCCATTGTAACACCTGGTCTCTTTAGGAAATCAGATCATTTTTTTCTCAATATTTTAAGCTACGAAATACAGCAAAATATTTTAAAAATATGGTTGGTCTTTCTTTGTAATGAACACGAAGACCTGCACATTTGAAACCCCATGTTTTTCCTGTTCCACACCATGACCGTGAGTGGTAGCACCAGGTTCTCCTCAATTCATTCTCAAAAGGCTACTGTGTCCCACTCTATTGACCTGGCTCTTGTCAACATCATCACTGGCCTCCACTTTGCCACCAGTTACTTCTCTGTCCTTAGCTGTTATTCAAACTCTCAGCAGGGTTCAAAACAGTTGGTCGCACTGTCCTTTTATATTTTCTCCCACTTCAAATACTTTCTTCTCAACTTCTCAATTCCAGAATCCTTTGGGTTTCCTGCAGCCTACCTGGCTCTGCCTGCTCTGCTTCCTTTGCTAGACCCTGCTCCTCTACCAGAACTTAAACAATAGCACGCACCAGGGGCGTGCCACTGGCTCTCTGTCCACCCTATCCACACTGTCACTTCAGGTGTTTTCACACAGTGGTGATTACCTCTGTGCCAGTCTTAGCCAAGTCTATGTCTCTGTTGAGTCTTAGACTCCTGTACCTGATGGCCTATCTGGCTTGCCCCTTGGGTGTCTAGCAGATACCTCAGATGTTGCCTGTTCTAAGGAGAACTCTCAGCTCCTCCACAGCTGGCTCCTCTTCCTGCCCTACCCTGGTATTCTTGGCACCACTGTCCACCAAACTGCTTAAGTCAAAACATGGGCATTATCCTTGATTTGGCTTCCACCCTGCCCTAGGTTTAATCTGTCAGCAAATTCTAGAGCCTCTGAGCAGACCCTGTCCATCTACTTTCCTCAGTTCCAACCCTGCTAGCCTGGACCACAGGCTGGTAGACAGGATACTTATTTCCTGCCTTCTGCAATGCCAAGTGACCTTGTGACAGGACAACACAGACATCTCAGCAACTTCATTTTTTTGTCTGTTATGCAATTCAAGTAACATCCTCAGTCAGCATCTGCTGTCCACCTGTCTCTCCACACCATGAGTGACTTGCCATCATCCTGACCCCCAGGGCTCCAGACACACACATCCCCAGGTTTCCTTCTTGCTCTTTATGGCTGTGTTGCTGTTGCCCACCCTGCTCCTAGCAGTTTGTAACAACTGGCTGCTGCCATTCCGGAACCCTGCAGTCCCAACTGATACCAGGACCCCCGTTCTGTGGCTGCATTTCCCACTGCTAGCCTCAGCTTCCAGGGGTCAGCACCCCACACTTCTCAGTTACACCAGTGTCCGCTCCTCAGGAAACTCCTCAATGGCCTTATCGGGGGCACGTTCTCCAGGGTCTCCCAGCAGAGTGTATCGGCATCACATGAGAAACCCACTCTCTGAGCCTCCTGACCCTCCCTCAACATCTGGCCCAGGCAGTTCCACTGCCCCTGTTCATTTGCTGTGGATACACTGTGTCCTGGGGGCCATCCCAGCAACCCACAGGATCAGTTCTCGCCAGGTTGCTTAATCCTAAGTCTGCCACTGTTTTTTCAAGGCTTCCAAAGCATTTAAAAGCCAACTAAGTCCACAATCATTAAAATTATTTTAATGATTCATTGCCCTTAAATCATCCAACTATCGGGGCTATCACACAGCCCAATGGTTCACATGTTACAACTCCTTCCATTCGAATTCTCCACAGATAAGGTCTCAGTCATTCTGATGCCAGTGCATGACACTTACTAGCAATGTGGGCCTCATTGCCATCAGATCTGGCTTCAGACCACATCCTAAGGGCCTAATTATCTCAGTCTGGACTCCCCTCAAAATCAGAACCCAAGGCAAAGACTTGTGTCCACGCAGTTTCCTGGAAAGTTATTCCAGAGAGCAGGAATGAAAGACCAGAGGAAGTGAAACGGAAAAGAGGAAAACTGACACAGGAAGGCATTAACTGTTGGTCACCACGACCTTCTGGGAGTGTACAAAATACTTCTAAGAATTATCTGCAAACAGGCTGACGATTAGAAGCAGTCTCTGTCAACCCACTCCCAGCAGTTGAGAAGTGTGTCATGCAGCATAGACACCCTGCCATTTCTGTCTGTGCTCTCAGGCATGCAGGGCAGGCTTCAGAGGAGCCTAAGGAAGGAAGTGTGGGCCAAGTGTGAGGTAAGGCACTGTCAGCACAGACTCAACCCAAGGGCCCAGGAGACAGTCCACTGCCTCTGTAAGGTGACACTGAGGGCATGAGTTCTGCACAAGAAATTTGACATGAACAAAGCCCACATACCAAATGTGGAAAGGACACTGATACCCCCACTTCAGAGAATTGCTTGAATTCTCTGGCCCTCTCTCAGCTTTTTCATCTGTATTTTGGGAAGACTGGGCTATACTCATGGCTGCCAACCTATTTGCAAACAGAATTACTTTGGGAATTCCTAAAATCATGTATACCTGTGCCTCTGAAATTCTCATTCAGAAAGTCCTGATTACAGCCTAAGAAGCCAGATTTTGTAAGCCTCCCCAGGTGATCCCGATGTAGTCAGTTATTGGACATAATTCTAGGGTCCCTTTTTAGTTTGGAATTTGGTGAATTATTTAGCCCACTGGATAAATAACATGTGAATTTAAAGAGAAATATAACATGCCATTCCTTAACTAACAGACCTTATAGTGAGCTTGTTTAGATAAGATTCATGCTTAAGAAACACTAAGTTTATAGCATAAGACAATATCCAACCAGATATTGCAATTCACACAACTCTCATGTGTAGACTTTTTCCCAGCAGTAATCAAATCATTCTTCTCATTATTCTTTGTTACTCAATTTAATAAACACTTTAAACACTTTTAAACACATTTAATCTACTAGATATGTATTGTTAGATATTGATCTGTTATTTTGAGGCATAAAAAGGTGAATAAGACATTTTCTTCATCCTGAAGGAGTGTATGACATACGTACAAGGAAAAAATTGAGGAAAATGAGATGAAGGTCTGCAGGTATTGAGAGGTGGAAGCAAATCAATAATGCAAGATTTTGGGTCCAGTTTATTAAGTTCTCCAGCTATGTTCAACAGCCTCGGATAGAATGGAGGAAAGCAGATCTTGGGAAGGTGAACGTGGAAGACAGACAAGACAGTGAAGTGTTCTCAGCGTCCCCAGGGACATCATGAGACTGAATTGAAGAACAGGTGAAGATGGGGCAGGGGTAGGGTAGTTAGTCATGATGTGGGGAGGTGAGCAGAGGTTCCAGATCCTCTGGAAGGTGTATTTCAACAAGGCTGTGGGTGGGTATGAGCAAGTTTGTAAGCGTGAATGCACAGCAGTTTCAAACCATGACAGGGCCCGAAGAATGCTGCAGGCTGCAGATGATGCAGCTCCTGTGGGGTGGAAGCAATCCTATGCATGTGGACCCCTCGGGTCCGACTGGAAAAGGAGTAAACGATTGTTCGACCAAAGCCTAAGCTTCAGGAGGAAGAGCCTTGCCTTCCTCATCCTACCTTATTATCATTAAAATGAGCTGCTGGTTAAGAATTTGAAAGCCAAGAATATTCTCTGATACTTGTCAGAACTTAGTGGTTTCTAAATTTGTAGCAGCGTAAGCACCAAATGCACCTCATTCATTTGCTTGACTAAACTGAAATTCTCAGCAAACCAGGCTTCCCACCTCTCACTCCTGACAACCCTCGGGGTACTGCCACTGCAGTAACTTGGGCTGGAAAACCTTCAGAAAACTGTCTGTCTTCACTCCACCCCTGCACAGCCCTCTCTTCCTCCAAAGATCTGTGGTTTGGGACAGGCTAGTACAGAATTTGGTTCTGGGCAGGTACACTTGGCTTCCATTTCAAAGCACCCAAGTCAACCTGGCAACCTGAAGGAACTAGAAAAGCTTCTGCTAATCAGTTGTTGGTCAGCAGCCCTGATTCTTGTGGACGGCAGGGACGATAGGCTCTCCTGGGAAGCAGCGGTCTTTGGAACTGTGGGGACCACAAAAGCTCTCCCTGTGCCGGCACCACGGCCCTCCCACTTCATCACTGCCGTCTAACTGCCCTCAAACTGTCACTCCTTTTCCTGAATCATTAGTTTTCTTGGAAAAAAATAATCAGACCCATAAGGAGGAGGAGAGTATGAAGGAAAAAATAAAACCAAAATGAGCAAAATTCTTCCAGTCAATGGGGGTGGGGAAATAAGACTCATCAGCAGCCCCTCAAAAATAACATGATTATCTTTTATTCCTTTTTACTTTTGGAGTTCTGTTGTAAATACTTACATTACATATAAAAGCAGTTTAAAAAAATTTCCATAGTGCCACAACTACTTACTGGGGATAATGTGGGTATAATCTTGCCTGCAGGCAAGAGAGAGATTATTACACCTATTTTCAAGCTTTCTGTGACTCTCAAAAATAGATGTTGACATAGGTTTTTGAATGCTTCTGGAAATGTTAAAATCATTATGTGATTATTCAAAATATAGTTTGCCATGTGATCAAAAGCTAATAAACTCTTCTATGTTTATTTTGTTTTAAGGCATAATCGGCACAAATGCATTGTTCCAGTGGCTTAACATTGTATGTAAACGGTATAAACAGAAATTGTGGAAATGTGTGTTTTCACTTGATTCAAACAGAGAAAGAGTTCCAAATACGAAAATGAACTAAATAAAAAATGAGATTGGATTGCTGCCTGAAATTTGTAAATTTAAAAAACTAACTCTCTAAAGTAAATTACTTAGGGACCTTCATATTTACCAAATCTTCTGCATAATAAACTTAGAATTAAACTTAGCCCTCCTACATGCAAATGTAATACAAAGAAAAGCATCAATAAGAGGAATAAACCATGCAAAATATCTCAGATGAATAAGACTCATGGCCAGGTAGGGTGGCGAACGCCTATGACCCCAACGCTTTGGGAAAGCAAAGCAGGAGGATCGCTTGAGCTCAGGAGTTTGAGAACAGCCTGGGCTGCATAGTGAGACCCTGTCTCCACAAGAAGTAAAACAAAAAAAGCAAAAAAAAAATTAGTTCCGTGGTGACGCACACCTGTAGTCCCAGCTACTTGGGAGCCTGAGGTGGGAGGATCGCTTGAGCCTAAGATTTCAAAGCTGCACTGAGCTGTGATTGAGCCACTGCACTCCAGTCTGAGTGAGGGAGCGAGACCTTGTCTCAAAAAGAAAAAGAAAAGATTGATAGTTACAGACTACAGCTTGCCTCAAGGCTGTTTGATTTGTCCTCCTAGAAATCTATCAAGTTTTCTTTATTCAAACCACTCTCTGAGGTGGGGAAAAGCTCCAAATACTGTGTTTTAAGGAGTTGTGCCACCAAAACACCACATAGGAAAACCAAAAAGGATCTTTCCAAAAGGTCCCTGAGACTTACGAATATGACTCCTGAGGAAAGACAGAATTGTTTGCAGATAAAGTGATCAATGTGTTAAAAACTGGCAGATGTGAAAAGGGGGGAAAAGAGATCAATGAACTGAGAGGGTCTGGAGTGGAAACAGGAGAGAGCCAGGGAGTCTTCAAAGGGAGTTGCTGGCTGGGTCTGTTGTAACTAAACCAATCTGGTTCAACTTTTATGCGACTAAGTTTTGAATTATTTTTTAGTTTCCACAGACCCCCAAGTTGAAGGTCACATAACTTGAGCGTGCCCAGATGAACCCAGTGTGCAACATGGGCATAACCTCAGTGGTTGGGCTGAGGAGCGGGGACTGAATTAAGAAGTGGACACGACATGGCGGGATCCAGGATCCAATCAGATCGAACCCTGGCATAACCCATGGCAGGATCCAGTCAGACCACACTTCCCAGCACCACCTCATTGCAAGACCCAACCAGATGATGCCTCACTACCCCTTGACCATAAAACCTGCCCCAACCCCTGACTCAGGAGACACACTTGAGCCCAACTCCTGTGTCCTCGCTCGGCTGCTTGGTAAAAACCCTTCTTGCTGCAAAAATCCAGTGCTTCAGTATTTGGCTTTCCATTACATGTGGGCAAATGGAACCCATTTGGTAACACTGTGAACTCAGGGACTTGAATCAAATGAACTCTCAGCCTGGTGAGGTTGGTTTTGAAGAACTGGACAGAGCGTTTCTATTCTGACTTATACTAATTAATTATGTTATGTATATTTTTATTTTGTCCAGTTTCTAGTAACAATAATTTGAAAAAAACAGTTACAAGAACAATTTACTGAGTATTTACACTGTACTTTATATAAATTTCTTATTTATTCTCTGAACAATCTTAGTAACTCAGTTTATACATGAGAAAACCAAAGGCTGAGAGAGGTGGGGTAAGTTCCCAGAATCATATGGCGCACTTAATAATGGAACCGAGATTTGAACTCAAAGACCACACAATTATGTGTGATACTATGGCAAACTGATGATTTCTTTTTTTTTCTTTTCTTTTTTCATTTTATTTTATTTTATTATTATTATACTTTAAGTTTTAGGGTACATGTACACAATGTGCAGGTTAGTTACATATGTATACATGTGCCATGCTGGTGTGCTGCACCCATTAACTCGTCATTTAGCATTAGGTATATCTCCTAATGCTATTCCCTCCCCCCTCCCCCCACCCCACAACAGTCCCCAGAGTGTGATGTTCCCCTTCCTGTGTCCATGTGTTCTCATTGTTCAATTCCCACCTATGAGTGAGAACATGCGGTGTTTGGTTTTTCGTCCTTGCGATAGTTTACTGAGAATGATGATTTCCAATTTCATCCATGTCCCTACAAAGGACATGAACTCATCATTTTTTATGGCTGCATAGTATTCCATGGTGTATATGTGCCACATTTTCTTAATCCAGTCTATCATTGTTGGACATTTGGGTTGGTTCCAAGTCTTTGCTATTGTGAATAGTGCCGCAATAAACATACGTGTGCGTGTGTCTTTACAGCAGCATGATTTGTAGTCCTTTGGGTATATACCCAGTAATGGGATGGCTGGGTCAAATGGTATTTCCAGTTCGAGATCCCTGAGGAATCGCCACACTGACTTCCACAATGGTTGAACTAGTTTACAGTCCCACCAACAGTGTAAAAGTGTTCCTATTTCTCCACATCCTCTCCAGCACCTGTTGTTTCCTGACTTTTTAATGATCGCCATTCTAATTGGTGTGATATGGTATCTCATTGTGGTTTTGATTTGCATTTCTCTGATGGCCAGGTAAACTGATGATTTCAATTCAAAGTTTATACAATAGTGAGTGCCATTTATACCTATTTTGGTTCTGAATTTGGTCTGATTCAAGTCTCTAGCAATTTATTTTGAATTTCTATATTCAGGTATAAATGTTGTACTCACATACTCAAAACAAAAACATAGTCATTTACGTTTTGATATCTGCCTACACCCTTGTATTTGTGCAAAACATCAAGAATTCAATTTTTAAAAATAAAGAAAATCCCAGGAGAAAAGGAATCAATTTCCATAGAAATTTGAATAATGCCAGATTCATTCCATGAATACAATAAAAATGGAAAGTTGTTGATGAAAGAGATCTGTCCTTTCTTAGTCTGCATTCCCAATTGTTGGACACTGCTGTGATACCATTAGCTACTTAGGCTGACAGCACGTTACTCTCAGTTCACACCTCTCGTAGCTTTACTAATTGAGTCATGGCATTATTATGACACTGTGAAGAATCACCTTGGGAAAAAATATAGGACAATTTTATCTGTAAAATGGTTTCTGAAGCATCCTCAAATCCTCGGCATATGTTTTTGGCAGATTGATTATTTCCGGAGTAGGCTTTCACAGCCACAAAAACAGAGCACCATTGTGGCAATCCGGATTCGGCCTCTCCCTTCCTGCTAGGGTCAGGCAGATTAAATCACTACATTTATATATATATATATATATATATCACTATGTTTATACATATATTTATATAATATATATAGAAGCAGCTTTGAGATATAATTTACATATTATACAATTTACCAATTTAAAGTGTACAATCCAATGGCTCTTAGTACGTTCACAGAGTTGAAACCACTACATTTTTGCCTGCCCTCCCTCAACCTATAATTTTTCCCCTTGAAAAAATAAACAGTTTTATTTGTGATACTGCTTCCAAAAAATCCAGGGCCTTGGAGAGAATTTATCCAAAGTTGAAGAGGTCTCTGTTACTGGCGAGTCTTCTCTCTCATTCTCCACAGGAGTCCATTGCCCACTCAAATTCTTGCATGGGGTTGGATCCCGTGAGTCTGTCTGGATCTGCAGATTTGTTTCATTCTTACTAAACATTGGATATGAAATTGAGAAATCTATTCTGCATTGAATGTGTCATCCATTTAATAGCAAAATGCACCAAATGTTTCTGATTCAACTATTTGGGGAAACCCCCAATTCATGTCCAATTGAATTTCAATATGATGGAATGCAATGGTCCACTCATCAGCTGCCAATGAACGGTTGGTTTATGTTTGTGGAGGCTTCATCATCTAAAAATTACTGCTAGAATTCTTAATAAAAAACTTCAGTATGCCTAGAAATTACTAAGACAAACATATAAATTGAAGGCGGGAAATGTTTGACATTCTGGGAAAATTCCAAGTATCAGTAGCTCTCAATTTTTAAATATTATGCTAGCAAATCTTCCTGGTTTGCTTATTTATTTATATGTTTTTGAGGATATAAGGTATCATACACATAAGAGATATACTAGAAAATGAACAGCATCCCCTTTTAGTCCAATAGGAAAGATAGGTTGCATAAAAGTTACCAGATTTTTTTGTAATTTGGTAATTTGGCTCCAATTTCCTTGTGGTGGCGGAAGCCCAATACAGCCCATCTTTCTCACTGGTTACAACTAAAAACTCTGGACAAATCTGGAAAAAAAGATAACCACCTGAGGATTCTGAAAAATAAAATGGAAAGATTTTGAAGGTGAGTCAACTTGGAGAGGATGTACATAAAGAGGGTTTTCTCTTTTTCTTTTTCCCCGACAGCAGCAGTCTCCAGTCATGGGGCTGGTGGCTAAAAGTCCAATAGGAACCTAATATTTCTGGGCAGAAGACTGTGAAAAGGGGCTATACTGTTTAGTTTTATGTATTAACTTGACTGGGCCATAGGGTGTCCAGATGCTTTGTTAGAAGTCATTTCTGGGTGTGTCTGTGGGGATGTTTGTGGAGAAGATGAACATGTGAGTTGGTCAATTGAATAAATCAGATTGCCCTGTCTTATAGTGGTGGGCCTCGTCCAATCCGTGGAAGACTTGAACAGAACAAAGGGCTGAGGAAGGGCTGAGGAAGGGGGAGTTTAGTCTCTGCTTGACTGTCTTCAAGCTGTAGGTCAGTGTTTTTACCTAAGTGAATCCATTAGTAGGAATAATGGAGAGAATACAGTTTCTCAAAGTGAAGTGTTCAATATTTTTCAGAGACATACAAAGACCATGTCGTTTTCTACTGACATATTCAGGAAAATACAACAACTAGCAGCATCAATAATAGAATTGAATGAATTGCCTCATTGCCACCATTCATAAAAAAAAGAAATATGATTCAAATGAAAACAGAATTATATAGTAATTTATTCATTTACTTTAAAAAATTACTGTATGTCAACAATGGGTCAACCATTGTCTTCAGCTCTGGGGAAACAGAAGCACACAAAATAGACCCTGCCTTGGGGAACTTACACTCTAGAAGAGGAGGCAGATAACCAATAGATAAATGTATTTTTAAAATATCAGGTAGTGACACTCCTCTGAAGAAAAGTAAAGCAGGTTGAGGAGACAGTGAGAGTGCAGTAAAAGACCTCTCTGAAGAGGTGGTATTTGGGAAGTGACTTTAATAAAGTAAAGGTATGAGCCATGGAAATACACAAGAGAAGTGTTTAGAAGTCGGAGAGGTAACAAGTGCAAAGCCCCCAGGCAAACAGCATGTTGAGGCATCAGAAATGAACACAATGGGACTTGAGCTTGGCAAACAGGAAAAATGGTACAGGATTGAGAGGCAGCCAGGGACAGATAATGACCTTACAGGACTTGTGATTTTGCTCCAGGCTAGTGGGAATCTTGTGGTGTATTTTGAGCAGGGAGTTAATTTGATTTATATTTTAAAAGGATTACTGTTGTCACTGTGTGAAGATGGTGTATAGAATGAGAGGAAATGGTAAAACTAGTTAGAAAGATGCTATAGTAATCAAGGTGAACAGGAAATAGAGAGTGAGAGATTATCAAAATCAGATTATATTTCAAAAGCAGAGCTGTTAGGAATTGCTTATAGATTGGATGTGGAATGTAACAGAAAGAAAAGTCAAATATGATCAAAGTTGCTGGCTTGAACAACAGGAGAAATGGTGGTACCATTTAGTGACATGGAAAAAGACTAGGTAAGGAGCAGATCAATGGGACCAAGGAGGAGCCAAAAGTTTCTTCATAGACATTGGGTCTAAGAGGTCTATGAGAGTTTAAGTGAAGAAGTCAGCTGGGCATGTGGATAGAACAATATCAATAAAGTTATCCCTAAGGCCCATTCCAACATTTAGAGTCCGTTAAAAAGTTATGAAAATGTACCAAGGAATTACACCAGAAAGAAATTGTTCTTATTGAAAACACAATATGGTTCTGAGTTTAAAATGGAAAGCAAAACTTTACCGAATTTATCTCTCACAATGCCTAACAAAATGGGTTGGGGGTAGGGGGGATAAAAATTCCAAGAACAACTATTAAGATAAAACAACAAAAATAAAATTCCAAAACTAGGAACAACAAAAGAAATAGAATATAATCACTTCACCACCATTCTCCAAAATTATTTTGATAAAGTCACAAAATCCTGAGATTTGTCACTTATACCTCAAATACAGGAATAAATAAATCCAGAAATAGCCTTATCTTGTTATTCTCTCATTAAAAATTTTTTAAAAAAACTGTTGTTGGAGAGAAAAATATAAAGTTAAGAAACTGAATAATGGGACTAACTATTTAATAAAAATAAGGCTTCAGGTCTATATACTAAATTGAGGAAACATGCTGAAGTCCAAGGCTATCTCTCCATGGGATAGTATTTTTCGTCTATCTAGATTGAATAAACTCTGGCATAGGAAGAAAAGGCAGAGCCCAGTTATTCTAATATTAACTGCAACTACTTCACTAAGCCTCTCTCAATCATACACTTTTATACAACCACATAATACACTTTTATTCCCTCAGGCTACAAAAATATGGAAAAAATACAAAGTGACTACTCCTCACTCAGAGAGGAAAGTCACTCACAGAGGAAAAACCTGGTGATAGATACAATAGAAGGAGATATTACTCACATTTTATCAGGAGAAATAACGTGTCTGGAGAGAGGCACCCAAACATGTGTAGGATGAGAAGACACAGCAGAAAAATCATGTAAACATATAGCAGAAGAAAAAGGAAGTGAAGAAGGAGGATAAGGAAAAGACAAAGAAAGAGGAGGATGAAGAGAAAGAGGAAGAGGGAAGAGGGTAACAGGAAGCCAGAGGAGAGGGAGAAAAAGGAAGAGAAGACAAGGTGGAGAAAGAGGAGAAAGAGAAGGAAACAAGGAGTAGGAGAGAGATGGCATAAAAACACAAAGTTTGAGTAAAATAAAATGTAACTCAATAAACAGAAGAAAATTCTCTTTATTGTAGAATAACTTAACAAAAACATAATATCCATGAACAAATGATCAATGGTAAGATGATAAAATAACTGAATAAGATGAAGTTTGAGTCCTAAGAGACACATCAAGGTTTAAAACAACACCAATATCAAACTAATAAGTAAGTTAGAAACAGAAAAGAACACAATAGAGACTGCTGAAAATCTAATTATTGACCAAAATAAAAATTTTGACATAATCACAGTGACTACTTTTGGAAAGAGAAGATCAAATCAAAAAGAAGAAAGAGGGAGAGAGAAAGAAAGAAAGAAAAGAAAGAGAGAAAGATGAAGAAAGACAAGGGTGGTCCAAAATAAAAATAATTGGCATCCCTAAAGTAGAAAAATCAGTGAAGGAAAGAGGGAAGATGTTTATAATATAGAATTTTCCCAAAATGAATAATTTAATCTATAATTTTAAAAAGTATATGCCCTTTGAGGGATAGTTGATACAGAATGCTCAACACCAAAATACATGCTGTTCAAGTTATTGAACTTCAATGACAGAAAATATTTCTTGTATATCTAGAGTAACAGTACAAATCATTGACAAGGTGCTAAATAAGACATGACAGAGACTTCCCAAGTGAGACATTCAATCAAAAGACAAGAAAGCAACGTGCTGAGAAAAGACAATGTGGCCCAAGACTATTATACCCAATTAAGATGTCAAGATGTAGTTCAAGAATAATGGTTACCAGATGAAATTGTCATAAAGATATTCAGGAATATAGCCCTCATGAGCCTCCTTAAATAAATCCATCCAATTAAAAGGTGTATCAGAATAAAACTCAGGAAAGGAGAAGCTGCAGTGAAAGGACTGGTGGTGACTTCTGAATCTATCTACAGAACTAACCAATAGTGGACCATGACATAAATTATAGCTGCAGAGGAGAATTTTAATATGCTAAATCTATGATGCATAAAGTCATTAATAAGTATTTGGAGGTAGGTGGAGAGGAGGAGATGGAAAGAAATGAGAGTACTGATGTTGTTCTCTTCCAAAGCAGGAAGTTAATAGAGACTGCCAAAAATGGAAATTTTTATTGTTATTTATTATTTTTGAATAGTTTTTATTTTAAAAATCACACCTATAATATGATTCTATGTGATAAAATTATTTCTATCTTTCCATAAATATGTGTATAGGAAGATATCTAAAATAATGTTCCCCAATGTTAACTGTGGTAATTTTTGTGTGGCAGAATTTGGTGGGACTCTTTATTTGCATATTTTTTCCATCATTTTAATTCTTCATAATGAGCATGACTTTTGTACAAATGTAATAAGACAAGGGAGGAGGAGAAATAGAGAGAGGTCAGTTAACAGATATAAAATTACAGCTAGATGAGGGCTCTAGATTCTACAGCTCTGTAGGGTGATTATGGTTAACAGTACTTTATTGTACATTTCAAACAGCTAGAAGAGAGGGTTTTGAATGTTCCCAACACAAAGAACCAATACATGTTTGAGGTAATAGATGTACTAATTACACCAGGCACAGTGGCTGACATCCATAATCCCAGCACTTTGGGAGACTGATCTGGGAGCATTACTTGAGTTCAGGAGTTTAAGACCAGCCTGCGCAACATAGTAAGATTGTATCTCCAGATAAAAAATACACTAATTACCTTGATTTGATTCTTACACATGGTATACATATATCAAAAGAGCACACTGTACCCCATAAATATGTACAATTATTATATGTTGATTAAAATAATGAAAAAAACAAAAGTAATAAGATAATTTTTGAGAAAAAACAAATATGATATGATTAATTCTAGGTGGTCATAATATGAAAGATTGTTATTTTATTTTCTTCATTGTACTTTTTATATTTTTAATTTTACTATTTTAATTTTAAAACAGAAAAATATTTTATGCTACATTTTTCATAATTCAATCCAACCTAAATGACTCTTTTCATGGTTTCACTTCACCTTCCAATTCACAGACTACATACCAGAATAATGGACAGGATAAGTGGGAGTTTGAATTCGTCCAAGCTTTCCTCTTCGAGTTACATGCCCTAGTGTCAGCATCAGCACAGAGGAGGTGATACTCTTTTCTGTGTACAAATGTGCCCTCTGCTCAGCAAGGCTGTAAGCCCAGATTGCTCTCTACCTGAGAAAGTACCTTTTTCTAATTCACACAAAGTTGCCACATAGGGTAATTATGATCTTCATTTGCTTAATCAGATTCTGAAAAGAACAAATTCAGATTTTATTAGGACAAAGCAGAACACGTTTTAAGGGAAAATAATAAAATTTTGGAATTGAGAAAAATTACCCCAGAAATAACTACAAAATGTTATTTCAATACTTCTTTTTTTTTTTTTTTTGAGGTGGAGTCTTGCTCTATCACCCAGGCTGCAATGCAGTGATACAATCTCAGCTGACTGCAACCTCCACCTCCCAGGTTCAAGTGATTCTCCTGCCTCAGCCTCCCGAGTAGCTGGGACTACAGTTGCGTGCCACCATGCCTGGCTAATTTTTTGTATTTTTAGTAGAGACGGGGTTTCACCATGTTAGCCAGGATGGTCTTGATCTCCTGACCTCGTGGTCCTCCCGCCTTGGCCACCCAAAGTGCTGGGATTACAGGTGTGAGCCACCCTGCCTGGCTATTTCAATACTTTTATAATTGCGAGAATTTTACAATGTCTTTGGTTGATGTCTTCTGTTTAACAGACTGAGTTGTGTTATTCGCCCAAATGAGGAGTCTGAAGGGACTGTATCTTTTGGAAAATAAAGATTAAGAATGTATTTTATGAAACACTAGAACTAACTACATTGCTATACTGTAGAATTATCTGAACACCAAAAACAGGAATAATTTCACTGTGTCTGTTAAGGCACCCATGTATGATGGAAGCCTGGTTTCTTTTAATAAGCACTCAGAGTGATCAAACAGGGCAACTTCCCATTTTCAAGTTCTAAGAGGGCTTATTTATTTATTTATTTATTTATTTTTTGGTAGAGTCTAGGTTTTTCCATATAAGATCATGCTGTCTGCAGACAGGGACAATTTGATTTCCTCCTTTCTAATTTGGATGACATTTACTTCTTTCTCCTGCCTAATTACTTTGGCTAGGCCTTCCTGTATTACATTAAATGCGAGTGGTGAGAATGGATGTTCTTGTTTTGTTTTAGTTCTTAGAGAAAAAACTTTCAGCTGTTGCATGTTCAGTAAGATGTTAGCTGTGGGTTTGTCATGTATGGCCTTTATTACTTGAGGTAATTTCCTTCTATACTTAATTTATTAAGAGGTTTTTTTAATTATGAAAAGCTTTTTATCAAAAGCTTTTTCTGCATCTATTGAGATGATCACATGATTTTTGTCCTTCATTCTACAGATGTGATGTGACATTTATTGATTTGCATGTTTTGAACCATCCTTGTATTCTTGGGATAAATTCAACTTGATCATGGGGATGTGTTGTTTTTGATATATTGTTTGATTCAATTAGCTGGTATTTTGTTGAGTGTTTTTTGTGTCTGTGTTCATCAGGGATATTGGCCTGTAGTTTTCTTTCTGTGTTGTGTTCTTATCTGGTTTTGGTATCAGGGTTGGTTATGCTGGTCTCATAGAATGAGTTAGAAAGAATTTCCTCTGCTTCGATTTTTTTAAATAGTTTGAGAATAGTTATTATAAATTCTTCTTTAAAGGTTCAGCAGAATTCAGTGGTGAAGCCATCTGGTCCTGGACTTTGCTTTATTGGAAGACTTTTTACTACTGATTCAATCTCATTACTTGTTATTGGTCTTTTCAGGATTTTTAGTTACTTCTTGGTTCAATCTTGGTAGGTTGTATGCATCTAGGAATTTATCCATTTCCTGTAGGTTTTTAAATTTTTGGCCTATAGTTGTTCATAGTAGTTTCTAATAATCCTTTGTATTTTTATGATATCCCTTGTAAAATCTTTTTGCATTTCTGATTTTATTTATTTGGGTTTCTTTCTTTTTTTTATTGAGACAGTTTCACTCTTGTTGCCCAGTCTGGAATGCAATGGAACTCTCAGCTCACTGCAACCTCTGCCTCCCAGGTTCAAGAAATTCTCCTGCCTCAGCCTCCCAAGTAGCTGGGATTACAGGTGCCTACCACTATGCCCAGCTAATTTTTTTGTATTTTTAGTAGAGACAGGGTTTCGCCATGCTGGCCAAGCTGGTCTCAAACTCCTGACCTTGGGTGATCCACCCGCCTTGGCCTCCCAAAGTGCTGGGATTACAGACATGAGCCACCACACCCAGCCTTGGGTTTTTTTCTTAGTTTAGCTAATGGTTTGTTGATTTTATTTATCTTTTTGAAGCACAAGCTTATTGTTTCATTGATCATTTATGTTTTTTGTCTCAATTTTGTTTATTTCTGCTTTGATCTTTATTATATCTTTCCTTCTACTAATTTTAGCCTTGGTTTGTTCTTGCTTTTCTAGTTCCTTGAGATGCACTGTTAGGTTGTTTATTTAAAATCTTTCTATTTCTGATGTAGGCAAGTTTATAGCACTTACTGTGTATTAGTCTGTTTTCATGCTGTGGATAAAGACATACCTGAGACTGGTAATTCATAAAGAAAAAGGAGGTTTAATGGACTCACAGCTCCACATGGCTGAGAAGGCCTCACAATCACAGCAGAAGGTGAAAGACAGGTCTTAAATGGCAGCAGGCAAGAGAGAGAATGAGAAGCAAGTGAAAGGGGTTTCCCCTTATAAAACCATCAGATCTCATGAGACTTATTCACTACCATGAGAACAGTATGGGGGAAACTGCCCCCATGATTCAATTACCTCCCACCAGGTCCCTCACACATGTGGGAATTATGGGAGCCAAAATTTGAGATGAGATATGAGTGGTGATACAGCCAAATCACATCATACTGCTATAAACTTGGCTCTTACTATTGCTTTTGCTATGTTTCATTGGTTTTGTTATGTTGTACTTTTATTTTCATGTTTTGAGGAATGTTTAAATTTAATTCTTAATTTCTTTCTTCACCAGTCATTCTGAAGCATGTTGCTTAATTTCCATTCATTTTTATAGTTTAAATGTTCCTCCTGGTATGGACGTTTAGTTTTATTTCATTGTGGTCAGATTATATATTTGATATATTTCAATTTGTAAAAATTTTTGAGACTTTTTTTGTGTTCTTAGCATATGGCCAATCCTGGAGAATATTCCAGGTGCTGATGAAAATAATATATTATATATTCTTCAGCCATTGGGTAAAATGTTCTGTAAATGTTTGTTAGGTTCATTTGGTCTATGGTGGATTTTTAAATCTGATATTTCTTTGTTAATTTTCTGTCAAGATGATATCTTTAATACTGAGAGTGGAGTGTTGAAGCCCTCGGCTATTGTTGCATTGGGATCTATTGCTCCCTTTAGATGTAATATTTGCTTTATATATCTGGGAGTTGTGCAGTTGGGTGCATATATATTTACAATTGCTAATTCTCTTGTTGAATTGACCCCTTTATTATTATACAGTGCCCTTCTTTGCCTCTTTTTACAGCTTTTAACTTAAAGACGTTTGTTTTGTCTGACATAAGCATAGCTATTTCTGCTCACTTTTGGTTTCCATTCGCATGAAATAACTTTTCCCATCCTTGCACTTTCAGTCTATGTGTGTCTTTGCAGGTGAGGTGAGTTTCTTGCAGGCAGTATATAATTGGGTCTTTCTTTATCCATTCAGCCAGTCTATATTTTTCAAGTGGGGAATTTAATCCATTTACATTCAAGGTTAATACCGGTAAGTGAGGACTTTTGTCATTTTATTGACTGCTTTCTGGTTGTTTGGCATTCCTTTGTTCCTTACATCTTCTCTTATTGTTTATTTTTGTGGTTGGGTGGTTTTCTGCAGTGATAAGTTTTGATTCTTTTCTCTTTCTCCTTTGTGTATTAGCTCTACCTGTGAGTTTTTATAGTTTCACATATTTTTATGATGGTGGTTATTGTCTTTTCACTTCCAGATGTAAGACTGCCTTAAGCATCTCTTGTAAGGCCAGTCTAGTGATGATAAATTCCCTCAGTTTTTACTTGTCTGTGAAGAGGTTTTGTTTATCTTTTATTTCAGAACTATAGACTTCCTTGGTATAATATACTTGGTTAGTAGTTTTCTCTTTCAATACTTTGAATATATCATCCAATTATCTCCTGGCCTGTAAGATTTCTGTGGAGAAATTCATTGTTAGTCTAATGGAGATTCCATTATATGTGACTTGATGGCTTTTCTCTTACTGATTTAAATTCTTTCTTTGTCTTTGACTTTTGACAATTTGACTATAATGTGCCTTGTAGAGAACCTGTTTGGATTGAATCTATTTAGAATTTTTTCGGTTTCCTGGGCCTGATGTCTATCTTTCTCCCAAGACTTGAGAGGTTTTCTGTTATTATTTCATTAAGTATGTTTTTCTCACTTTTTTCTTCTCCTTTTAGAATGCCCATCATACAAATATTTGTTTGCTTAATGATGTCCCATAAATCTTGTAGGCTTTCTTCATTTTTTGTTTTGCTTTGTCTGCCTATGTTATTTCAAGAGACATATCTTCAAATTTAGAAATTCTTTCTTCTGCTTGGTCTAGTCTGTTGTTGAAACTCTCAATTGTATTTTTTATTTCATTCATTGAATTCCTCAGCTCTAGGATTTTCATTTCATTCTTTTTAATGATATCTATCTCTTTGTTGAATTTCTCATTCAAATCATGAATTGTTTTCCTGATTTCATTGAATTGTCTATTCGTATTCTCTTATATCTCATTAAGTATCCTTAAGATTATCGTTTTGCGTTCTTTTTGTGGCATTTCATGTATTTCCTTATGACTGGTTTCTGTTACAGGAGAATTATTGTTTTCCATTGGAGGTGACATATTTCCTTGCTTTTTCATGGTTGATGCATCCCTACACTGATTTCTATACATCTTGTGGGAAAGTCCCCTCTTTCCATTTTGTGTAGTAGATTTTGTAGGGAAGAATTTATTTGTATGAATGGGTCTTGGAGGGCTAGTTCAGTGGGGTGTGTTGGCTTTGGTTCTAGGTGGATGTATTAGTGTAGTCTCTGAGTAGTTTCTTCAGCTGTAATCTATACAAGTGGCATTTGCAAGTTTCTCATTGGCCTAGGTTAAGACAGTTTGCAGTGACAGTGTTGCAGCTTTGTCAAGGATGGGCTTTCTGGGCTATTTCTCAGGTCGAGAGTGTGTGTATTCACATGGTGGGTCAGCCAACTGAGTTCTGACTCACTGGGGTTGCGGCTGTGGGGCTATTACTCCAGCCAGGAGCACAAGCACATGGTTGCTCAGCCAACGTGGGAGCATTGCTTCCAGGAGCAACTTATGGAGCTGTTTTTCAGGCCTAGGATGTGAGTGCACAGCTACTCGGCTGACCTGGGGGTGTGCCTACCAAGGGCAACCTGTGGGACTGTTTCTCAGTCCCATATTGGAGATGCAGGGTCATTGGGCAGGCCAGGAGCATGCTTGTGGGGGTTGAGGATGCTACGGGGCTGTTCTGAGAGCAAGTATGTAGCCATTCCATTGGCCCCAGAGTGTATCAGCTACTTGGAAGCTCAGGGTCTCCCACATAGGGGTGTGTGTGCAGCAGCTTAGCTGACTTAAGAGCATGTTCATCCTGAGCGGGACTGGCAGATTATTCCTTCAACTGGAAGTGTAGCCAATCCTGGGCCCAGGGTCCACACAGCTGGGTTTGTAGCATTCAATCACCTATGTGGGCCTTGCATAATGAAGATGGAGCTTCAGTGCTGGAGAGATACAGTAGCTACTGGCCCTCAGAGAAGGGTGCACTCCAGAGATATGGAGTTTCAAGGTGGCTCTGGTTTTAAGACAGTACTGTACTGTGGCAGTTTGGCTCGCAAGGAGTGTGTTGGGGGTGGAGAGTGCATACCTTATGCTCCTAATCTGGGGCAGTACAACTGCCTGAATTCCCAGCAGCACTCCAAATAGGGCTCAGGGCTTGTGAGGACTGTGTTTTATTCTCCTGTAGTATGGAACATAGGTGTTTGTTATGGCAGTAAGGGCTGGTGGGGATCTTCTGCTTACCTTTTCCCTGCAACAGAAAGTCCATCCTGTCTCCAGCCCAATCCAATCTAGGTTGTGAGAAATGGGATTTAAGAGGCCATGTGCCTCCAAACTGCCCTCCTGGACTTTCACTCACCACAGTGCACCTCCAGCCCTCCACTGCATCCCAATGTTCTCTTCCTTTGACACTCCAGTCATATATTAGCATTTATATATTGTCTTCGTCCCGTCCTATGGGGGAGACAAGTACCAGGCATCTCTAGTCAGCCATTTTGCTGGCTTCTCTCTCATATTAGTTTTATGTGCCTATCTTAAATATATATATATATATATATATATATACACATATATATTTAATACATGTATATATAATTATTTCTACAATAATATTCCAAGGTTACATCTAAGTCATCTAAATGAAGCAAGCTGGAGAAAAGAATTCCATTTGGAAATTATTCTACTTGATCCTGTTTCCACTGCCAATTCTCTGAAGGCATATTAATTCTCTGGGCTATTTGGAAGCACTTGAATTATTTGAAGAATTGCCAGATCACTCATCTTCAACATTTCTTCATGTAGCATCCAGGAATAATGGCTGAGGGAGTTACATTTTGTTCCCTTTATTCAGCACATTCATTCAGTTTCTCAGTAGCATATGAAGTATTCTTGAAACTCGTGGCAAATTACTGGGCTTTTCACATAGCATTTAAAAAGATCAGCAAAATCCAGTATTTTAGCACTTGCATAACAATGTATTTTTACCAGAACTGGCTTTAAGGGTACAATTAAAATTTTTTATTAAGCACCTTAAGGAATTTCAAATACTACATCAAAAATTTCAGTTCAAAGACAGTTTTCCAAACAATAGTAATTAATGTTTGTGATATGGGAAGTGGGCAGGGAAGTGCTGGGTATAGAAGTGGGAGGCTCCACCCTCAGGCCTATGCCCACAGACAGAAGTGAGAACAGGCACTCCTGTTTTTACGCCCAAATGTTGCATTTTCAAAGACCACTCAGGCCCACCACACCCCGCCTCCTGTGCCCATATAAACCTGAGGACTTAGTGGGCACACACACAAGCGGCTGAACGTTGAGACCAGCAGACCAGCAGACCAGCAATGGTGGAATGATGTGACAGAGAAAGAGAGAAGAGGAGGGATGTCCAGATGCCAAGAGGAGTTCAGCTGGAGGCGTTTGGAGAAGAGTCCGGCTGCTGGGCGGCCCGACTCCAGGGGAAAATCACCTTCCCACTTCATACCCCACTTGCCGCTCCCCATCAATCTCACTGAGAGCCACCTCCACCACTCAGTAAAACCTTGCACTCTTCCTTCGAGCCCACGTGTGATCTGATTTTTTCAGGACACTGAGCAAGAGCTCGAGATACAGAAGACTGTCACACTGGCCCTCTGCCCTTGCAATAAGGCAGAGTCCATTGAGCTGATTAACACACAAGCCATCTACAGATGGCAAAGCTGAAAGGGCTTTGTAACACTGGGGTTGCAGGCAACCAACCAGCCCCTAGACACTACCGCGGGGCTGAGAGCCTGAAGCACTCACCCTGGCCTGTGCACCTGCCCATCTGCATGCTCCCCCTAGGGGGTTGAGCTGCAGGGCTACCAAGCAGGAGAGTCACTCCTCTGCTGCATGTTCTGTGAGGAGAATCAGGGAACTCTCCTATTTCATTTGCATTAATAGTCTGAGAGCTTTTAAATATTGATTCTTTCTAAACTTATTTGCTGGAAAGATATTTATAAAAAGTTGAAAGTAAAGAAACATCAGCACTTCAAAATCTTAATAATTTTGTCATTCTGAGCAGAGTAATAATAAAAACTCCCTCTACTACAGTAGATGTGATTTAATTTTCGTAATGATATTAAACAAATCCCTATTTAATTCATCTGTGCACTCTTGGTCAAGCTACTTAATCTCTCTGCACCTGAAATTTTGATTGATTAATTTTGTGAATATTTATCAAGTATTTACAATGTACTACACAAGGAAGACAAAATAGCTTTAAAAAAGAAATGAGGAATATCTTTATATATTTGGTTTTTAATTTTTTCAAAAATAATTTCCACTTTTATTTTAGATTCAGGGTACATGTGCAGTTTGCTAGGTAGGTATATTGTGTGATGCTGAGGTTTGGGATATGAATGATTCCATCATTCATTCAAGCAGTGAGCATAGTACCCAATAGTTAGCTTTTCAAACCTTGCCCCCTCCCTTCCTCCTCCCTCTAGTAGTTCCAGAATCTATTATTTCCATCTTTATGTCCACAAGTACCTAATATTTAGTGCCTACTTTTTATATGTTGTTATGAAGTGATCTCAGAAAAACTTTTAATTGAAGTTTAAATTTTTCAATTGAAGTAATCATTTGACTAAATTTTATATTTAAGAGAAAAAAGCAAGTAAAGAAGAGCATGTATAGTAAGTTTCCACTAATCTAAGAAAAAGAGAGGGATATAAATAAGAAAAAGAGCTAAAAAAAGAACTACCTTTCAAACCCGTAATCCCATTACTGGGTATATACCCAGGGGAATATAAAGCATTCTACCATAAAGACATATGCATGCATATGTTCATTGTAGCACTATTCACAATAGCAAAGACATGGAATCAACCTAAATACCCATCAATGACAGATTTGATAAAGAAAGTGTGGTAAATATACACCATGGAATACTATACAGGCATAAAAAAGAATGACATAATGCAGGAACACGGATGGAGCTGGAGGCCATTATCCTTAGCAGACTAATGCAGGGACAGAATGCTCTCACTTATAAGTGGCAGCTAAATGATGAGAGCTCATGAACACCAAGAAGGGAGCAACAGACACTGGGGCCTACTTGAGGATGGGAGGAAGGAGAGGATCAGAAAAAATAACATTGGGTACTAGGCTTAGTACTTGGTTGATGAAATAATCTGTATAACAAACTCTCGTGACATGAGTTTACCTACATAACAAACCTGCACATGTACACCAGAACTTAAAATAAAAGTTAAAAAAAAATCTATGATACAAACTCTCAACAAACTAGAAGACAAAGTGCCTGCTAAGGAGAATTTTTTAAAATTCTGTAAAAACAAAAAAACAAAACAAAAACAACAACAACAAAAAAACAGTGTACAAATGCAGGAATCCCCTTTAAGACCAGAAACAAGCTACACATTTCTGTTTTCACAGCTTTCCCTCATCATTGTACTAGAGCAAGGGTGTCCAATATTTTGGCTTCCCTGGGCCACACTGGAAGAAGAAGAATTGTCTTAGGTCACACATAAAATACACTAACACTAGTGACAGCTGATGAACTAAAGAAAAACATTACCAAAAAAAATCTCAAAATGTTTTAAGAAAGTTTACGAATTTGTGTTGGGCCGCATTTAAAGCTGTCCTGGGCTGCATGCAGCCCGGGGCCATGGGTTGGACAGGCTTGAGAGTCCAGCAAGTACAATAGACAAGAAAAAGAAATAAAAACCTATACTTGGAAAGGAAGAAAAACATCATCATACACAGATGATGTGATTTTTCTTTGTAGAAAAATCCAAAAAAATCTACAGGTAATTTTTAGAATTAATAAGCATAAGGTTCCTGAATACAGAAGCAATATCCCAAATTCATTTGTATTACTCTATATCAGGACCAAGTGGAAAATTTTAGAGAGATTATTGCATTTACAAAAGCCATAAACAATATAAAGGATCTAGAAATAAATCTAAGAAAAGACATTTAAGGACATTGGGGAAAATATAAACATTTGTTCAAAATATTATAGAAGATGTAAATAAATCAAGACATGACTATGCTAGTGAGATGTGAGACTCAATAGCATGTCAGTTCTCTTGTGTTCTTGTGTGTAAATTGCCAAGTTAATTCTAAAGTATTTATAGGAATAAAAAGGGTAAGTTTAGTGTAAGACTCTTTTGTAGACTTTTCTGGTATATCAAAACCTGTATAAGGCTAAATGAAGAGACATGACACATTCCTGGATAGGATGCCTTAGTATAATAAAGATGTCTATTTTCCACAAATGCACACAAAAATTTTACATGGTTTCAGTCAAAATCCAAATTGGGATTTTTGAAAAACTTAATGAAATGGTTCTAAAATTTATCTGAAAGAGACAAAATGTCTGAAAGGCAAAGGAAGTTACATAAAAGCATATACAAGGAACATACGCCATCTGATCACAAAATTTATGATGAAGTTACAATATTTTGTGTTGTAATTCTACTACTGCAGACATCCTAAAGTACTGAATATATAGTTCATAAATAGACTCTCATTTTTAATGTAGCCACCCCTGCTGTCTTTTGATTATTATCTGCATAGAATATCTTTTCCCACTCTTTTGCTTTTAACCTATGTGTGTCTTAGTTTGAAAGTGAGTCTCTGTAGACGCATATAGTTGGATCTTGATGTTGCTTTTTTAAAAGATCCATTCTGCCAATCTGTTTTTGGACGGAGGAGTTTAATCCATTTACATTTAAAGTAATTCCTGATAGGGAAGGGCTTACGATTTTCATTCTGTTGTTTGTTTTCTGTTATACTTTTTACCCCTTGTTGCTTCCATTATCCCCTTTGTGTTTAGTTGTGTTTTTTTGGTGACACTTTGATTCCTTTCTCATTTTTTGTGTATATTCTATAGATATTTTTCTTTGTGATTACCATGCTGATTACGTATAACATCCTAAGTTATAGCAATCTACTTTAAACTGATACCATTTTAACTTGAATCACATACAAAACCTTACTCCTTTACATCTTCACTCCCTGTATGTTATTGATGTCACAAGTTACACATTTATATATTGTGTACCCAATAACACAAATTTATACTTTTTATGCTAATATGGTTTGGCTCTGTGTCCTCATGCAAATCTCAAGTCAAATTGTAATCCCCACGTGTCAGGAGAGGGACCTGGTAAATCATGGCGGTGGATTTAATATGCTGTTTTCATGATAGTGAGTGAGGTTTCATGAGATCTGATGGTTTAAAAGTATACACTTTCTCCTTTGTTGTCTCTCTCCTGCTGGCTTGTGAAGAAGGTGCTTGCTTCTCCTTCACCTTCTGCCATAATTATGTTTCCTGATGCCTCCCCAGCCATGTGGAGCTGAATCAGTTAAACCTCTTTTCTTTATAAATTACCCAGCCTCAGGTAGTTCTTTAAGGCAGTGTGAAAACGGACTGACACATGTGCTTTTGTCTTTTAAATCTTGTGGAAGAATAAAAAGTGGAGTTATATGCCAAAATTATGATAATATTGGTTCTTATATTTGTTCATGTGGCTACTTATGATGGAGAGCATTAAATTTTTATGTGGCTTTGAGTAACTCTCTAGTGTCCTTTCATTTCAACTTGAAGGACTCCCTTTAGCATTTCTTGAGGGCAGATCTATTGGCAATAAACTCCCTCAGTTATTATTTATCTTAATGTCTTAATTTTTCCCTCATTTCTGAGGGACAATTTTGTCAGATGTAGGATTCTCAGTTGACAGGTTTTTCTTTTTTCAGTACTTTAAATATATCATTCAACTGCCTTCTGTCCTGCAAAGTTTCTGCTGTGACATCCATTGATAATCTTATTAAGGATCCCTTGCACACGACATGTTTTTTTTTTATTGTTGCTTTTAAGATTATCTCTTTGTCTTTAGCTTTTGACAGTTTGACTATAACATATCTGAATGTGGGTCTCTTTAGGTTTATTTTACTTGGTGATCACGGAGCTTCTTGGAGTTCCTCAAACTTGGAAATAGTTTGACCCTTATTTCTTCAAATAAGTTATCTTCCCCCTTTTCTCTCTCTTCTCCTTCTTTTCCATGTTAGCTCTTTAAGTATATTTAAAGTCTTTATCTAGTAAATCTGATGCCTATGTTTCTTCATGAGTGATTTCTGAAGATTTATTTTATTTCTTAAAATGGACCATATTTTCCTATTACTTTGTATGTCTTGTGATCTTTTGTTAAAAATTAAGAATTTGAAAAAACAGCCACCTGTCCCAGTGTTTGCAGACAGGCTTCATGCAGGGGAAGACCTTCAACAGTTAGCAGGGTGTATTCTGAGCCTTGAGAATAGCTCCATATGGAGGGTTCAGGTCTTCTCAGTGCTGTTCTGGGAGTGTGTCTTCCCTGGGCCTGTGTGTGTGTGTTTTATTTCCAAATTACCTGTATAAATAGACGCTTTTAAATCTCTTAATTCCCGTAGAGTCTCGTTTCACCTCTTCTTGGGACCTAAGCTGTTCTATTGTATCCCTCCATGAGTAATCTCTTGCCCCAGACACCGGGTGGTCTGTGGTGTTCTTGTGGTTTTGCACAAGCCATGCCCACTGCTTCCCAGGGATTCTCCTCACCTGAGATCCAAGGCGCACCACTTGTGTTTATCTGAGCTCAGAGGTCCATCAGGCAGCCCCAGAGAGATTAGAGTGTTGTAAATTAGGTCCTTTCTGCTCTCTCCAACTCATGGAAGGGAACTTAGGACCAGGCCACTGTTTGCTCCAAATCATATAGCATCAGGAATGTGGTGAGATAAAGCAAGTAAAAACAACACAAATTTTACCACCATTCTGATTGTGGCTCTTCCTTGATGGGGTGTTTGCTTGGTTGCCTTAGATGTTTGGCAGATTTCCAGAGTTCATTTACTGTTAATTTAGACAGTCTCTAAATGTTCATGTAATATTTCTCTGGGGAAATGAGGGCCTGGAGCTTCCTAGTCTGCCTTCCTGCTGACATCACTCCACTAGACACTGTTTATTATGTTGAGTTAGCATATGATTAAAAAATCACTTTTAAAACATGGAAAATTACATATTTACCCATTCATTCAACTTTAATTTCTTGAATACTTGGAAAGTTCCAGGTACTGCTCTAGATAATAGAGACCCAGTAATGAATACAATAGACATTTTTGAAAATCCCTGTATTTGTAAAGATTACATTTTAGAGGACAAATATAAAAATTTTAAAAATAAGTAAATGATATCAGAATGCAGTAAGTACACTGGAGAAAAATCAAATAGAGAAGGAAAATGGGAGAGTGTACAATTTTTACAAAAGATGTGGAAGGTTGGTCTCACCCTATACCCAGTACCTATGTTCCAAGTTCTGACCCTATATCCACTACCAATACTCTAAGATTCTGACCATATACCCAGCACCTATGCTCCAAGATTCTGACTCTATACTCACTTTCTGTGCTCCAAGATTCCGACCCTATACCCAGTACCTATGCGCCAAGATTCTGATCCTATACCCAGTACCTATTCTCCAAGATTCTGACCCTATACCCATTACCAATTCTCCAAGATTCTGACCATATACCCAGCACCTATGCTCCAAGATTCTGACTCTATACTCACTTTCTGTGCTACAAGATTCTGACCCTATACCCAGTACCTATTCTCCAAGATTCTGACCCTATACCCAGTACCTATTCTCCAAGATTCTGACCCTATATCCAGTACCTATGCACCAAGATTCTGACCCTATACCCAGTACCTATTCTCCAAGATTCTGACCCTATATCCAGTACCTATGCACCAAGATTCTGACACTGTACCATTACATATCCTCTGTGCAACAGTGCAGAGATTAAACTCCTTACTCTGAATCCCAGATCTGCCACTCTGCAGCTGAACAATTCCAGACAGTTCTCTTATTCTCACACATCAATCTCTATGTTTGTAAAGTGGCAGTTATAAACGTTCTTACTCATGAGAACTAAATAAGTTATCAGATGCAACGCCCTTAGAACACTGCCTGTCACATTCAAAGTTCTAAGCAGGTGTCCACTGAAGCTGTATTATCGTCCCCTAAGTTCTACTGATACTGTTCAGGAGGCTGAGATGTTGGGAATAAGGAGGATAAGGGGCATGAGTTTTATCTCCAGGTAATATAATTAATGTTTACCATGGGGGTTTCTATAAGCTCAAAAGATTATGAATTTCTTTTTATATTATTCACTCTAGCTTGTATTTTTATAGTAATATTTTTCCTAGAACATAAAACAAAATTGGAAGCTATGCATGTAATAAATACTTATACCTAATAAAAATGCAAAATATTTTGTATGAATAAAAAATAAACTAATGGCCAGACATGGTGGTTCACCCCTGTAATCCCAGCACTTTGGGAGGCTGAGGCGGATGGATCAACCTGAGGTCAGGAGTTTGACACCAGCCTGGCCAACATGGCGAAACCCCATGTCTACTAAAAATACAAAAATTAGCTGGGCATGGTGGTGGGCACCTGTAATTCCAGCTACTCAGGAGGCTGAAGCAGGAGAATAGCCTGAGCCCGGGAGGCAGAGGTTGCAGTGAACCAAGATCGTGCCACTGCACTCCAGCCTGGGCAACAAGAGTGAGACTCCATCTCAAAAAAAAAAAAAAAAAAAAAAAAGAAAGAAAGAAACTAACATGTGTTGAGCATTATGATATGCAAGTGATACTTTTGTAAATATCTTCTTATCCTCTCAATCTTAAAAATATGGTGTTTTTTCAGTTGAGAAAAATTGAGATGCATAATTTAGTTTTCCTCAATATACTCAGCTAGCAAAAGACAGACTCAGGATTCAAACTCAAGTCAAAGATGGGACTCTTTGAGAGAAAGAGAGAGAAGGAGGAGGAGGAAGAGGTGGAGAGGGAAGGAAGAAAGGAGGAAAGCAGGAAGGGAAGAAGAAATAGAGCTCCTGGAAAAGGAACAAAATCAGAATTATCTGATGGGGCAAAAAGATTCTACTTGTTGAATACAGGTGATGTTGGCCATGTGGTTTGATTGTGTGCACAGCACCAACAGGCATCCATTTGTGCAGCACTGGCCACCTGCAGTGAAGCACTGTCTCTAGGGACTGCAGGAGAGTAATCAGATGGCTCCTGAGGTTACTTCCCTTAGACGGTATTCACGGAGAAAAGTAAGTCCCTAATGTGGGGCCAGACACATCAGATGTAGAAAAGGCATTTGTTGAAATTTAACACCCGTTATTTTTTAAAACATACTTTAAAAATCTCCAATTTTCTATACAGTCTTACAAATCCTAATTTTACTCATTTTTCCAGCTCCAATCCAGTCTAAAATTCTTTTTGAATCTTTTTCTTGAAATCTGGCTTTAGATATTGCAAACCCTAATATACTGCTACATGTGACCATTTCAGTTTTGCCCTGACCCCTACTACGTGGAGCTCACTGCCAGGGAGTGCTCCTTGCTCCTAGGGCATGGCCTTTCTGGGTCTCAACTAGATTCTCACAGTGTTAACAAGTTTCTCCAATCTGGCTGGGACCAAATTACCATGTCTCTGCAGCATTTGGTGAGCTCTTAATTCTCTGTTCAATGTCAGCCTCTCCTGGCTGTTTTCTCAGAGGATTTTCAGACTCTTTTCTTATGCACCTGCTGCTTAGAGTAAGCCAAGTGTATGGGGACATGTTTTACACAGACTTTTGGGCCCACTTTTCTGCAGCTTCCTACTCTTAAATTTCCTGTCACCTTAGCATTTCTTGAATTTCAGTCTTTGCTTCCTCTGCCCAGAGAGACTACTGGTCTCTACTTGGACCCCATTTCCCTGTGCTGAGATTTAGAAGGAGAAAGCTGGGATGAATGTGAGGCCCATGTGTGCACCCTCTTCTCTTGAGGATCGTAGCCCTGCATTTGTTGTCGAATGCTTGGCAAGAGTTGTTTTGCACATTTTGCTCAGCTTTTATGTTTGTTTATGGCAGGAGGATTAGTCCAATATCCACTAAACCATCACAAACAGAATATGAAGTGGTACTTTTTTATAGTGTAGAGGATGTTATATTTAAATAATTAAAATCCTAGGGTGATATTTTGTCTCCTAGCACGTATTTTGCTCTGACAGGTGCCAAGAGCCATAATAATTCAGTTTCAGGGGTTGAGTTGATTCACAGTTAGGTGTTGGTTACCACATCAGTCTGCATCTACTTCCAGTTACCCTGTTCCAGCAGGATTTCTGGTTTTCCAACCCAAAGTATGAGGCTCCTGAAGCACCACCCCCTGCTGGTCCCTGGATGCCAACATTTTCCCTGTAGCCCAGGAAGCTGTCAATGTTTCATCCAGGACAAGAGAGGCTGCAAGCACTGGGTGACTTCTCTCCATCTCTGTCTTCTTAGGAAGCATGAGCCTGGGGCTCCTCAGTGTCCTCGGCATCCTGAGGCTTCGTGCAGACACAGACATCTGTCCAGTGCTTCTACTTGACTTCAACCCGAGGGTTGGCCCAATTATCTATACCAGGGGTCAGCATACTCTTTTTGCAAAGGGCCAGATAGTAAACATTTTAAGATGTGTGGAGAATTCAGGCTCCATCAACCCCTCCCTTCTGCTGTTGGAGTGCAAAAGCAGCCATAGGTGATATGTGTGAGCGAGCATGGCTGTGTCCCAATAAGTCTTTGTTTACACACCAGTCATCAGGCCAGCTTTGGGCTGTGGGCCACAGTTTGCCAACCCTGATCTAGGTTGTTTCCAAGGCCTTACTTTTCATCTTGTCATGTTTTTTGATAAGGTTTCCTCACATATGAATTCCTGGAAGAACGAACCAAGCTATACATTTCTTGGTATCATCCTCTAGCTAAGCATCAAGCTGGGCACAAGTTGTGTTTAATAAGTGCTATTAAATACTAAGGGAGAAAGGATGGTTGCAAGGGGGCACTGTCTAGTTTCCAGTGGAGTCTGGACTGAGAAAAGTGTTGTATATGGGAAATTGTAGCTGAGAATTTTCAAGGAAAGATGTTTTTCAAATTTCTTGAAAGATCAGGAATTAGAACTTCTCAAAGAGGAGAGTAATTTTGTGTTTTAGCTTTTACTAAATTACCTATAAGAGGAAAGAGTAGGCATTAAAATATATTACAAAGGTTGTCATCTTTCAAGTTTTTGAACACATATATTCAGCTATGTTCCTTCAGTTGTTTGAAGTTTATTGTTTCTAGGAGTTATCTTGATTTTTCCCTAAGCATCCAATAATTTCATCTTAAATCACGACATCAACTACATTTCTAAAGACCGGAATGCTTTCAGAATTACTTTATATGCATGAAGAATGGTTCTACCTCTTTTCTTAGATAAACTCAGTGATAATAAACACTGAAAAAGCCTTCAGAATAAAAACTGAAAAAAAAAAGATACAGTAAGCCCTTCTTGTGAAGTAAAAGAGCATTAATATGAGACATTTAAAAACGGGCCAGATAAAGTGGGTAAAATTGATATGTCCCTGAATTTAAAAAAAACTGAAAGTAAACTGACCCTGTAAAACTCAAGAAAACTAGAAGACAACAAATATAAATCAATTTAAATAAGAAGAAAAATGTGACAAATGTAAACAATCAGGAAATTAGTTAACAACAAGAAAAATAGAATTGTTGAATCAAACCAAGAACTGGTATTTCAGAAGACAAATCTTTCAGAAATCTCACCAAGAAAAATAGAGAAACCATAAACATCAAGAATGAGATGAGAGATTGCACACAGATATGAATGGAATGAAAGAAATTATAAGTTTGGGGGCAGAAAAGTGGTAAGTCAAGAGGAAATAGGTGATTATCTAGGAAAAAAATAAGTTATCAAAATTGATTTAAGAAGAGGTAAACACATGAGTAAACTTCTAATGACTAAAGTTATTCAAACAGCCATTACTAAAAAGGAACAAAGGAAACGTGGTTTTAAAAGACAAATCTTTTGTAGTCTTCAAGTAATACTTAGTTCTTATACATTGTACTATGGTTTGAATGTGTTCCCTCCAAAATTCAGGTATTGATGCTTGACGGCCAAAGTAAAGATATTAAGAGGTGGGGTCTTTAAGAGGTGATTAGGTCATGAGGGCTCCACCTTTCCTGAATGAAATTAGGCCGCCTTATAAAAGGGCTTCATGGAGGGAATCTGTTTTGCTTGCCCTTCTGTTTTCTGCAATGTGAAGATACAGTGTTCCTCCCCTCTAGAGGGGATACAGCAACAAGGTGCCATCTTGGAAACAGAGAGCAGCCCTCACCAGACAACTGAATCTGTTGGTGCCTTGATGTTGGACTTCCCAGCCTCCTAAACTGTGAAAAAATACATTTCTGCTCTTTACAAATTTGCCAGTCTGTGATATTCTGTGATAGCAGCACAAAATTGACTAAGACAATATGTAAATATATAATATAGTTCAATATTAGTCTAGGTTCTAAGGTTTAGAATAGTACTTAACAAATTTAACAAGAAAGGTACAAGATCTATATAAGGAAGATGAAAAAACTATTAAGGCAAAATAGGATCTGAATAAATGGAGACACCACTTATCTGCTTGGGGAAGTATGTATATATGTTCATTCTCTTGAGAGAACATATACATTTTAATGCAAAAATACATTGTTTCTTTTTAAAAAAATTAAGCTCATCTGGAAGAATAACTAAATTTAAAATGCCAATTTTTCCCCCTTTTTACAGGGTCTCTTTCTGTTGTTCAGGCTGGAGAGCAGTTGTGTGAACATGGCTCACTATAGCCTCAACCCCCTGTGCTCAAGTGATCCTCCAGCCTCAGACTTCTGAGTAGCTGGGACCACTAGCATGTGTCACCATGTTCAGCTAATTTTAAAATATTTTGTAGAGATGAGGTCTCACCATGTTGCCCAGGTAGGTTTCCTGGGCTCAAGCTCTATCCTCCTCTATCCTCCTGCCTCAGCCTTCCAAAGATTATAGGCACCTGACCCCCAAAAAAATTTTTAATAAGGCAATTAAGACTCCATAAATATCAGAACATAGTATAAAGTTACAGTGATTCAAACAGCATGATATTTGTTCAAGAACAAACAGACTGGGAGATAGAATTAGGTCCCCAAACAGACCCATGTACCTATAGGTACTTAGAATCTGAGTAAGGTAGGGGCAGGGCTAAAAAGACCAACTAGAAACAGCAGCTATCAGAGGCTTCCATCATAAAGAACCGTAATTAGCATGTGAATCCTTCACCAGCAACCAAGGTATCCAGGTCTTCTCATCAGAACTGACTAGGCGGCTGACATGATCCACAGCAAGGAAGGAAAAGCAGTGTGGTGCAACGGCCCAACTGAGAGCTGCACAGGACAGGGGAGCCCCCACCTGCCAGCCAAGGGAGACAGTGAGTGAGCATGCTACCCAACTGGGGAAAACGTCCTTTTTCCATGGAATTGTGCAACCCATGAATCAGAAGATCCCACTTGTGAACCCACGCCACCAGGGCCTAGGGTCCCAACCCAGGAGCCACGCAGACTCTCAACAGCCTCTCAACTGGAATCTGCCTAAGTCTGCTGAGCTCCCAGGGGAAGAGGTGACCAGCACCACAGCTGTGGCTACCTACTGCCTAAGCCATTTGAGCTCCTGTGGGAGGGGCAGCAGCCAGCACTGGGACTCATAACTGCCTAACATGCTAAGCTCCCTAGGTGGGGGAAGAGTGGCATCCATCTCTATAGTTCCAGGCCATGCTTTTCCCATGCTGGAGCCAGAGATGCTGGATGGCTTGGTCCCCAAGAGATGTCCTCCACAGCCCAGCACACTGGCTGTTGCAGACTGTGGCCAGAGCACCTCTTCAGGCCTGACCCTGACACATCCCTCCTCACTGGGTGGGGCTTCCCTGCAGGAACTCCAATAACTCCAACCAGAGGCTCAGGGACAGAACCCAAATCTCCATGGGCCTGAGCCCCTAGGGGAGGGGTGGCCGCAGTCTCTGCGGACCAGCAGACTTAACCTTTCTTTCTGTAGTTCTGAGGAATCCGGGCAGCCCAGATGAGTGGATTTCCCCTCAGTGAAGCACACCCTCTCCACCAAGAGACAATCGAAGTGCTTCATTAAACAGGTTCTGTTCCCTGTACCACCCAACTGGGTGAGACCCTCCAACAGGGGTTGTCAGATACCTTATACAGAAGCAATCCTACTGGCATCAGATTGGTGCCCCTCGAGGTCAGAGATCTTAGAAGAAGGAGCAAGCACCCATCTTTGCTGTTCTCCAGTCTTCTTGAGTGACAGCTCAGGTGCAGGAGCAAACCAGATGAATAGGGCCTCAAGTGAATCCCTAGCAAACCACAGCAGCCCTACAGAAAGGGGACCAGACCATTGAAAGAAAAACAAACAGAAAGCAACAACAGCATCATCAACAACAAAATGTCCCCACAAAAGCCCATCCAAGGGTCAGCAGCCTCAAATATCGGAACTAGACAAACTCATGAAGATGAGAAAGAATCAACAAAAAAACACCTGAAAACCCAAAAGGCCAGAGTACCTCTTCTCCTCCAAATGATTGCAATGCCTCTCCAGCAAGGGCAAAGAACTGGACAGAGGATGAGATGGATGAATTGACAGAAGTAGGCTTCAGAAGATGGGTAATAAAAAACTCCACTGAGCTAAAGGAGCATGTTCTAACCCAATTCAAAGAAACTAAGAAACTTGATAAAAGGTTAGAGGAGCTTCTAACTAGAAGAACCAGTTTAGAGAGGAACAGAAATGAACTGATAGAGCTGAAAAACACAGCACGAGAACTTCGTGAAGCATACACAAATATCAATAGCCGAATCTACCAAGCAGAAGAAAGGATGTCAGAGTTTGAAGACCACCCTACTGAAATAAGACATGCAGACAAGATTAGAGAAAAAAGAATGAAAAGGAATGAACAAAGACCCCAATATGGGACTTCATAAAAAGACTGAACCTACAATTGATTGGAGTACCAGAAGGAGACAGGGAGAATGGAAATGAGCTGGAAAACACATTTCAGGATATTATCCGGAGAACTTTCCCAACCTAGCAAGACAGGCCAACATGCAAATTGAGGAAATACAGAGAACACCACTAAGATATTCCATGAGAAGATCAACCCCAAGACACATAATCTTCAGATTCTCCAAAGTTGAAATGAGAAAAAAATGTTAAAGGCAGCCAGAGAGAAAAGCCAGATCACCTGCAAAGGGAAGCCCATCAGACTAACAGCAGACCTCTCAGCAGAAAACTACAAGCCAGAAGAGACTGGGGGCAAATGTTCAACATTCTTAAAGAAAATAATTTTTAACCCAGAATTTCATATCCAGCCAAACTAAGTTTCATATGCAAAGGAGAAATAAAATCCTTTCCAGACAAGCAAATGCTGAGGGATTTTCTTACCACCAGGCCTGCCTTGCAAGAGCTCCTGAAAGAAGCACTAAATATGGAAAGGAAAAACTGGTACCAGCCACTGCAAAGACACACCAAAATATAAAGACCAATGACACTATGAAGAAACTGCATCAACTAGTGAGCAAAATAACCTGATAGCAACATGATGATAGGATCAAATTCACACATAACAATACTAACCTTAAATGTAAATGGGCTAAATGCCCCAATTAAAAGGCACAGACTAGCACATTGGATAAGGAGTCAAGACCCATTTGTGGGCTGTATTAAGGAGACCCATCTCATATGCAAAGACACACATAGGCTCAAAATAAAGGGATGGAGGAAAATGTACCAAGCAAATGGAAAGCAAAAAAAAAAAAAAAAAAAAAAAACAAGAAAGAAAAAAAGAAAAAGAAAAAGCAGGAGTTGCAGCCCTAGTCTCTAACAAAACAGACTTTAAACCAACAAAGATTGAAAAAGACAAAGAAACACATTACATAATGGTAAAGGGATCAATGCAACAAGAAGAGCTATTTTAAATATACATGCACCCAATACAGGAGCACCCAGATTCATAAAACAAGCTCTTTGAAACCTACGAACAGACTTAGACTCACACACAACAGTAGCGGGAGACTTTAACACCTCACTGTCAATATTAGACAGATCAATGAGACAGAAAATTAACAAGGATATTCAGGGCTTGAACTCAGCTCTGGATCAAGTGGACCTAATAGACATCTATAGAACTCTCCACCCCAAATCAACAGAATATACATTCTTCTCAGTGCCACATGGCACTTATTCTAAAAGCGACCACATAATTGGAAGTAAAACACTCCTCAGCAAATGCATAACAAACAGTCTCTCCAACCACAGTGCAATCAAACTAGAACTCAGGATTAAGAAACTTACTCAAAACCACACAATTTCATGGAAATTGAACAGCTTGGTCTTGAATGACTCCTGGGTAAATAAAGAAATTAAGGGAGAAATCAAGAAGTTATTTGAAACCAATGAGGACAAAGAGAAAACATACCAGATTCTCTGGGACACAGCTAAAGCAGTGTTAAGAGGGAAATTTATAGCACTAAATGGCTACATCAGAAAGCTAGAAAGATCTCAAATCAACACCCTAACATCACAATTAAAAGAGTTAGAGAGGCAAGAGCAAACTAATCCAAATGCTAACAGAAGACAAGAAATAACTAAGATCAGAGCAGAATTGAAGGAGATAGAAACACAAAAAACTCTCCAAAAAAATATATGAATCCAGGAGCTGTTTTTTTGAAAAAATTAACAAAATAGATAGACCACTAGCTACTATAAACACCTCTATGCAAATAAACTAGAACATCTAGAAAAAATGGATAAATTCCTGGATGCATACACCCTCCCAAGACTAAACCAGGAAAAAGTTGAATCCCTGAATAGACCAATAACAAGTTCTGAAATTGGGGCAGTAATTAATAGACTATCAACCAAAAAAAAAAAAAAAAAGCCCAGGACCAGATGGATTCACAGCTGAATTCTACCAGAGGTACAAAGAGGAGCTAGTACCATTTCTTCTGAAACTATTCCAAACAATTGAAAAGGAGGGACTCCTCCCTAACTCATTTTATGAAGCCAGCGTCATTCTGTACCAAAACCGGACAGAGACACAACAAAAAAAAGAGAACTTCAGGCCAGTTAACCTGATGAACATCAATGTGAAAATCCTCAATAAAATACTGGCAAACCAAATCCAGCAGCACATCCAGAAACTTATCCACCATGATCAAGTTGGCTTCATCCCTGAGATGCAAAGCTGGTTCAATGTATGCAAATCAATAAACATAATCCATCACATAAACAAAACCAAAGACAAAAACCACATTATTACCTCAATGGATGCAGAAAAGGCTTTTGAAAAAATTCCTTGCAAAGGGCCGGATAGTAAACATTTTAGGATATCTGAAGCATGCAATCTCCATCAACCCCTCCTTTCTGCTGTTGGAGTGCAAAAGCAGCCATAGGTGATATGTGTGAGCCTCCATGTTAAAAACTCCCAATAAACTAGGTATTTATGAACTATCTCAAAATAGTAAGAGCTATTTTTGACAAACCCACAGCCAATATCATATTGAATGGGCAAAAGCTGGAAACATTCCCTTTGAAAACTAATACAAGACAAGGATGTCCTCTCTCACACTCCTATTCACATAGTATTCAAAGTTCTGGCCAGGGCAATCAGGCAAGAGAAAGAAATAAATGGTATTCAAATAGAGAGAGAAAGTCAAATTGTCTCTGTTTGCAGAGACATGATTCTCTAGAAAACTGCATCATCTCAGCCCCAAACTCCTTAAGCTGATAAGCAACTTCAGCAAAGTCTCAGGATACAAAATCAATGTGCAAAAATTACAAGTATTCCTTTACACCAACAATACACAAGCAGAGAGTCAAATCATGAATGAACTCCCATTCACAACTGCTACAAAGAGAATAAAGTACCTAGGAATACAGCTAGCAAGGGACGTGAAAGACCTCTTCAGGGAGAAGTAGACACAAACAAATGGAAAATATTCCATCCTCATGGATAGGAAGAATCAATATTATGAAAATGGCCTTATTGCCCAGAGTAATTTATAGATTCAATGTTATTCCCATCAAACTACCATTGACATTTTTCACAGAATTAGAAAAAAACTAATTTAAATTTCATATGAAATCCAAGAAGACCCCATATAGTCAAGACAATCCTAAGCAAAGCTGGAGGCATCATGCTACCTGACTTTGAACTATGCTACAAGGCTACAGTAACCAAAACAACATGGTACTGGTACCAAAATAGACATATAGACCAATGGAACAGAACAGAGACGTCAGAAATAACAACATACATCTAAAACCATATGATTTCAACAAACCTGACAAAAATAAGCAATGGGGAAAGGATCTCCTATTCAATAAATGGTACTGGGAAAACTGGCTAGCCATATATAGAAAACTGAGACTGGACCCCTTCCTTACACCTTATACAAAAATTAACTCAAGATTGATTAAAGGCGTAAATGTAAAACCCCAAACCATAAAAACCCTAGAAGGAAACCTAGGCAATACCATTCAGGACATAGGCATGGGCAAAGACTTCATGACAAAAATGCCAAAAGCAATGGCAACAAAAGCCAAGATTGACGAATAGGTTCTAATTAAGCTAAAGAGCTTCTGCACTGCAAAGGAAACTATCATTAGAGTGAAGAGGCAGCATACAGAATGGGAGGAAATTTTGCAATCTACCCATCTGACAAAGGTTTAGTGTCCAGAATTTACAAGGAACTTAAACAAATTTATGAACAACAGCAAGCAACCCCAACAAAAAGTGGGCAAAGGGTCTGAGCAGACACTTCTCAAAAGAAGACATTTATGCAGCCAACAAACATATGAAAAAAAGGTCAACATTACTGATCATTAGAGAAAAGTAAATCAAAACCACAATGACTTACCATCTCACACCAGTCAGAATGGCAATTGTTAAAAAGTAAGGAAAAAACAGATGCTGGAGAGGATGTGGAAAAATAGGAATGCTTTTACACTGTTGGTGGAAGTGTAAATTAGTTCAACCATTGTGGAAGACAGTGTGGCAATTTCTCAAGGATCTGGAACAAGAAATACCATTTGACCCAGCAATCTCATTACTGGGTATATACCCAAGGGATTATAAATCATTCTACTATAAAGATACATGCGCACATATGTTTATTGCAGCACTGCTCACAATAGCAAAGACTTGGAACTAACCCAAATGCCCATCAGTGATAGACTGAATAAAGAAAACGTGGCACATATACACCATGGAATACTATGCAGCCATAAAAAATGATGAGCTCATGTCCTTTGCAGGGATATGGATAAAGCTGGAAACCATCATTCTCAGCAAACTAACACAGTAACAAAAAACCACATGTTCTCACTCATAAATGAGAGTTGAACAATGAGAACACATGGACACAGGGAGGGGGACATCACGCACTGGGGCCTGTTAGGGAGTGGGGGCTAGGGGAGGGACAGCATTAGGAGAAATACCTAATGTAGATGACGGGTTGATGGGTGCAGCAAACCACCATGGTATTTGTATACCTATGTAACAAACCTGCACGTTCTGCACGTGTATCCCAGAACTTAAGTATAATTTAAAAAATAACTAACATGTATAGAGTGGTTCCTGTGTACCCCAAAATGGTACCAGCTGTTATGCCTAATATTTTCATCTAATATTTACAACAAGCTTTTCAAGCAAGTATCATTATAATTTCCCTATTCCAGATGAGGAAAGGAGGTGCCAAGAAAAGCCTTGCCTAAAGTCCCAGAGTTAAATGGTAGAGCCGGGATTCTCCCTGGGTCTGGAGCACAGTCCCTCCCTGTCCTGACCCTGCCAATGTAAAATGTAGAGGAGGCCTCACAGAGCTCCACGTGTTCCTTGTAAAACTTTTCTTTCCTGGGCAAGACACAGCCTTCTCCCCAAGTGCTTCTGACACATCCTGCAAAGCATCTCCAATTAGAATTTATTACCCACTTCCTTGCTCAGAGAGATGAGGGGGAATCATTTACCAGTCTTCAGAGCCATGCTATCCACACTATCCACAGGTCACCAGGGATTTGACTCTATATTTGCCTCCATGTAACACTAATCTGACTGGTTCCCAAGCTGTCACCAAAATGTGAGCCCACAGAACTCAGAGTAAAGCAATAGCATCTCCACGTGCTCAGACCAACAGCACCTCCACATGCTCAGCAGCTTCCCTCAGGGTTCCCTTCATAGCTCTCCACTGTGAGTGTTGAAGGGTGTCAGTCTGCTTTGTTCACTCAGTATGCTTGTTGAGTGAATGAAAAAGTCTTCTTGCTCTAATTAAAACAGAAATACCCCCTTGAGGATGCTCTAGATTCTCTCACACTGGTAGCTGCATTTTCCTCCTCAATGCCCCCTCAGCACAGGGCCTCAACTGGACAGTGGTGCCTCCTTGCTCTTTTCCTTCTCCTCTCAAATATCCTGTTCTCAGTAGGACACACCTTCAGGCCCCACCCTCTGACCTCTCCACTTGCCCTCGTCTATCAGCTTCACACTATCAGCTTCCTGCTCACTGGAGGGCTCCTGGCCTGGCTCATCTCTGTTTCCCTCTCCAGGACCCCTGCCTTTCAACATCCCTGTGCAAAACACATCCATCCCAGAGCCTCGCGGTTCCCTGAGCCACTCAATCCCATTAGTCCTGTCTCCACCCCTCCCCAGGTTCCTAGTTTATGGCCACAACCAAGTCCAGTGATTCTCAACCTTGGCTGCAGTTGGGACATCCTGGAGTGGCTTTTAAAAAGTTGATGCTGGGACCCCAGGGAATTGTTTAAAAATCCCCCAAGGTGAGAAAATGTCACTGATTTTAGAGTTTTGCTTGAGATGGACCCTAATGAGAGAAGTTTATAAAATCACCCACAGAGAAGACAGGTTAGAGATCCAGCAGCCAAACTTTGTCAAAGTCTCTAAGGACCTAAAGTGACAAAAAAAGTCATTTCTGGAATTAGCATATTTTCTGCATGGACAAGACCAAAGTGATGTAGCAGATGGCAGATCAGTGTGTGATCCTGGAAGAATCGAGTGGAAAGGGCTCATTCACTGTTAAACCAGCACCTGGGACTCAGCCTCTCCACCGTCTTGCAGGGATGCTGCAGGGCCTCTGATTATGCTCGTGATGATGACGGTGGTTGTGATAGCAGGAACCACTTATTAATAGTTTATTAGCTGCCCAACGCTGTACTGGGCACTTTAAATACACTGTTTCATGTACTTTAATTGTAACAGTTCTATGAAGTCAGAGTCATTATTATTTCCCCACTTATAGATAAGAACAATACATTTTAAAAAGGAACGATATGGCTAAAATCAACCACTAGTGACACAGCTAAGACCCAGGCCAGCCTATCTCTAAAGCTTAACAACCTCACACAGGGAGGATCAGGGAGAATTGTAAGGGTGTCTGATTGGAGAGACTTTTAATTGTTTTTTTCTTTTTCCAGCACACCAAGGTGATTTGCTCTCTCATAACTAAAATATTAAGACTATCTTGTCTTCTTGCAAATGATCAACTGTATAGAAGAACATTGGCTATCAGATGGCCCCAAAGTCCCTCTGACTGTACAATATTATCAACTGCCCCAAATAGCAATAATCAAGAACCCCTCCACCTTTCAGTTTGAGAGGAAAAATAGGTCTTTGCCTTGTATTCAAAAATCACTGACTCCTGATAGCATGTGCTATTTTCTCCCAAATAACTTCCTTTGTTGTATACGTAAAGAAAAATTATGTATAACCCAAACCAGGAGTTTGGGCACCAGTGATGCCATTAAGTGTTGGTGTAATATTTACAGTTGACATAATTTCTGTGTATCTTGGTAAGCTCACAAGCACCTTATTTCTTAAACTGTAGGTGGCATAAATGAAAATCTGCAATGTTAACAAACTTTTGGAAGTGAAAAATTCAGTCCCACTGTGCCAGCTATATAAAGCTCTATGCTATTCCAGAAACTGTGGGGGAAGCTGATGATGGAAGCTACTTCCTTCAAGTAGTTCATGATCTCATTGATGAGATACTACATTTAGAAGACAGCAGAAAAACATTAATGAATGAACGCTGAGTGAGCACCATGGTAAGATCTGTGGGGATTGTTTTAGGTTGAGTTTCCCAGAAGCTGACCTGAGAAATGAGTGCAGGCAATGCTGTTGGGAGATGTTCCCAGGAGGCCCATGGGCAGTGAGACATGAAAGGAAAGGGAGCCTGTAGAATAAACTCTTATTAAATTAATGGGACTGAAATCTCCTGGGGAACTTTGGGAGATGGTGCACAGCAGGCTCCAAAGTATCCTGAACTAGGGTAGACTGCTGGAGGCTCCACCAGCGGACTCACACACCAACTGGTCCAAGGGCCACTCCCAGGACCTCAAGCCAACCCTGCACACCATCAGGTGGATTCCAGGAGCCAGACAAAGGCTTCAGGAAATGTCATAGGTGTTTGCAGTTGGAAGCCTCCAGGCTGGCATGCAGAGAGAGGCTGGAGGAATCCACAGCATCCACCATCAGGGTCCTAGTGAAGAAAAAATTATCTTAGGGATTGGGTCTTCGGGGAAGGCTCCATAGGGAAGTGAGTCTTAAAAAACAGATTCCAGGCCAAAAGGAGGGTAAGGGCAGCAGCCAGGATGACGGTCTGCTGGGGCACAGAGGAGGCCTGGCAGTGCTGTCCCGCTGGCAAAGAGGGAGCTGAGGGTAGACTGGGAGGGACCTGACTTGTAGTTTTTCAAAAGTGAGTTGAAGACTAACAGCACACTACCAGCTCCTGCCTCTGAACATTGGCAAAGCTGCCACTACATCTTATCTAGAGACTAGGTTATTTCTTCTATCCAGGAGCCATTTCAAAGCTCTGAATTTCTTTCAATTCTCCAGATGAAGGAGCAGTTGATGGTCCTTCTGCCACTCTGTGGCGACACTAACTTCCTTTCAGAGGCATCAGGCCACATGTTTGGGAGATATGTAGTCTTAAAACTTCAGATGTGCCTTTTAGCATAATAGATGTATGCCTGAGAATTCAGAAATACCAGGGATTTTACAGTTGCAAGTTCATTTTAAGTACACTAGTAGCAGGCTGCTGCACTCTCTCTGCAGCCGCTGTGAGGGTGAAAAGAGAGACAGAGCCATGGCCAGGAGCCCCCCCAGGACCCCACAGCGTTTCTCCCTCCTCCTGCCCTCCAGTTTCTCTACATCATCTTGTGTATTTGCAATATTTACCTTTTTCCTTGTAGCCACCAGGCTGAGTGCAGAGAACAGTTATTTCCCAGAATAGTGTAGGGAATTTCATTTGAAATCTCTTCAGTGACTGCAAGTTTTCCAGCATTCAAACCAGGAGAAATGATCCATTTCTTATTGTTGTTTTTTCTGTGTTGTTAGATGGAGCTGCTGGGGCCAGTCAGCCCATTAATTTAATTTGATTATGTTCCTAACAACATGCTTCTCTTGGCTGCCTCTCTCCAGCAGGCTGGAGTCATCCAGATTCCCTTGCCTGCCCCAGGGCTCAGAGCCCAAGGTTCAGTTGGCCAATGGCCACAAGTAGGTTCCAGGGTTTAGGGTGAGGGTAGTCAACACTACAATTTTTTTGATGTCATTTTGTGTTAGAGCACAGATTGCTGTAAATAAAGTGAGGGTTAGAGATACGGTTAGGGTTGGGGGTTAGGGGTTAGAGTTAGGGTTAGGGCGAGGGTGAGGATTAGAGTTAAGATTAGAATTTGGATTGAGGTGAGGTTGAAGTTCAGGGTGATGGTTAGGGTTAGGGTGAAGGTGAGGATGAAGGTGAGGGTTAGGGTTACAGTTTGCATTATGATGAGGGTAAGTGTGAAGGTGAGGGCTAGGGTGAGGTCATAGGTTACTATTGTTCAGGTTAATACTTTTCATGATTAGGGCAGAGATGAGTGATATGGCCTCTGGCAACCTCTCCCTGGATGCAGATTATGAGACAAGGATATTGGTGAAATTATTATTCAGCTATAATTTGCATATTATCCATTGAATAAAGGAGAGAAACCAAAACAGATGGAACAATCAGGGTGAGGTGTTGGGAGAAGCACTGGAGCCCTGCCTGGGCTTGGGCAGCTCAGAGCTTGGGTGATAGTGCTTCAGTGTTGCATAGAATCAGAATTCATCCTGACTGCAGGCATAGACAGTGGGTATTTTATCCTCCTTCAGACAGTGCGTGGCTTAGGTTGAGTTGTGGGATAAATTCCCAGGTGCTTTTACTCCTTTTGGGTGAATTGACCCGACACCCAGGGCAATTCTCTGATCCTCCAGCAACAATACACCAAGATCTATGGACAAGCAAGACCTGTGGGGTTTGGGAGGGGCCCAGGATGGAAACCAACCTGGGCAACCTGGGTTGGGGTCAGGGTTATAGACTGGAGAAGCTGAGGAACAGTGTCTTTGTATGATAAGGGTTGCTATAACCTGGTACGTGAGACTGCGTGATTTATAAATTTACTTGGCTCACAGTTCTGGAGGCTGGGAAGTGGGAGAAGCAGGCATAGCATCTGCTTGGTTTCCGGTGAGGGCCATGTGCTGGGTTAAAACATGGCAGAGAAGAGCCAGGGGGATTGGACACCTGCAAAGAGAGAGGCAAACGAAAGAACATCCTAGCTTTGCAACAAACCACGCTCACAGGTACTCATCTAGCATTGCCAGAGCAAGAACTCACTACCATGAGAAGGCAGCAAGCCGATGACGAGGTTCCACTCTAGATTCAAACACCTCCCACTAGGTCCCACCTGTCAACACCACCATGCCCAGACCACATATCAGCATGAGATTCAGGGAGGACAAACAAACCCCATCCACACCACAGCAAGCAGGGGAGGCAAGAAATGGGAAAAAATTGTCTTTTAAAAAGATTTACCATTCTCATTTGTGCATGAAGAAAGTGTTCCTGGTCTGGGCTCTAGGAGGACGGTGCTGTTGGTCTTCTCCACCTGCCTCTTAAGTCATCCTCCCACTTCTCCAGCTCTGCTCTGGGTCCTGAGAGGCTGGCCTCTGGGAGAATCACCCAGGTCCTGTTCCAGGATTTCAGCCAGAGGGAGGCACCGGCCATCAGAGGTGGGGAGGGCCTTGGTTTCCTCTGCTTCCTTCCTTCCAGTAGCGGGTTTTCAGAAAGGCTGGGTTTCTCTCTGGTGTTTCTCAACTTCAGCTGCACTAGCATTTCTACTCAACCATTCTCTGTGCTAGGGCTGCCCTGCAAATGAGAGGGTGTCGAGCAGCAGCCCTGCAGCACCCCCACCTGAGCCCACAGTGTCAGGCAGAATGACCCCATGGAGAAACAGCCCTCCAGAGTTCTGGGAGGGTCCAGCAGCCCATTCTCTCCTCACCCTTTGGCCCCGGGGTATTAAAGGGTTTCTGCTGTTGCTAGTCTGGGAGCATTTCACAGGCTTTTATTGTTTCTTTTGGCTTTGCCCACACTTCTGTAAATAAACCCTTGAGTTTGCCTTTTTTTTTTTTTTTCATTTGCTGGGATCTAACACAGCCCTTTTCCTACAGGTAAATGCCTACATGTTAGAACATATCTTAGAAATTACCATCAGCCAATCTTGCTTTAGAAAAAGAACTCATGACTATCTGAGTTTTAAACATGGTGACCAGAATTGAATTTGCAAATGTTTTGGTTCTAATATCTTGATAAAACACTAAAACTATAACATGACGGCTCACCATGAAATTAACATGGAATACTCACTGGGGTGGAGGAGAAGAGTAAATATGGCCCTTGACCCTGGTGGGCTGTCCACAATAACTGTTGCTCCGCCACTTTCTCAGCATTTTAGGGGCTACAGGACCCGGGCTCTGGCAGGCACTTGGTGAAAACTGGAAACAGCTGAAGAACCAAGCCTTGTCCCTCCTTGTGCAGGCCTAGATTCTACATCCACAGACTCAGATACTGAAGAACACTTAATGGTCTGGATGCTGGTTAAAGCTGTGATCTGCAAATATTTTCAACCATGCAGTGCTCTCAATGAAAACAAAGCATGCATCCAATAACTGTGCTTTTATTAATTAATTTTTCTCCTCCTAGACAATGGATTTTTTTTAAACTTTTAGGTTGCAGGGTACATGTGCAGGTTTGTTTTATAGGTAAACTTGTGTTGTGAGGGTGTGTTGTACAGATTATTTTCATCACCCAAGTATTAAGCCTAGCACTCATTGGTTATTTTTCCTGATTCTCTCCCTCCTCCCACCCTCCACCCTCTGATAAGCACAAGTCTCTGTTGTTTCCCTCTGTGTGTCCGTGTGTTCTCATCATTTAGCTCCCACTTACAAGTGAGAACATGTGGTATTTGGTTTTCTGTTTTGCTAAGGATAATGGCCTCCATCTCCATCCATGTTCCCACAAAAGACATGACCTCGTTCTGTTTTATGGCTCCATAGTAGTCCATGGTTTATATGTACCACATTTTCTTTATCCAGTCTACCACTGATGGGCATTTATGTTGATTTCCTGTCTTTGCTATTGTGCATAGTACTGCAATGAACATTCACGTGCATGTGTCTTTATCGTAGAATGATTTCTATTCCTCTGTGGATATATTCAGTAATGGAATTGATGAGTTGAATGGTAGATCTGTTTTTAATTCTTTGAGGAATTACCATACTGCTTTCCACAATAGTTGAACTAATTTACACTCCCACCAATAGTGTGCAAGCATTCCGTCTCCCTGTCACCTTGCCAGCACCTGTTAATTTTTGACATTTTAATAATAGCCATCCTGCCTGGTGTGAGATGGTGTCTCACAGTGGTTTTGATTTGCATTTCTCTAATGATCAGTGATGTTGAGCTTTTCTTTCTATGCTTTTTGGCTGCATATATGTCTTCCTTTGAAAAGTGCCTATTCATGTCCTCTGCTCACTTTTTTTATGGGTTTGTTTTTTTCTTGTAAATTTGTTAAGTTCCTTATGGAAGCCAGATATTAGACCTTTGTCAGATGGATATATTTCAAAGATTTTCTCCTAACTACTCACAAGGCTGAGGCAGGAGAATTTCTTGAACCCAAGAGGTGGAGATTGCAGTGAGCCAAGATCACACCACTGCACTCCAGCCTGGGTGACAGAGTGAGATTTTGTCTCAAAAAAAAAAAAAAAAAAGAAAGGTAGCCATATATAGATATTTGATTTATTAAAATATAGAGAAATGGTATTATGAAAGTGCCAGCAGAGCATATTTCTATGGAAAGTATTTACCATTCAACAAATAGTACCAGGACCATTTGTTTATCCATGTGCAAAGTAAAACTGGGTCCTAACTTCACACCATTTACAAAAATGAATTTAAGGTAGCTTAAAGAAAAATGTGAGGGGTGAAGCCAAGATGGCTGAATAGGAACAGCTCCAGTCTAGAGCTCCCAGCATGAATGATGCAGAAGATGGGTGATTTCTGCATTTCCAACTGAGGTACTGGGCTCATCTCACTAGGGAGTGTCAGAAAGTGGGTGCAGGACAGTGGGTGCAGTGCACCACCATAAGCCAAAGCAGGGTGAGGCATCGCCTCACCTGGGAAGTGCAGGGGGTCAGGGAATTCCCTTTCCTAGTCAAAGAAAGGGGTGACAGATGGCACCTAGAAAATCAGGTCACTCCCACCCTAATACTGTGCATTTCCAATGGTCTTAGCAAACGGCACACCAGGAGATTATATCCCGTGCCTGGCTCAGAGGTTCCTACACCCAAGGAGTCTTGCTCATTGCTAGCACAGCAGTCTGAGATCAAACTGCAAGGGGCAGTGAGGCTGGGGGAAGGGCACCCGCCATTGCTGAGGCTTGAGTAAGTAAACGAAGTGGCTGGGAAGCTCGAATTGGGGGGAGCCCACCACAGCTCAAGGAGGCCTGCCTGCCTCTGTAGACTCCACCTCTGGGGGCAGGGAACAGCCAAACAAAAGGCAGCAGAATCCTCTGCAGACTTAAATGTCCCTGTCTGACAGCTTTGAAGAGAGTAGTAGTTCTCCCAGCACGCAGCTGGAGATCTAAGAACAGACAGACTGCCTCCTCAAGTGGATCCCTGACCCCTGAGTAGCCTAACTGGGAGGGACCCCCCAGTAGGGGCAGACTGACACTTCACACAGCGAGGTACCCCTCTGAGACGAAACTTCCAGAGGAACTATCAGGCAGCAACCTTTTCTATTCAGCAATATTCACTGTTCCACAGCCTCCACTGCTGATACCCAGGCAATCAGGGTCTGGAGTGGACCTCCAGCAAACTCCAACAGACCTGTAGCTGAGGGTCCTGACTGTTAGAAGGAAAACTAACAAACAGGAAGGACATCCACACCAAAACCCCATCTGTACATCACCATCATCAAAGACCAAAGGTAGATAAAACCACAAAGATGGGGAAAAAACAGAGCAGAAAAACTGGAAACCCTAAAAATCAGAGCACCTCTCCTCCTCCAAAGGAATGCAGCTCCTCACCAGCAGTGGAACAAAGCTGGACAGAGAATGACTTTGACGAGTTGAGAGAAGGCGGCTTCAGATGATCAAACTACTCCAAGCTAAAGGAGGAAGTTCGAACCCATGGCAAAGAAGTTAAAAACCTTGAAAAAAAGTTAGATGAATGGCTAACTAGAATAACCAATGCAGAGAAGTCCTTAAAGGACCTGATGGAGCTGAAAACCAAGGCACCAGAACTATGTGATGAATGCACGAGCCTCAATAGCTGATTTGATCAACTGGAAGAAAGGGTATCAGTGATGGAAGATCAAATGAATGAAATGAAGCGAGAAGAGAAGTTTAGAGAAAAAAAGAATAAAAAGAAATGAACAAAGCCTCCAAGAAATATGGGACTATGTGAAAAGACCAAATCTACGTCTGATTGGTGTACCTGAAAGTGACAGGGAGAATGGAACCAAGTTGGAAAACACTCTGCAGGATATTATCCAGGAGAACTTCCTCAAACTAGCAAGGCAGGCCAACATTCAAATTCAGGAAATACAGAGAATGCCACAAAGATACTCCTCGAGAAGAGCAACACCAAGACACATAATTGTCAGATTCACCAAAGTTGAAATGAAGGAAAAAATGTTAAGGCAGCCAGAGAGAAAGGTCGGGTTACCCACAAAGGGAAGCCCATCAGACTAACAGCTGATCTCTCAGCAGAAAATCTACAAGCCAGAAGAGAGTGGGAACCAATATTCAACATGCTTAAAGAAAAGAATTTTCAAACCAGAATTTCATATCCAGCCAAACTAAGCTTCATAAGTGAAGGAGAAATAAAATCCTTTGCAGGGAAGCAAATGCTGGGAGATTTTGTCACCACCAGGCCTACCCTAAAAGAGCTCCTGAAGGAAGCACTAAACATGGAAAGGAATGACTGGTACCAGCCACTGCAAAAACATGCCAAATTGTAAAGACCATCGAGGCTAGGAAGAAACAGCATTAACTAATGAGCAAAATAACCAGCTAACATCATAATGACAGGATCAAATTCACACATAACAATATGAACCTTAAATGTAAATGGTCTAAATGCTCCAATTAAAAGACACAGACTGGCAAATTGGATAAAGAGTCAAGACCCATCAGTGTGCTGTATCCAGGAAACCCATCTCACATGCAGAGACACACATAGGCTCAAAATAAAGGGGTGGAGGAAGATCTACTGAGCAAATGGAAAACAAAAAAAGGCAGGGGTTGCAATCCTAGTCTCAGATAAAACAGACTTTAAACCAACAAAGATCAAAAGAGACAAAGAAGGCCATTACATAATGGTAAAGGGATCAATTCAACAAGAAAAGCTAACTATCCTAAATATATATGCAGCCAATACAGGAGCACCTAGATTCATAAAGCAAGTCCTTGGAGACCTACAAAGAGACTTAGACTCCCACACAATAATAATGGGAGACTTTAACATCCCACTGTCAACATTAGACAGATCAACGAGACAGAAAGTTAACAAGGATACCCAGGAATTGAACTCAGCTCTGTACCAAGTGGACCTAATAGACATCTACAGAACTCTCCACCCCAAATCAACAGAATATACATTTTTCTCAGCACCACACCACACTTATTCCAAAATTGACCACATAGTTGGAAGTAAAGCACTCCTCAGCAAATGTAAAAGAACAGAAATTATAAGAAACTGTCTCTCAGACCACAGTGCAATCAAGCTAGAACTCAGGATTAAGAAACTCACTCAAAACCACTCAACTACATGGAAACTGAACAAACTGCTCCTGAATGACTATTGCATACATAACGAAATGAAGGTAGAAATAAAGATGTTCTTTGAAACCAATGAGAACAAAGACACAACATACCAGAATCTCTGGGACACATTCAAAGCAGTGTGGGGAGGGAAATTTATAGCACTAAATGCCCACAAGAGAAAGCAGGAAAGATCTAAAATTGACACCCCAACATCACAATTAAAAGAACTAGAGAAGCAAGAGCAAACACATTCAAAAGCTAGCAGAAGGCAAGAAATAACGAAGATCAGAGCAGAACTGAAGGAAATAGAGACACAAAAAACCCTTCAAAAAATTAATGAATCCAGGAGCTGGTTTTTTGAAAGGATCATCAAAATTGATAGACCACTAGCAAGACTAACAAAGAAGAAAAGAGAGAAGAACCAAATAGATGCAATAAAAAATGATAAAGGGGATATCACCACCGATCCCACAGAAATAAACTACCATCAGAGAATACTATAAACACCTCTATGCAAATAAACTAGAAAATCTAGAAGAAATGGATAAATTCTTCGACACATACACCCTCCCAAAACTAAACCAGGAAGAAGTTGAATCTCTGAATAGACCAATAACAGGCTCTGAAGTTGAGGCAATAATTAATAGCTTACCAACCGAAAAAAGTCCAGGACCAGATGGATTCACAGCCGAATTCCACCGTAGGTACAAGGAGGAGCTGGTACCATTCCTTCTGGAATTATTCCAATCAATAGAAAAAGAGGGAATCCTCCCTAACTCATTTTATGAGGCTAGCATCATCCTGACACCAAAGCCTGGCAGAGACACAAAAAAACAAAGAGAATTTTAGACCAATATCCCTGATGAACATTGACACAAAAATCCTCAATAAAATACTGGCAAACCAAATCTAGCAGCACATCAAAAAGCTTATCCACCATGATCAAGTGGGCTTCATCCCTGGGATGCAAGGCTGGTTCAATATATGAAGATCAATAAATGTAATCCAGCATATAAACAGAATCAATGACAAAAATCTTATGATTATCTCAATAGATGCAGAAAAGGCCTTTGACAAAATTCAACAACACTTCATGCTAAAAACTCTCAATAAATTAGGTATTGATGGGATGTATCTCAAAATAATAAGAGCTATCTATGACAAACCCACAGCCAATATCATACTGAAGGGACAAAAACTGGAAGCATTCCCTTTGAAAACTTGCACAAGACAGGGATGCCCTCTCTCACCACTCCTACTCAACATAGTGTTGGAAGTTCTGGCCAGGGCAATCAGGCAGGAGACAGAAATAAAGGGTATTCAATTAGGAAAAGAGGAAGTCAAATTGCCTCTGTTTGCAGATGACATGATTGTATATCTAGAAAACCCCATCGTCTTAGCCCAAAATCTCCTTAAGCTGATAAGCAAATTCAGCAAAGTCTCAGGATACAAAATCAATGTGCAAAAATCACAAGAATTCTTATATACCAATAACAGACAAACAGAGAGCCAAATCATGAGTGAACTCCCATTCACAATTGCTTCAAAGAGAATAAAATACCTAGGAATCCAGCTTACAAGGGACGTGAAGGACCTCTTCAAGGAGCTACAAACCACTGCTCAATGAAATAAAAGAGGATACAAACAAATGGAAGAACATTCCGTGCTCATGGGTAGGAATAATCAATATCGTAAAAATGGCCATACTGCCCAAGGTAATTTATACATTCAATGCCACCCCCATCAAGCTACAAATGACTTTCTTCACAGAAGTGGATAAAACTACTTTAAAGTTCATATGGAACCAAAAAAGAGCCTGCATTGCCAAGTCAATCCTAAGCCAAAAGAACAAAGCTGGAGGCATCACACTACCTGACTTCAAACTATACTACAAGGCTACAGTAACCAAAACAGCATGGTACTGGTACCAAAACAGAGATATAGACCAATGGAACAGAACAGAGCCCTCAGAAATAATGCCACATATCTACAACCATCTGATCTGTGACAAACCTGACAAAAACAAGAAATGGGGAAAGGATTCCCTATTTAATAAATGGTGCTGGGAAAACTGGCTAGCCATATGTAGAAAGCTAAAACTGGATCCCTTCCTTACACCTTATACAAAAATTAATTCAAGATGGATTAAAGACTTAAATGTTAGACCGGAAACCATAAAAACCCTAGAAGAAAACCTAGGCAATACCATTCAGGACATAGGCATGGGCAAGGACTTCATGTCTAAAACACTAAAAGCAATGGCAACAAAAGCCAAAATTGACAAATGGGATCCAATTAAACTAAAGAGCTTCGGCACAGCAAAAGAAACCACCATCAGAGTGAACAGGCAATCTACAGAATGGGAGAAAATTTTTGCAATCTACTTATCTGACAAAGGGCTAATATCCAGAATCTACAATGAACTCAAACAAATTTACAAGAAAAAAAACAAACAACCCCATCAAAAATGGGCGAAGGATATGAACAGACACTTCTCAAAAGAAGACATTTATGCAGCCAAAAGACACATGAAAAAATGCTCATCATCACTGGCCATCAGAGAAATGCAAATCAAAACCACAGTGAGATACCATCTCACACCAGTTAGAATGGTGATCATTAAAAAGTCAGGAAACAACAGGTGCTGGAGAGGATGTGGAGAAATAGGAACACTTTTACACTGTTGGTGGGACTGTAAACTAGTTCAACCATTGTGGATGTCAGTGTGGTGATTCCTCAGGGATCTAGAACTAGAAATACCATTTGACCCAGCCATCCCATTACTGGGTATATACCCAAAGGATTATAAATCATGCTGCTATGAAGACACATGCACACGTATGTTTATTGCGGCGCTATTCACAATAGCAAAGACTTGGAACCAACCCAAATGTCCAACAATGATAGACTGGATTAAGAAAATGTGGCACATATACACCATAGAATACTATGCAGCCATAAAAAATGATGAGTTCATGTCCTTTGCAGGGACATGGATGAAGCTGGAAACCATCATTCTCAGCAAACTATCACAAGGAGAAAAAACCAAACACCGCATGTTCTCACTCATAGGTGGGAATTGAACAATGAGAACACATAGGCACAGGAAGAACATCACACACTGGGGCCTGTTGTGGGGTGGGAGGAGGGGGGAGGGATAGCATTAGGAGATATATCTAATGTTAAATGATGAGTTAATGGGTGCAGCACACCAACATGGCACCTGTATACATATGTAACTAACCTGCACATTGTGCACATGTACCCTAAAACTTAAAGGATAATAAAAAAAAGAAAAATGTGAAAGGCAAAACTTTAAGAAGAAAACATAGAACTACCTCTATGATCTCATGGTAGAGGATTTTTAAAATAAGACACAAAAGCACTAACCATAAAAGAAATAACAGATAAACTTGACTTCATAGCATTAATAACTTATCTTTATGAAAAAACAAATAAGCAAACAAAAAACACTTTGACAAAAGCAAAAATGCAGGCCTCAGATTGGGAGCAAATGTTAGCTATGATACATATGACAAATGTATATCATTTTATATATGTGTGTGTATACACACAAACCCTTATGTACTGCAGGTAGAAATATCATTTCCTTCAACTAGTTAGGAAAACAATATAGCAGTAATCTAATAAACTTTATGTGGTACATTTTCTATAACCTTATACTCCCAGTCCTAGGTTTCAATGAGAGAAATCATGCATATATATACTTTGAGATATGGTGTAAGAATATTTGAAGCCCTGTGGTTTGTAATAGTAGAAATCTGGAAGTACCCAAAGATCTGTCAACAAAAGAATGGGCAAATAATTCAGAAGTATTCACATGATGTAATAGTATGTATCAGGAAAAACAAATAATGTACAGCTATTCATATCAACAAGAATAAATCTCCAAAGCATAACATTGAAGGAATAAAGTCATGAAGGAATACACATAGTGAAAGAAACTACTTGTAATGTGTTCTAAAACATGTAATACTCTACAACTGCAACTCATCATTTAGAGATATATATATATGTTGTAAAACTGTAACGAAAACAATGGAACTATAAACACAAATCTGGTTGTGGTTACTTCTAGGAAGAGGCAGGGGATGTGACTAGAAAGGAGCCCACAGAGGGTTCGGATGCCGGGGCTGGGGGGTTGTTTGCAGATTCCTAACACATTGATACTAACATCTGTTTACTCAGCTGGCTTGTCCTTAAATGCACTATGTAATCACATGATATGTATCATATACATTCTTTAGTATTTTTCAGAGTTTTCATAACCAAACAAAGAAAAACATTTGTGCCTGACCAATACCTATCCCTAAGTAGGTTACATATTTTATAGGCAGAACAGTCACCAAAAATTATAATATATGAGGCTTTGACCCAATTACACTACCAAACATCCCCCATTAAATTTTTCCTGTGGATTTAAAACTCTATCTGTAGGAATCCTGCTTCCATATAAGATTTTTTTCTGGAAGGGATATATTACCTTTTTAGTGTATTGTCTACTTCAGTGTATCATAAACTGCCACTAAAACAGCCAAGGAAAGAAGTAATGGGAGGGCCACATGTCCTCCAGGTTAATAGAGATGGGAGGAAAGGGCCAGGGGCATAATGTTATTCAGTGTGGGTGGACTGGCGTCCTGAACTCACAGTGACCCCATTGGAGAAGCAGCAAAAGTGCAAAAAACACAGGAAAGGAGAGATGGGAAAGTAACAAACCATTGCTGCCACCTTCACAGGCTGCCCTGCAGAAAATGCACAAGGTAATGCCCACTGTCATGTTGGGACATTATTTTTTGCATGAAAGAAGCTGGCCAGGAAAAACATTAAATAGGAAATAAGTTTTATAGCTTTATAACCAAACAGCATGGTGAGCTACATGTCACCTGCACTCATGGTGACAGCACCATCAGAACCCCAGGGACTAGGCCTCTCACCCCACCAGCTTGCAGTCAGTGACTAAGCCATAGGTCTGTGTAGGACTCCTCACACCCTGCACCTTCTCACCTCAGCTTCCCACTGCTACGGTGTGGCTACGGTTTGTTCATCCCCACCAAATCTCATGTTGAAATTTGATCCCCAGTGTGGTGGTATTGACAGGTTGGGCCTAGTGGAAGGTTTCTGGGTCATGGAGGTGGACACCTCATGAATGGCTTGGTGCAATTCTTGTTCTTGAGATGCTGGTTTGGTTCTTAGTGTAATTACTTCCCTTGAGAGTTCTTATAAAGCCAGGCAGTCCCTCAGGTTTGGTGCCTGCAGAACTTAAATTAAATAAACCCCTTTTCTTTATAAATTGCCCAGCTTCAGGTGTTTCCTTATAGCAACACAAAATGGACATGCCCTCTGCTAGTCTCAATTTATGCCAATTACTGGAATAAACAAATAGCAAGGGAGATTAATCATTGAACAGTGCTTAGCCTATTTTCTGCTGCTATAACAGAATACCACAGACTGGGTAATTTATACAGAAAAGAGATTTATTTCTTACAGTTCTGGAGGTGGGGAAGTCCAAAATCATTGTGCCGGCATGTAGCAAACGTCATCTCATGGGGCAAGGGTAGAAGCAGAAGTGAATGCATGAGACAGAGAGAGGAAATTGGGCTGAACTTTTCCTTTTATTGGGATTCCACTCTCTTAATAACAGTATTAATGCATTCATTACCTTCATGAGCCTTCATGACTTAATCATCTCTTAAAGGTCCCACTTTCTGTAAATTCTGATACAATGGCAAGTATATTTCAACACGAACTCTGGAGGGGACACTGAAACACAGCACACAGCCAAGCTTCTTTGACCAAGCTGACTACAGGATGCCCTTGATGGAGAGACCAGGGATCATCACCTTCAAGTTCCTGGTCCTTCTTCTTGAACTAAAGACTCCTTGGCTTTGCTCATGTTGGCTTTAGCCACCAGTTGCTTTACAGCCTCCCACACTCAGTCTCTCAGCTTAGGTATCAGAAGATACTTCCATTTTTTAAAAATTATTTAGCTCTCTCATGACCTCCTGTCAGCAGATCTACCTCGCACCTCATTTCCTTAGGCTGATACCTAATGATGCTCCAACCCCACGGAGGGGCATCTAGCTAACTGGTACTAAATAACAGTCACTTAAAAGGTAGTTTAAATTTCACACATTAAGACATACATGTTTGTGCAAGGCAGAGGTTTTCTTTCTTGTTGACTGTATTTTCAGGTTGTAGTTACAGATACCCATTAACAAGCCTGCCTTCTGAAATAAGATTATCTCAGTCAAGTATTCTCTTTGTTATGTGTGGCATCATCAGACACATCTGCAATGATCCCAAAAAAAGATATGATCAGAACCACATTTATTTAAATATGCAAAATGCTGCAGGAGAGCTATTGGCTGATGCATAAATACAAATTCTGTTTCCATCTATGAGAATTGGAGTGAGGACGGGGAGTCACAACCATCCACAAGTGACACTGACTTAATAACATAGAAAATGTTTCAGATTTCTCATGTACTGGGGAAGACAAGAGTGGTGAGCACAATCAGGGTAATAAAACATCCCTCAGCTCAAAGAGATAATTCTAATATCATATATTGTGCATGGAGTAGTGAAGGCCAAATACAAGCAACTTCACATCAGTACATAGCCTACACAAGACAGCCACAAGTCAGGAAAGGGTTGTATTGCATTAGCAAATGATTGAATTAATAGCTAATGATCTCCTAGAAGAATTATATTAAAGACTTTTAATTGACACTTTATCAACCATAATCAACTCTTTTTTTTCATTGCTCTGCTCATTTATGTTCCAATGAATAAGACTCAAAATCCTGAGGCAGCTTAAAGTATATTTTACATCAGTCACCATGGTCAGTGTAGCATACATTTTATGATTTGAAAATTTGTAATAGCCTTTCATAGGCTAATTGCTGAGCCCTCTACCAGAGCTAAGAAAAGAGTGCACAGTTTTGTACATTGAAAGAAAAGGCAAAACACAGTAAGGCAAGCAGCAGTAAAATGAGACAGCTGTGTCCAGCTCCCCAGCAACCCCTGCCAAGAAAGCCCTTTATATGAAAATGAACATTTGACAAGAAAGCATATTAAAGTATTAGCTTTTTCATTCAGCATAGGGCATCTCTTTATTTTAAAAAAATCTTAGGATTGCTCTAATAATAAATTGCCTAATGTGTGGACAGCATGATTCCATTTGTAAAATGTCTATTTAGCATTGCTTTTCAAAGGCATGTCATTGCTTTGTGAGATGTACTCTGAGGTTAAAAGATGCTTTCCCTAAGAAACACTAGCTATGGAGTAACTGTCCTACAGTGAAATGATCTAATAATAATAATAATAATTGGACTTAATGATTTTGCATCATTCCTACTGACTTTAATCAGACTTCCAAATTATTTTGTGTTATGGAAAATTTCAAACTTGGCATTTGAGAATCAATCTAAAGTTTTTTTTTTTTTTTTGAAAAGTGTGATTTTCTCTAATTTGGTGTTGACTTACATCAGGATTTAGTAAACGGGCCTAAACAAGTTCTTCCACAGGGAAAGGTAAAGTGAATCAAAGAGGACATTTAATGAGTGGTCAGCTTGAATCCCAGTGGGTGGGGCTGGTGATATCTGAAATCTACATCACTTCATGATCACTCAACAAATCATGTTGGCTGATTTATGCTGTGGAATAGTCAGTGGTCTTCAAATGAGAATGCATGTTGTTGGGGATATGGGAAGACCTTCCAGGGACATGAATAGTTTTAAGGGAGTCATTTTCTAGATTCTCAACTTCCACATGTGTTCGTTGGTCAGAGGGAACTGCCTTCAGATGCACTTGGGATGGAGGTGCAGCCTCTGCACACTAACAGCAAATTCAAAATACAAATATTGATCCAGGAAAGTGACTGAGATGACTGAGTGACAAATCTCATGCTGATCAGATAGTTTCCAAGCCGTTTCTTTCAACAAAATTCATGAAGGTCATTTAGGTATTAGCTCACTGTATTAGTCCATTCTTCCATTGCTATAAAGAACTATCTGAGACTGAGTAATTTATAAAGAAGAAAGGTTTAATTGGCTCGTGGTTCACAGGCTGTACAGGAAGTATGGCTAAGGAGGTCTCAGGAAACTTGCAATCATGGTGGAAGGCAAAGAGGAAGGAGACATTCTATGTGGCTGGAGCAGGAGAAAGAGAGAGCAAAGGGGGAAGTGCTACACACTTTTAAATAAGCAGATCTCACGAGAGCACACTCACCATCACAAGAACAGCAAGGTGGAAGTCTGCCTCTATGATCTAGTCACTTCCCACCAGGTCCCTCTTCCAACACTGAGGACCACAATTTGGCATGAGATTTGGGTGGGGGCACAGATCCAATCTACAGTGTGAATTGCTCAGTGTGAAAGTTACAGTGGAACATTTCAAATGAACAACACTGCATTTGAAGAAGTGCACTTGAAAATGAGGGCTCCCGAATTAGTCTCATCTAGGGATACCTATTGATATGCAGAAGCTTCTAAAAAGATTTCAATATTTTTATTTAAAGACTCTTTATAAAAAGCAAATAAAAAGCCTAAGTGACTAATTGATAAGAAAAATTAAATTTGCTAATCTTTTGGCTTGGTCATCATCCTACCTTGAAGGTGAAAAGAAAGTTATCCTAGATAGAGTGTTTTTAAAAGGTAGGCTCTCAGGTAAAGTAGGTTCTTGCTTCTCTTTCAGATCTATCCATGCTGAGTCCAGGCATAGAAAGTGCTTTCTTTGCCCTATTCTTTAAGGGGCTCCATCATAAACTCAGTAATTTTATCTAAGAAACAGTAGCTAAGTTAAAAAAGACCACCTATCAAACTAAAGTACACCCTTCTGGAATTTAGCTGGCTATCTTGAAATCCTTTTGTAAAATAATTTCACACTTATAAAGGAAATCTCCATTTTTATGGTGTCTGTCTATGTATATTAGAAACTCTTACCATTGTTTTAAATTCACACAACAAATCATACCTTTGTTTAAAGTTCTTTTCTGGCCATCTTGTCTTAAGTGAACTTCTACTTATACCTTTTTTCCCTTGTTTGAGCAAATAGTACATTATTTAGGCCTAAAGGCTTAGCTCTGTGCTTATAAAATATAACTTTTTGTTTCACCTAAGAGTTGTCCCTTTAGAAATGTGAATTTATTGCCTAGTAAATTATTTCTTAGGGTAATGAAACAAGCAATTGGAAGATTGATAGTTTGAATGAGGAAGAGAAAGCTATTTAAAAGCCAGCAAATGAGAATCCTTTATGAAAGCGATAAGATCTGCTTCTATGTGTTTGTGTGTCTGTAGGTATTCTGTGTATGTGATAATATTTGGTAAATAAAGCGAGTGTTGTGGTCTTCCAGCTCCTTAGCTCAGCTAGGTCCAAGTTCTTGTCCCACAACGAGGAAGAATTAGGCACACAGACACCAGAGAGTGAGTAGGGTAAAGCAGAATTTGTTAAGTGAAAGGAGAGCACTCATCAAAGACAGGGATCCTGAAAGCATGTTGCCATTTCACAGTTGAATACAAGGGCTTTCACAGAAAAGCTGATGGGGGTGGGTTCCTTATTTGCATAAGATGTTAATTTCTGGCAGCTCCACCCCATCTTTCCAGTGCACATATGGACCCTTAGTCTAAGCCACTCCATACTGATTTATTTCCCTTACTGTCCATGTGTTAAGGAATGGAATTTTCCACCATGGGCTTATGTAGGCAAGTCTCCTGTGTAGCTTCTCTTATCTGTGTAACTGAGGGCATGTTTAGGCAAGTACCCTGTGCGATTTCCCTTATCTGTACAAAACATTTGGTGTAAGCACTTGTGGTATGTTTGGATTGGGCAATGACCTGGACAGGTCCAAGGTTCTCCAGGGACCCCCCGACCCCACTTACCATATGCCTAAAGCAAGCTGGCTAACTCCTCTCACTAGCTTTTACATTGTTGGTAAAATAGGAATGACTTTAAAATTACCAGTTAAATATAAGTAGATACTTGCTTGATTTGACTGTCAGCTTACAGTTTTGGTTTAGAGCCTCTGGATTCAGCGATCTGGATGGATGGTCATGGTGAGGTCTGGAGACATGTTGTCAGTGCCTAGACCAGCAGCTACAAGGCAGAATCAAGCCCAATATGGCCCCTTCTTCCCTGCCCTAGCTTTGCCTCCTGGCTATTCTGGGAGGGGTTGGATACTCCAGGTATAGTCTTCATAGCTCTGTCTTTTATGAAGACCTCTATGCCTGGTATGTGAATTCAGGACTCAAACAGGCTCTGCTTTTCATAGCCCTCCTGGGTGCCACATGGCTATGTGGCACCCAGGATGACTGGGAAAGACATTAGGAGGGCACCTGTGTCATAGTTTCAAAATGTATTTTCAGTAATTTAAAATCTTAAAGTTAGGTTAAATTAAGTAATAGATAATCATAAAATGTTTGAGTCATTTGTAAGTTGAAATACTGAAATATTTATTATTAAACATGGGTTTAAGTCTATATACATTGACATATTATTTTTATATGGTATAGAAAAGCTGAATATATTTATATCATTAATAAACAATAATTTGAAGAACCATCTTTTTAAAAAAAATACAAAATGTTTTTTATCTACAAAGACTGATATAAACAGTTCAAAATTACTTTCTAGGGTTTTTACTAGAAATTAGGGCTACTAAGACTTAAAATTATAGTTAATCTTTGTAATTAAAACTATTAGACATGAGAGAAACAATTCTGTATACACAGTGTATAAACAAAAGCAAGGGCCAAGCATGGTGGCTTGCTCTTGTAATCCTACCACTTGGGGAAACTGAGGTGGGCAGATTGCTTGAGCCCATGAGTGTGAGACCAGCCTGGGCAACATGGTAAAACTCTCTCTACAAGAAATACAAAAATTAGCTGGGCATGGTGGCATGAGCCTATAGTCCCAGCTACTTGGTGAACTGAGGTGGAAGAATTGCTTGAGCCTGGGGAGGTTGAGGCTGCAGGGAGCTGTAAACACACTACTGCACTCCAGCCTGGATGACAGAGTGAGACCCTGTCTCCAAAACACAAAACAAAACAAAAACAAAAACACGACATGCTTTAGATGGGGGAAGTTATGAAGGCATAAAAATGGGTGTTTGCTAAAAAAAATTGTCTAGTTTGAAGTTACTTAAAGATTTCAAATTGAAGGAGTAAAAAAAAGATAAAACTAGATAAATAAAGAAAGTTAGGGAAAAGTATAAAACACAAAAGGTTTATAGAGTTTATAGAAATCTTATGTGTTCAAAAGATGACAGACTTGATTGATTTATTTATAAGATTTTATTAAATATTAGCTTTATATTTATAGTACACTAATACAAAAATAAAATTTGTTTTTCTCCTCTGAACAAAAATTTCATGTAGTGTTAATAAGACACAGTAAAATATTTTTGTTCACCTTTTGAGTAAACTGCAAAGAGAAAGACAGAGATAAAAGAGAAGAAACAGAATTTGTCTCATGCTGTCTGAGATCTTTTGATTGGAAAACTGAGTCTCCTCTCTCAAAGAGTACAGGTTTTTGTTTAAAAAATCTTTTAATTATCACTTTGGCTAAATGAATGACTATTATTTTATGGTGACTTGTGATCTTATTTTGGTAAAGTGTTTTAAAACTTTGACATATTTGATTGGCCTCCTAAAAATCAAATTTCAACTTCAAAATTAAGTCTTTTTTGACCTTTTAACTTTGGGATGCTACAAAGGTCCCCTGAAGCATCCATAAGGGAGATAAACAGGATTATTTGACATGTGAAATTACATGGGAAGCATTGTCTAACAAGAAAGGATGGTTTAACCTTCTTAAGTTATATCTTAAAGAATATGTTATTAATATATGTTCCAAAGTTATATGGGATTTCTAAAATCCTAATATGTCTGGGTATATGCTATCGGTCATAATTCTGGTTATTATGTTGAGTTATTGTAAACCACAGAAATAACCAAATTTCCTTTTCAATTGTCTTTATGACCATTTAAAGTCATTTCCACAGTTAATTCCTTAATTCTGATGCAGTTTCTCAAAACTTCACAAGCACATAAAATCCTAGAATATGGTGTCTTTAAAGAGATTCATGAAAGGATGGGAAGAACCCTGACACATGCTCTTGAACACAAGTTTCTAATAACTTTAGGACCACATCACTTGGATTGGGTAAAAATTAGTGGAACTCTAATGAAGAGACTGGCTGGTTTATAAAACTACTGAGCCAGGCAGGAAATAAACTAATTGAATACCAAGAAAATATTTTGCCAGATGTTCCTGCTAAATCAGCTAGTACTGAAATTGTTAAGATATGCAATTTAAATGAACTCCATGGTGAAAGTCAAATTACCTATGATAATCTATTGGTTATCAGTGCTATGCACCTAAATTGGAGAAACAATCAGTATTTAAGAGGATATAAGTCCAATGTTAAGTGTGGGCTCCTGGAGAACAGCTGCTTCATCTTCCTGAGTCCTTAAAGCTTTTGTTATCAAAATCTCTGCATTCCATGACTCATCATTGAAGAAATAAAGTGATCCAAATTAAAAATATATATATTGGTTTGGTGACTCTTCTAAGTTGCTAAAATAGTTGATGACCAATGTTTGGTTTGTTAAATTCTTATTCCTAAGAGGACAATCAAAACTGCAGGTACATTTCTGTTTATGATAGGGCATTTAAACATTTACAGAGGGATTTCATTCAATTGTCATTTTCAATGCATGTTTTCTGGTTCTATGAAAGCTTTTCCATGCAAGAGGGCTAATTCTATAACAGTAGCTAAAAGGTTATTAGAAAATGTGTTTTCCCCATGGGACATTCCTGGAGAAATCTCCAGTGATGGAAGTACTTGTTTCACTGGACAAGTTTTAAAGCAGTTAAATAAGGTTTTATAAATATGACAACATTTGGTAAAGCTAACTGAAATGACTGGATTGCTTTGGTCAAAGGTATTTTATATTAATGGCAATCAGATCCACTTCCAGTGTAAACCATAAAGTGATACCTTATAAAATAGTCACTGGAAGACCTATTCCCCTAATAATACAACCTCATTTATCTTCCACTACTGAACTCTGATATAACTAAATGCTGCAAGGCTTTAATGCATTATGTCAAGATGTATTTTCACCAGGTAAAGAAATCTTTTTTATGGTCCACTGACCGAGGACAATCAAACCCTTCACAATCTAGAACTTAGAGACTGGGTCTTCTAAGAACAACATCAGATAAAGACTGCCCTTGCCATCCCCATTGCAGCAAAACTTCAGGACCTTGAACCTTGGGTTCATAATGTCACAGTTCAGATGCCCTTGCCATCCACATTGCAGCAAAATTTCAGGACCTGGAACCTTGGGTTCATAATCTAACAGTTCAGAAGGCCCCCTCCACATTCTTGGAACTGTTCACCTCTTGGAAACCTTAAGGTAAATCTAACCAGGGAAGTTTATCCCCAGAAGCAGATAGCATCCTTGATGCAGACAGCTTTTTCACAACATCATGGATCAAGACTTCTCTGCTATCATCAGACTCTTAACTTTCCATTTTTTTCTTTCTTATTCCCCCGTGAACAATAAAAGTGAAAAAGGTGTCATTGGTGTGCACTCAGCTGGTATAGTTTTTTTTGTGAATGATTTTGCATCCAGCCATATACATGAACAATCTTATGCCTTTTAGAAGAAAGATGAAGGGTCAACCTAGGTGAGAAATTTTAATTGTACATTTGTTGCCTCATAATCAGTCAGAAAGAGAACATTGGTTCACTCATTTTAACCTACATCATAGGTTAAAGAGAACATTGCCAGGAGACTTTGCCCTTCTAGATAGGCATAATTTATGAGGTTTCTTTTTTTATGATTTGGAGTAAATGAGACAATGATTACAAATTTATCCCTCCTGATAGGCCCTATAGCAGATTCTACTGTAAAGGCTATGGCTAGACAACAGATCTTAAATTCTCTTGTGAAAGTTATGCTAAAGGATAAATAATATAAATAATAAAAAATAGAATCATTCTGGATTACTTACTGGCTAGGCAGAGAAGAATCTGTGTAGTTGCTGGCACTTCTTTTTGCACATGGAGAAATACATTGGGTACTATAGAGATTCAGTTGTAGGAGATTAATGAACAGACTGCTTGGTTAAAGTGAGTGGCTCTTTGTCTATCTCACTTTTTGATCAACTTGTTTAGTTTGTTTGATTCATGGGGACCCTAGCTAATGAGCATACTCCAAACTCTTGGTATTATCCTCCTGATAGTCATAATAGTAGTCTCCCTAGTACTCTGTATTCTCTCAAAAGTTTTAAATACTTGCATGCAGGCATCTCAAGAATGTCAAATGGTATCTCTTCCACTGGAATGACAAGAACTCAAATAAATGTGTGACCATGAGGGCACTGTAACGTATGAATGATGTGTTCAGACTAGAAATCCAAAATGATGGTAACTGAGAGTGGCACTAAAGCCTCAGGTGTTGGTCATGTATTAGTCTGTTCTCACATTGCTACAAAAAAACTACCTGAGACTGGGTAGTTTATAAAGAAAAGAGGTTTGGCCAGGTGCGGTGGATCATGCCTGTAATCCCAGCACTTTGAGAAGCCAAGGCATGCAGATCATGAGGTCAAGAGATCGAGACCATCCTGGTCAACATGGTGAAACCCCATCTCTACTAAAAATACAAAAATTAGTTGGGTGTGGTGGCACATGCCTACAGTCCCAGCTACTTGGGATGCTGAGGCAGGAGAATCGCTTGAAGTTGGGAGGTGGAGGTTGCAGTGAGCCAAGATCCTGCCAATGCACTCCAGCCTGGGTGAAAGAGCGAGACTCTGTCTCAATAAATAAATAAATAAATAAATAAATAAATAAATAAATAAGGCCAGGCACGGTGGCTCACGCCTGTAATCCCAGCACTTTGGGAGGCCGAGGCGGGCGGATCACGAGGTCAGGAGATCGAGACCATCCCGGCTAAAACGGTGAAACCCCGTCTCTACTAAAAATACAAAAAAAAATTAGCTGGGCATAGTGGCGGGCGCCTGTAGTCCCAGCTACTTGGGAGGCTGAGGCAGGAGAATGGCGTGAACCCGGGAGGTGGAGCTTGCAGTGAGCCGAGATCCCGCCACTGCACTCCAGCCTGGGCGACAGAGCGAGACTCCGTCTCAAAAAAAAAAATAAAATAAATAAATAAATAAATAAATAAATAAATAATAAATACAAGAGGTTTAGTTGACTCACAGTTCTGCAGGCTGTTCAGGAGGCATGGTGGGGGAGACCTCAGGAAACTTACAATCATGGCACAAGGTGAAGGGGAAGCAAACACATCTTCACATGGCAACAGGAGAGAGAGAGAGCAAAGGGGGAAGTGACATACACTTTTAAACCATCAGGTCTCATGAGAACTCACTCACTATCACAGGAAAAATGAGAGGAAAATCCATCCCCATGATCCAATCCCACCTCCCACCAGGTCCTTCCCCCAACATTGGGAATTATAATTCAACATGAGATTTGGGTGGGGACACAGAGCCAAATCATACCAATCATACTCTCACCTAAGTGAGAACCTGACAAAAAGGGTGTAATTCTTAAACAAAATTATGGGAGGCCATTGTTTTGAACTGAGCTCATACACTAGGCCCAACAGACCAGACCAAACCAAAATGGAGTCACTCATACTACATATGGCATAATTTAACTCAGACTTTAAGGAAAGAGATAGGTCCTAGAACTGATCAGGTTTTGTTTCTCTCCTGTAAACAGGAGAGTCCAGCGCAAGGAAGTACCCTCTGCTCTAACCCTTACCAAAAAAAATAACCTGATGTCCTTGTACCTACCTTACAAAACCCTCTGTTCTGCTATTATTCAGTGGATTTCAAGACCAAATCAGTACATTTACATTGATGATAGTGACGTCAATTACTAATGTTTTGGGCAATCTCTCAAAATCAAGGGGATGATCAAAAGGGGGAATTTGTTAAATTAAGCTTAGCCTAAAGCTGCCTCCTTATATATTTTAAGTTCACCCTTAAGGTTTCTATACACAGTAAACTGAAACCTAACTGGATATATAAACAGACTAGCCTATTTTTGTGCCAATCACCAAGTTTTGGCCAATTAAAGTGGGCCAACTGTTCAAATTGTGTTCAAATAAGGCAAACTCTAAGCTGTAATCAATCTGGCTGTTGCTGTACTTCACTTCTGTTTTCTGTCTGTCACCTTCCATTTTCTGCCCATAAATCTTCTTCTACCACATGGCTGTGCTGGAGTCTCTCTGAGCCTGCTGTGGTTTGGGAGGCTGCCTGATTCATGAATCATTCTTTGCTTAATTAAATTTTGTTAAATTAAATTTGTCTAAGGTTTTTCTTTTAACAAGTGCATACTCAGAAAGACATGAGAAAGCCTCAACTCTCATCTTGGGCTGACCTTAATATGTTGAGCAAACAGCAAGGGAAGGCTAAGGCAGAATTGTTCATTACCTACTAATGTTTGAAGTGTGCCCCATCACTCATACAGACCCCCTCAGCAAATAGTGAAAGACTTATTGGTTCCAAGCACTTAAGGAAATCACTATCCATTCATTATCTGACCTTTAAGCTAGCCAAGTAGAGACTTCAGTCCTCATATATGAAAGAGAATACAGACTTGGCAGAATTATTTCTTTAAAGTCAGTAAACAAACAATAAAAGCTACCAAAAAATGCCCCAGCAACAATAACAAACCCTGGGGAAGTTGCAAAATCTGATTCCTGGGGTTTTCACACTATAATATTTAAAATGTCAATTTTTAAGAAAAAATTGCAAGACGCAAAAAGAAACAAGAAAGTACAGCCCATATGCAGGAGGAAAAAGCAATCAATGGAAAGTGTCCCTGTGGAAGCTCACATGATGAACTTACTCATGAAAGACTTTAAACCAGATATTCCCAATCTACTCAAAGAAATTTTAAAAAATTCTTAAAGAACTGAAGGAAAGCATGAGAATAATGTCATACCAAATAGAAAATATAACACAATTGAAATTATTAAGAAACAGAAATTCTGGAGTGGAAAAGTACAATAACTAACTTGAGAAGTACAAGAGAAGTATAAACATCTTGCCTAAAACCTTTCCTCAAGCTTTGTCGCTTTGCCTCAAGCTCCACCAATCATTGTATTCTTCTTGAAGCAAAGCAACAATAGGTTGGAAGGGTTTTAGGCAGGATGTTTATCAGGCAGGAGCTCATTTATTGTGACATATTCCCTCTTTAAAAATGTAAATATTCTTGGGAAAGTTTAGCTTCTCATAATCCATCCAATCTTCTTGTGCATTAGTTCCATGTGACTAACAGACTGACTACCCTTAGAATGCAGGGTCTTGGTTGAGTGGCAGCTGTGGAGGAGAGTCAAGGGAAGGTTCACAGCCACTCTTGGCATTTACTCAGCATGGATACATGAGCTGCACTAAGGATTCTTCGTTTTGACATTTTAGCCAGAGCTGACTCTGCCCCACGCATCACACAAAGAAAATAGAAGGCACATAAAGAAGATTCTGAAGGCATTAATAAATGGAGCTCTAAGGTGTGAAATAGACACAGAGCAGCACCACTACTGCAAGCCAATGGAGACCAATGGAGAAGGAACACGTTTGACAAAGAGTACAAAAATAGATCCTGAGAGCTCAAATTTAACTCTATCAGCATTAAGTCAACACAACTAGAACAAACATTCATATTAGGTCCTGTTTCTCAAACATAAAACAAACATTTAAATTTCTCAGTTGGATTTGCCATGTATAGCCAGGAAAAGCAGGCCTGGTTCTGAGATCCAGGATGTAGCCAAAAGGTGACAAGAAATCATCTCAGGGAGTGGACTTTCTTTCCATCCCCGGTTCTTAGAGTTCCTAGGCATTGTAGATCAAGATAGCAAAATAAACTCAGTAAAATGTTCTCATGGAAAAAAGCCAAAGGCTAGCTCTGATAAGAGCCTGTTTAAGCACAAGAGGCAAATACCTGTGATCTAATTTGACTTCTCTGTAGAAAATCTCTTGCTAAAAGACACTAACATGTGGATGTTAAATGTTTGGCCCAATTCTGCCATTTGTTAGCTGTATGACCTATGCAGTCTACTTAACATTGTTGGGCATCTTTTTTTCTATCTGTACAAACAGGAATAATAATATCTGCCTCATAAGCTTCTCATGATAATTTCCTGATATATTACATAAGAAGCACTTAGTATAGGGCCTGACATGTAATTATACTCCGGGATTTGTATCTGTTGTTACTGTATTAACAATGATGCCTCTATCAGTTCTGCCTGAGTGCCTCAATATGCAACTCAGGAGAGCTATTTCTTTGGGGCTTAGACATTTGTCCCAGGAATTTTTCTTTCAAAACGTAAAAAAGTTTAGGAGGTGGTCATATATTAAGAGTTTCCATTAGTAATGCCTTTGTATTTGTTAATAGCCAGAAACTTGATCTCCAATTATTTAGCAAAAGACTGAGCTCTTGGAAAATGAAATGTGAGGTCAATATGCTTTTACTTGGTGGGGGGGTTAATTTTTTGCATCTGAAGCCATGTGGGAGACATGCCCTGATTGTGATCCCTTGAACAGTTAGGGGCCAGGTGGGAGTTTGGGATGTGGGAAGAGGACAGGGGTAAAAGTGGAGCCCCCAACACAGGAAGGAGGGGAGCACAGTGCAGCAGTGAGTCACTCTAGCCCCAGCACTGACTAGCATGTCCTAGCATGACTCCAGCACGCTGTCATTTGGAATAAATCTTGGATAGGATAAAACCTGAGTTTAATGAAATTATGGATTCTCAGAATTTTTAATCCGGAGGGTGCAAGAAATTACACAAACCAAGTGGTCAGGACCGTGAACAATAGCCACACTCAGAGAGCTGATCAGGGTCGGCAGAGAAACAGCCCGACATGACTGCTTGTGGTCTGTGACTCAACTGTATCATCTGGATTGACTTTCTAAATGTGAAGTTTCAGCCAGTCCCTAAAATCCACAGACAGACTAAAGTTCCAGCAGGTGACCCACACTGAACTCTGTGGTAACCAGTTTTAAACTGACAAACCAAAGACCTATTTGAACAAACCACTTTCCCTCATCATACCTCATGGGTTTGCTTTCAGGAGTGTGAGACCATGGTGGAGAGGTTGTCCTCACTGGGACCTGTCTCAGCATATACCTGTATACAGGTAAATCCCCAATGCTCTTAACTGAATGTCTCTGCATTATCTTGGAGGTTCTGCAGAAACCTCATTACCCATAGTCTAACTCTTCTGTACTGGGTTATGACTTCCCCACCTTCACTTGCAGTGAGCTTGGGCTAGCACTACTATGTTTCACAGGCTCTCTGCACTGAGATATCAATTTCTACACCTGCCATCATGTTAGAGATGTGCATAATGGAATTTAAAAGCTTTGTATTACCACTATTTAAAAACATATCTGGCTGGGCCTGGTGGCTCATGCCTGTAATCCCAGCACTGTGGCAGACCAAGGCAGGCAGATCACGTGAGGTCAGGAGTTCGAGACCAGCCTGACCAATATGGTGAAACCCTGTCTCTACTAAAAATACAAAAATTAGCCGGGCTTGGTGGTGGGTACCTGTAATCCCATCTACCTGGGAGGCTGAGGCGGGAGAATCGCTTGACCCTGGGAGGCAGAGGTTGCAGTGAGCTGAGATCATGCCACTGCACTCCAGCCTGGGTGACAGAGTGAGACTCCATCTCAAAAAAAAAAAAAGAAAAAAAATATATGTATATGTCAGAACACAGATATTCCTGAGAAGCAGCTACCTCCCATGACTCACTCTGTTTGGCATTGCTAATTATTCAGCTGACTCTTGCAAGAATGAGTTGTTGAGCTGAGGGCCAAGACCTTGAGAATAGAGCAGGGAAGAGGCTGGGAGAGCTGTGCAGCAGGGATGGAAGCCTGTTTGAGCAGAGCTGTTTCGCAGCATCTCCACCCATGGTTTTTGTTTTTCTCCATTTGAAAGGTCTTTTAAAGCACAGGTCTATGGACACACAAGGGAGGAATCTAATTTGATGGCATCACATGCACCACGCAAAAATCCATAGACCTTCTATGTCATTCCTTCAAACACTTCAGTCTGTCTCAATAGTTATGGTTCAAACAGGTAAAACAGAATTTGAGTTGCTTGGGCATTTCTTGCCTCCTTACTACATAAGATCAAGTGGGGAAGGTGAAAACCAGAACAAGTCACCCTGGGAGGCCCAAATGGGAAGTGTCAGTCATGCATTTGTGTATATTCAGTGTGAAGTGTAACCACCTGTCAGTCCACGTGACTGAAAATGTAGCTATGGGGGTTGCAAGGCTGGGTCAAATGGCCTGTGCTTTGACAGATTTGCACTGGGTTTCATTATTTACCATTATTAAAATAGACAATTATGGTGTTGGCTGTAAACAATAATCTATGACTGGCCATCACCTTAATGAAGATCAGAAAAGCATATCAACAAAAGTATAATACAACCAACAAACAACTAAGATGAATTTATAACTACAGTGAAGACATAATTACAAATTTTGAAATAGAGATGACTAAAACTGGAGTTTACTATGGTCTTTTTCCCAATAAATTATGTGGGTTTTTTTTCAGTCAAAGCTAATGGACATCAGGAATTGTGGGATATTCAGTGGCTGCACGTCAGGGAACCTGGGTCCCAGGTCCAGTTTTATCACTGACAAACTCTGTGAATTTGGCAAAGTTATCTGTGAAATAGTTGAACTGGATAGTCAACTATTAGTCATTAGTTCACTATCTTTTCACAACCAAAATAAAATGGGTTAACATAATTCTAAACAATTATATTTAAAATGAAAGATAAAAAGGAAAACAACAGGATTGTGGTTTTCAAACTCTTCCCTGAGAAACCATCAGGGCTCAGAGGAGTGAGGTAGCAGGACTCTAGGGTCCCAGCCCTTTTATATTTTCTTAAGTCTTATACATTGGGCTTCTCAATAATAGTTTGTCTAAAAACTCTAAGAATTTAAACTGAAAACAGCTGCGTTGGGTATTGCTGACAAATATGTCTTTTGTGTCCTATCTTTGCCTCCACTCTGTGCTTTCTTCACCTTAAAAAATATGAGTGCCACAGAACAAAAAAAAATTCAGGAAACAGGCAAATCTACATTTTCTGATTATTCCATAAACTTTACAAAAAATTCCAGAAAGTAAAAGGTCTACCCTGTCATAAGTGTGCTGCTGTAAGGGGCCTGTTTTCCTCCTATAAGTTGTGACAAGCTGGGAACCAGGCTGTGGAAGATCTCAGGCCCTGGCCAGTCTGTCCAGGTGCTGCTGCTCTCAGTCTCCTGGATGGTGGCGAGCATCACCAAATGAACAGAGCCCGTCCAGGTGCTTCTGTTGTCCGTCTCCAGGATAGTGGTGAGTATCATCAAACAAACAGAACTGTGTTCAGGTCCTGTGAAGGAACTCCCCAAATCTCCATAATTCAGCAGGAGACAAAATAAGGGTAATCACCCCACCACCTGGATCCACTTAGATTAAGTAAATTTACTGAAGCTCCAGGGGGAGGTCTTCAAGACTCGGATCTTGGTTATAGATTTAAAGTAGTTAATCACTTATGTCTTTAGATGAATGCATATTTACACATAGCCATATAGCTTAGAATATATATAAGCTCTGGAAGACTTTGTAATTTTGAGTTGGTCTGGAGATATTTTCCAGGCCTTCTCCATGTAACTGGTTACAGAAATAAAAACTCACTTCCTCCGCAGTTCATCTGCATCTTATTATTGGGCAACCAGAAATAGCGGTCCGATCCCCAGTTTGGTCCAGGAATAGCACCAGATGGAGGAGCAGCACCAGTGAGACTCACAAGGGCGTGGAGACTTGGGATGGGGGCTGAAATGGGCTCATACTCATTCTTGAAGCCATGGACTCCTTCCAGGTCAATGGCCTCCCCAGTTGCAGGAGAATGGCTTTTCTGCCAAGAGGAGAAAATGATGCACTCCCAATAGTACCTCGGACTCACAGCCTTCCCAGGGAGGGATAAAGAAATAGAAATGAGAATAACTAAAAATTATGAACAATTATTCCCTAAACTAGCACATGTAAGTAAGAATGATAAAATAACATGTTTGTAAACATGGAGGCATGTTTGTACATTCTCAGTAACATTAATGTTTCTGAGAGGAAGTCTAGCACTATATAAAGTAAAACTGTTTATGTCATTTGAACTGTATTGCACGTACAAAAAAAAAATTAAAAGAAAATCCCAAAAGAAAGTTATGTATAACTTATTAAAGAAAAAATTAAAACTGCAATGTCCAATATTAAAGAAATGCTGACTTGGCATGGTGGCTCATACCTATAATTCCAACATTTTGGGAGGCTGAGGTGGGCAGATCGCTTGAGGTCAGGAGGTCGAGACCAGCCTGGCCAACATGGCGAAACCCTGTCTCTACTAAAAATAGAAAAATTTTCTGGGTGTGGTGGCAGGCACTTGTAATCCCAGCTACTCAGAGGCTGAGGCAGGAGAATCTCTGGAACCCAGGAGGTGAAGGTTACTGTGAGCCGACATTGCAACATTGCACTGCAGCCTGGGTGACAGAGCGAGACTCTGTCTCCAAAAAAAAAAAAAAAAAAAAGATTAAATAGTCAATCATATAATCGTGTAAATGCCGTATGAGATAATGTTGAGCAAAAAATTAAGAAGACAATATTATTAGTAATTGTATCTGTGCACTCACTGTTCAACAATGAACAGAAGATAATTTGGAGTGAAGGAGTTATGTAATTTTCATTAGTTTTTTTACCATCTGTGAAAGGAAAATAAATATTGGGGCCCCCAAGTCACTAAGCTAAAGGGAAAAGTCAAGCTGGGAACTGCTTAGGACAAACATGCCTCCCATTCTATTCAAAGTTACCCTCTGCTTACTGAGATAAATACATATCTGATTGCCTCCTTTGGAGAGGCTAATCAGAAACTCAAGTGAATGCAACTATTTGTCTCTTATCTACCTATGACCTGGGAGTCCCTTCCCTGCTTTGAGTTCCCCCAACTGTGCTTTGAGTTGTCCAACCTTTCCAAACTGAATCAATGTTCATCTTACATATGTTGATTGATGTCTTGTATCTCCCTAAAATGTATAAAACCAAACAGTGCTCTGACCACCTTGGGCACATGTCGTCAGTATATGTCAGTTGATGCATGTCCTCAACCTTGGCAAAATAAACTTTCTAAATTAACTGAGACCTGTCTCAAATTTTTGGGGTTCACACCCCAAAAGTATTTAAATTCAAATCTTGTAAAAACACTAAGCTATAACTCTATTTTAGCCACAGTCTTTCATTTCTATGATTTGCCTGTTATTTCTTTGAATCAAGATGACAACATTGGCCTTTAATTTTCTCACCCCTTCTCACCTGTGGAACTATATGTGATAGTTAATTTCAGGTGTCAACTTGGTTGGGTTAAGGGATGTCCAGATAGCTGGTGAGGTATTATTTCTGGGTGCATGTGTGAGCATGTTTCTGGCAGAGACTGGCATTTGAATCAGTGACTGAGTAAAGATCCATCCTCCCACAATGTGAATGGCTCCATCCCATTCATCAAGACCCAGATAGAACCAAAAGGCATAGGAAAGGCAAATTTGTTATCTCTCCTTGAGCTGGGCACCATCTTCTGCCCTTGGACATCAGGACTCCAGGTTCTTAGGCCTTTCAGTCTCTAGGACTTACATCAGTGGCCTCCGATATCTCAGACTTTTGGCCTCAAACTGTGAGTTACACCATCAGCTTTCTTGGTTCTCAGACCTTTTGACTTCCCCTTTATCTTTTCAAACAGACTAACTTTTGAACCTCTGGGATTCTGGCCTATCTTTTTGAAGGCTGGTACAGAAAGTGATTTGAGGAGTCATCTCATACAGCAGAAGACTACCAATGTACTAGACATACTCTATTCCCATCAGTGTATTTTTGTGAAACCATATTGCCCTAATCTTGCTTAGCATAAATATCTGGAGCTTAGTTTCTTTTTTCTCCCCTAAGCATAAACCTCTTTCTCAGCACCTGAGTTCTAGTCTGGGAGTTTTGAAGAGTTATTTTGTTCCTGTTTCCAGAATATGTTACAACTTTCTTTCAAGCCAACATGCCCCTAAGGAGAAAAGCCATCTTTGTGGTTCACTTAGCATTCGTTGATTGCCTTGTTTGTTTCTTTTGTCAGCCTTGCATGTTCTGTTAATTTGGCCTAGTGCATCCTGAGGTAATAGAGCATTTCCAAACTTAAAAATATAAACACAAAGGTAAGAAAAAATGCAGAGAGAAGAGGTACATTTATGTCTGGACCTCACAGAAATAACACAGTTGCTCTTGGTTGTGGGTAGGATGTTGGGAAACCCACAGGAATTTCCACCTGGGGGCTGGAAATAGGAGTGATCTGAATAAGTAGCTCAGGATAATAATCAACTCACAACTATCTTTTAAAAGAAACCTCGATTCTGAGTAAGATCCTTTTCCCATACTCTTTTAGTCAAAACTTCGGATTTGCTGTTTTCATCTTTCCTGTACTATCACAACTTCTGATCATCTATGGGACTAGGTGGGAGGTGTTTCATCTTATTCTGGGTTAAGGTCTCAAGTCATCTCAAAGAGCCAAAATTACAGGCTGTGGGGTTCCTTATATCACCTGTAAGTTCTGATGACACAGAGGTAGATTTCTCTGAATCATGCCATTGCAGGCAAATTTCCCCCTCACATCTAAGGAGCTTGCTGCTTCATGAGTTGAGCAGTAGTTTGGCTTGGGTAGGCTGTGTGGCACACCCTTATCTCAACTATATTCAGTCAAAAATGGTGCCTCCTGGGGGCCTGATGCATCCTGAGATAACCTGGCACATGACAGATTGTCACCTCTCATCTTGTTCTTTCTGGGCACATACACATTGTTTAGATTTTGTTTTGCTGTGCATAAACAGTCAAATGCATGCATGATGTGACTCCCCTGTATACCTTACAAAGCATACACACCTGTGTGACTTATGTTATCCTCAGTGCTTACCTGCACTGTGGGGCTCTTAGAGGCTGATGAACTATGCAGAGAAGAGAAGACAGCAGAGGGCAGGACCCTACGGACCACCAAGTCTTGGCAGGAGGGAAATTGAAGAGGACCAGACAGAAAAAAAGAGGAGCCCACAGAGGATGCTTAAAGAGAAGAATTGCCAGAAAGTAGAAGGAAAAACAGGAGAGTGCCGGGTCCCGGATCCCAAAAGAGGCAACTCTGAAAGAGGGAATAGTCATCGCCAAGTGCTGCAGGGGAGTCCACAGTGACTGAGTCTAAGGGAGCTGGCATTTGACATTAGGCAGCATCTACAGCTGACTTCTCTGGGGAGCCACAAGCCCGTCTTCCCCCTTTTCCCTTTGAAAAAGTTTTAAAGGAGACAGGAAGTCTACTGCTGCAGGAAGACACAAAGTCTGCATCATTTAAAAATCAAGTGTGCCAAGGGAAAGGAAAAAAATGACAGATGTAATAGTAATAGCAGTAATTACTAGCCTACTAGCCTACCAACCTACCAACAAACCGACCAACCGAGCAACCAACCTACCAACCTGCTGCCTTCAAGGTCAGCAGCTGAACTCTTTCTCTCTCTGGGCATGAGCAAGCTGAGCTGTGTCCTTGCTCCCTCCTGTCCATCTGCAAGATGGACAGCTTTGGCTCTCTCCTTCTCTTTGTGTGTGAGTGTTTGCACATGAGCCATGTTGAGCTCTATACACAGTGTCAGCAGGGCAATTATACCTTTATCAGACAATAGTGGCTCGAGCCAAGAATGAACTTACACAAGCAGTTGTATAATAAGTGGAGGTGTGCGCCTGTGTTCCAAACTCACTGAGTCATGCATGCCTGGATATTCGCCTCAGCCTGTTCCTTGACCAAAGCACATCCATGTACCTTACAGGAGTGAATAGACTTTACTAAAATAATTCAGCCAATTACTAAACAAATAATTAAATAATAGTAACAAGCTCCAAGGGGGATTATCAGTACACAGAGTTGCTACAATATATTATCTAAAATGTCCAGTTACAACAATAATTATAAAGTGTGCCATGTAACAGGAAAGTATGTCCCATATACCGGGCAGGGGGTGAGCAGGAGTGAGAAGAAACTGCCATTGAGAGTGACCAGTTGTATGATTTAACAGAAAAAAAAGACTCTAAGTTAGACATAAAGTTTGATTAAAGAAGTAAATGGGCTCGGTGTGGTGGCTCATGCCTGTAATCCAAGCACTTTGGGATGCCAAAGCAGGTGGGTCTTTTGAGGCCATGAGTTTGAGACCAGCCTGGTCAATATGGAGAAACCTCATTTCTCCTAAAAATACAAAAAAAGCCCAGTGTGGTACCTGTCTGTAGTCCCAGCTACTCAGAAGGCTCAAGCATGAGAATTGTTTGAACCCAAGAGGTGGAGGTTGCAGTGAGCTATGATCATGCCATTGTGCTCCAGCCTGGATGACAGAGCAAGACCCTGTCTCAAAAAAAAGAAGTAAATGAAGGTATGATAATAATATTGCATCAAATTGAGAATATCAATAAAGAGAGTAATTATAAAAAAAGAACTAAATGGAAATTCTTGAGAAATTCAACAACTGAAATGAAAACCTTATTGTAGGGACTCAACAGGTTTGAACTAGCAGAAAAAAAAGAAGAAGCAAATTTGAAAAAAAGATTAATAGATGTTATGCAAGCTGAAAAATAGAGAGGAGAAAAGAATGAAGAAAAAAATGAACAGAGCCTCACTGAAATGTGGAACACCATCAGGCACACATATATGCTTATTAGGATTACTAGAAAGAGAGGAGAGACTGAAGGGACCAGAGAAAATATATGAAGAAATAAGGGTGGAAAAAAATATCAAATTTTTTGGAAAACAATAACCAACAGATTCCAAAAGCTCAATAAACTCCTAGTAAGGTAAACTCAAAGAGATCCACAAACAAATGCATCATAGTAAAAATGCTGAAAGCCAAAGATAAGGAGAAAATTATGAAAACAGCAAAGAAAAATGACTCATTACTTATAATGGAATCCTAGTAAGATTGACAGCTGACTTCACATCACAAAAGATGGAGGCCAGAAGACAATGGGATAGCATATTCAAAATTTTCAAAGTAAAAAATCTGTCAACTAAGGATCCTATATCCAGCAAAGGTATTATTCAAAACTGAAGTAAAAATAAAGGTTTTCCCAGATAAACAAAAACAGATAATTTATTACTTGCAGACCCACCTTATAAGAAATACTAAAGGAAGTTCTACAGGCTGAAATCAAGTGATTCTGTATAGTAATTTGAACACACACACATACACACACACACAAACACACACACACACACACACACACACACACACACACACACCAGTAAAAGTTATGTAATTATTTTAAAAAATACATAAATGCATACTTTTTCTCCTGTATTCTCATAAATTATTTAAAAAGTAACCATACACAGGCTGGGCACGGTGGCTCATGCCTGTAATCCCAACACTTTGGGAGGCCAAGACAGGTGGATCACGAGGTCAGGAGATCAAGACCATCCTGGCTAACACCGTGAAACCCCATCTCTACTAAAAATCCAAAATTTAACTGGGCGTGGTGGTGGGTGCCTGTAGTCCTAGCTACTCAGGAGGCTGAGGCAGGAGAATTGCTTCAACCCAGGAGGCAGAGCTTGCAGTGAGCTGAGATCACACCACTGCACTCCAGCCTGGGTGACAGAGCAAGACTCTGTCTCAAAAAATAAAAAATAAATAAAAAGTAACCATACACAATAATGTGTATATAATGTTGGACCTATAGCATACTATAGCATATTGAGAAAGAGTACGGTTGCTTATTGATTAAGCTCTGTTGAGACCAGGCCCTTCCCCAATAATATGAAGGTCAAATCCCCTTGAGGATGCCCAATCATATATCCTGCCCCAGGAAAGGGTGAAGTGTGGAGGCACCACCAGATTCTGTCATCACTGGGGACACAGGGAGGAGCACCTAAAATACTCCTACAGTGTGGAGCATTAAAGCCCCTACAATGTGGCCACCATTTTAGAGAAGTGATCTTGTCTTCCCACAGCTTCTTCAACACCTTTTTGTCATAGTCTTACCAATCAACACTTGACCTGTTTTAAAGAGTATGCTCAGGGGGGTGTTGGTCCCCCCTTCTCCCCACTTAGCTGTTTTTCTTAAGGAAAGAGAAAGCATTCTGTCACAAGTATGAGGGCACAGAGACAGAGGGAAACTTAAGGAATGAGTGGGTAGAAGTGCAATGCACTTGACCAGCCTGAGAAGACGAGAGTCAATGCCAGGATGGAGGATAGACAGTGGTAAGCTCATGATGGGCCATGAACCATCGGCTTGAAAAGTTTGGGCCATCCAGTAACATCAATGGAAGTCACCAAAGAACTTTAGGTTTCCAGATAGTTTAAAGTCTCAGTAACTATTAATAAACATAACTGGAAGTTAAGGAACTGTCTTAGAGATACTGGAAAGAATATCGTCAGGAAAACTAAGTTTCATTTCTTATTTTGCTTGCAATTTTCATGGCTATATCCTTAAAGCTCTCTCCTTTGTGGATTGTGGGACAGTCTTGCTGCCAGTTTATGTGATGCTTTATTATGTAAACTAGGGTTTCTCTGATTCTAAAACACCTGACAAGTATTTTCTTTCCCTGATTAATTTTCTGTTTTAAAATTTTTCCTGATGTTTACCTGACAGCTTCACACTCTCAAAGGATGAGCAATAATATTCTTGCTAAACCAAATCCCCAGTCAAAAGAGCAAGCCAAAATTTTTGTTTTCCCAGTAAAGAAATGTTATTAACATAAAATTTTCCTGGAATCTTAACATTTTAAGGTTGGGTGGAACCTTAGAAATCATCTGCTGTGATTTTTTTTTTCACAAATGAGCAAACTGATACATGGAGAGCTGTGTTCTATCCAACACCCCAATTAATAGCAGCAGGACTTGAACCTGGGCTTATTCACCCTTACACAGTGTTCTTTTCACTGTTTTTTATTATAGAAAACAAATGACCCCAGAACAGGAGTTTATAAATATTTGGAGTTTTTAAATACATTTTAAGATATGAAGTTTTTGTATATTAGAAAATAACATCTTTTTTCTACAAATTTATGTTGATGCAGTAGATTTTCAAGAATATTTGATAAATTCCAGGAAAATTGGTTATGGTAGGTAGAAGTCAGTGGAAATCTCAGTGTTTAGTGATGAAAGGGATGGATTTGACTACTCTGTTGAATCCAGGTACACTTAAACAAATAACCGATAACAGATAGTAAAATAATTGCATGGCTACTTCCTGCTTGTCTCTGCTCAGCACCTCATAACTTCGTCTTCCTAAGATCCTGTCAGCCACATTCTGCTGTGTTTTCTCCGGCCCCACCACTCTTCTGTGCCTCATCTTACACATTCTCCATTTTGGTGACAAAGCTGGATTCTGTCTATTGGCCTCAGCAGGCTATTCTCTGCCTCGGTATCTAAGTGGCTTCTTGTCACTTAGATAATTAATTTCAGCTTCCTTTTCTCTGACAGTGATAACCTCAATACCAAATCTGAAAATATCTCTAACTGCATGTCTCTTTTCCCCTCAAGTCACAAATCGAATCGGCCAGATATTTTAGCACTTACCGTAATTTAGCAGCCTCCCAATATCTGAGTTCTTTAGTAACTGAGAAACTTTGGATGCTATTCACAGAAATTTATTTTATTTATAAACAAAATGTGGCCCCAATTTGTCAACGTTTTAATTGCCTTTGCAACATTGTTCCTCACTCCAACCCACCATGGAAATAAGTGCTGGCTTAAAGAGAAACCAAGGAGGACCTGCAGAATTAGAAGCAGGCAACAAGAAGACTGATGAGTATTAAATGGGACTCCCAAGAGAAGTTTTGCATGGGTCAACCGTCCTCCATGTCTGCATCTAGCTAGGGCTTAGCTGGCTTTTAGATGAATGGAATTCTGAGCCTAACAACCAACAGATACCTTTCTCTGTCCCTTAATGTCAGCAGAAGGAAGTGGAAATGTTTAGGTGAATGAGAAAATAAAAATAGCACATTTGAAAGAAATGATCAAAATTAAGACCAGATCAGTATATTTTTTTTCAAGCCACACCAAGTGTCAGATGACTGGATTAGTTTGCATCTGGTTTTGAAAATTCTGTCTCAACATTCAACAGCCAGCACCTGTCGTGAGCAGTCTGAGGCTTTTTCAAGTAAGCTTCAAATATCTGCTGTTGAATGCATTTGGTTAAACCTTGTTTCTCTTGAATGCACGTGTACAGTATACACTGGGCAGAGTCCACAGTGTGACACACATTGTTGAGTATGTCTCCTTTAAGTGAAGAGTCAACCATGTGCCACTTGGTGGAGGAAGATACACTCTGCACAGTCCATGCTTATGCAAAGCCACTGACCCCACTCTGGAACTTTTTTTTTTTGCCTTGGGGTGAATATGCTAAGCTTGGTTACGATGAGAACACAGTTACTGGTTTTCTAGTCTCCCTAACCACAAAAATCAATACCAGCTTAGTTTGCAAATTTTCTTAGCAAATCAAGATTAAATGCATGGCTTGGTTTGAAATTGGATATGGTCATGAATAAACCCTAAGTTTTAAAATATTGTTAAACAACTGTCTTCTCATCTCCATACACATCATATCTGACCAATGTCTTTATATGTGTATTCTATCATATCTGTTCACAGAATTCTTATTTCCCATTTGGCAGAAGAGGAAAGAGATCTGCCAAAGAACAAATGATGTATCCTGGTGATGGGGCCAATCTTTGAATCCAAGCCCTGTCCCAAGATGTTTCTATTCTAAATACAGTGGAATCAGGAGAAGGATAAGCTACAATTTTTTCTCATGTGTATATATGGAGCAGGTAACTGACAGATTCTCAGGTGAGATTACTGACAAGCCAGGGGTTGCAGACCGAATTGTTAGACCCAGTTTGTGACTCCCTGTGGTTGGACAGAGTATACTTCCTTGACCATGTGACTTGTTTTGGCCAAAGGAATGATAGTGGATTTGACACAAGCAGGTCTTGAAATGTTTGTGGGGCTGCCCTTGCCTTCTCCTGCTTTGTCATCACCAGTTACTCCTGGGTATCTGTAACCCATTCAGCTTGAGCCTCAGAATAAGACAGATAGAGCATGCCTGGGCCATACCTGAACCTGGATCTAAGACCAGACGAGCCGAGTGAAGACCCTCAAACCTCAGCTGACCCAGAAACTCATGAGCAAAAAAAAACTAAATTTGTGGTCACAAGACATTAAAATTTTAAGGTTGATTGTTACCCAGCTGACTGACCTATCAGATTATGGAGGGATGATAACAGTTATATGAAGAGGTAGCCCAGTGAAGAATGGGGTGAATTGGAGAAGTTTCGATGAAGAAGGTGAGTCTTGAACTGAAGCTTTACTTCCATCTCCTCCAAATCAGCCTAAGCCAGGCTAAATGAGTTAATTGTGATTGTTACTCAGACTAAAAGTATCTTAAATCTTCTAACATTGAAGTCTTGCCAAATACAGACTAGCTATCAAGGCTCAAGAGATCTTTGACATTAGCTGTAAACATTCACCTTGCAATGACTCCTGGGAAAAGAACAATCTCATGAGTGAAGTTTCAGCTTGCTTTGAAAATAGGAATAATAATTTAAAAGAAGCAAAACTGAAAATGAGATCTGAAGAAGTGTCCTGCTTTGTGAAGAAAGAAAGAGGCTTTCTCACCTCCTGCCCCTCCCCGCAAACTCATCTACATCTACACAGCTTTCTCCACTCACCTCCCATTTCACCTGAGCACTGTCTCTCTTCTCCAAATTTACTCCTCCCCTCTCTGGATTCAACCTCTCCCTTTCACAACTTGTACTTTTCTTCCAATTTATAAAGACTGTCATGTTTTCCTATCTTAAAAAAATTCTACAAAGAAAATAACCCTTATGCAACTTCATGTAACCCCTCCCTACCTTCCACCCTGCTCCTCACAGCCCTCAGCTCACTGGCTCTACATGGCTGTTGTCCAGAAGAGGCTGGAGGCCCAGGCCCTGCTCTGAGCTCCCCTATAACTTCTTCTTTACCTGGACTTCCCCAGCTAAATGATCCACAGGCCCTTCAAACTTAATCCATGAGGTTTGGATTAAGGGTCTAGGCCTCCCTCTCTAACACCTGATCAGTCACCAGCATCTTCAGTTCTATTTCTGAGTATTTCCTAGCCTGTCCCCTTCCCCATTTCCCTACCACTACTTCTCTGGTTCAGCCCTCAGCATCTCTCCTTTGGATGTTACCTCCCTGCAGGTTTTCTTCCTCTAAGAGGAAGCATAATAGTAATTTATGCTGAGTGGAATGGCCAAATACATTTATTTAATATGCTCTAGGAGGAGTCATGAATATTTATGGAAGGAGAAATGCATGCATGCGCAATTGAGTTTCTTGCTTCTTCATGGGTCCCATGTACAAAAAATGGCGGTGTTAGCATGATCCCATGGTGGAGTTTTCAGCCCTCTGACATTAAAAGGTGAAGCAGAGTACATGAAAACTCGCTCGGTGCATCCTCTGTATGCTGGCCAGAACCTCTCCATCATGGGTGGTCTCTTATCAGGCAAGAAAGGAGAGGTTGATATCAGTGGTGTAGCCTTTGGAAGGGCTGGTTTCTGTTAAATCCTTAGGGAAGAAAGCCTCATCATGGTTAGCAAAGGAGGGGGTATAACGATGTGTATCTGACCCCCATCATCCCATCCTAGCAAAGCTGAGAACTCAGTTTTGAAAGTTACTCTGGGGTCCCCTCAGCCAAGAGTGGGTCTGTTCAGTCAGTTGGGAGCTTAGGATTTCATTTTCATTTATCAATGCTAATGGGAAAGAGTACACTGTCTTCATGGCAGCTGAATTTGCAAGAAACTCCTTGGATGGGGTTAATGCAGCTGTATTTTTCTGGGAGCTCTGCTTTAATTGGATAAAGTAAGTTCTGGTATGATTTCTTCCTTTATCTTCAGTATCTCAAATGTTTTCATTTAAATAATCTGTGTAACAATTTTTGATGTCAGAGTAGATTCCCACACAGTCATCTATTGTTAAGACTTTCTGATTCCCTTTTTTTCCTCTGGTCATTATGAATAGGGCTTATGTAAATAATGGCATGGTAGCTTTTGATTGGAAATAACATCAAAGTAGTTGTCAAAATACTTAGGAATGTGATTTTTGGATTGTAAGGTGAGACTTGTTTAGCTTTGGGGAAAAAATGCCCAACTTGTAATAGGGGAGGAAAAATAATTTTCTATGTTTTCAGAATTCTTAGATGGGACCTTCTGTAAAAACTGACGGATTAAAATTAGAAAAATAGAAAAGTTTAGAAACATGTATACCTTATGGATACATGGGAGATACTCAGGAAAAAACGAGTAAATCTGCAACAGGTGGCTTTCAATTCAAGCATAAATACTATCTTCAACTTAAAGAAAGAAGATTTGAGGTGCAGTAGTGGGGATCTAACTAGCAAAAGCACAGTAGACAAGGGTAAGGTTTGTTATACAGACTGAAGTCTATGCATTCTCCATTGATAAGACTCTAGTGATTTACTTATCCTTCTCTTCTTGATGTTGACAGAGGTAGCTTTTAAATGGGGATTTCCTTTATAGATGTAAATTTTCCTTACACAAGGGTAACTTCTACTCTGTTTTCAGAACGTTGTTAGCATTTTTTTTAAAATAGCTTGGAATAATTCTTAAGCCAAAGGGACATATTTTGGGACAGCATATTCTGGTTTCCTACCATTATATTTTGGGGTGGCATATTTTGGTCTTATACACTGTGTTCCACAGGCAACGAAAAGAGTTCTTGTTTTTCCTGCAGCAATTTGTCATTTTTTAAAGAGCTTAGCAGTTCTAAGAGCTATAGAGTAGCTGTGCTATCTCATTGTGGTTTTCAATTCTCTAGTATGTTGAGCGTCTTTTTGCACGTTTACTTGCCATAGATCTTTTTCTGCGCCCCGCGCCGGCGCGGGGCGCCTTTGCGAGGGCGGAGCTGCGTTCTCCTCTGCACAGCCTTTTGGGGTACCACGGAGGCGAAGCAGCATTCTCCTCAGCACAGACGCGGGCGGTCGGGTGGGACGGCGGCTCCGCGAGGGCGGAGCGGCGTTCTGCTCACCACAGACCCAGGAGACACCACGAAGGCAGAGCACCGTTCTCCTCAGCACAGACCTTGGGGGCACTGCCTCGCTTTGACACGACTCGGGGCTTCATTGATGGTGAATACAATCCTTTCTGTTTGCAGCGCTGAATATTCAGGGTCAGAGAACAGTTAGAAGGGTTCAGTGTGGAAAACGGGAAACCAAAAGCCCGTCTGAATCCTGTGCACCGAGATTCTCCCCAGCCAAGGTGAGGCGGCAGCAGTGGGAGATCCACACCGTAGCGTGGGAACACAAATGCAGCATTACAAATGCAGACATGACACCGAAAATATAACACACCCCATTGCTCATGTAACAAGCACCTGTAATGCTAATGCACTGCCTCAAAACAAAATATTAATATAAGATCGGCATTCCCCACACTGCCATGCAGTGCTAAGACAGCAATGAGAACAGTCAACATAATAACCCTAACAGTGTTAGGGTTAGGGGTTAGGGGTTAGGGTTAGGGTTAGGGTTAGGGTTAGGGTTAGGGTTAGGGTTAGGGTTAGGGTTAGGGTTTAGGGTTAGGGTTAGGGTTAGGG